>NC_000003.12:122796483-123099513 GCF_000001405.40 Homo sapiens
CAGTTCTGGAGGCTGGGAAGTCCAAGATGAAGGCTCAGGCAGAATCGGTGTCGGGTGAGGGCCTGCTTCCTACACAGTGGTCTCTTCACTATAACATAAGATGGAAGAAGGGGTTAGGGAATCCCTCTGAGGTCTGTTTTATACGGGCAGTAATCCTATTCACATGGGTTCCACCCTCATAACCTAATCACCTTCCAAAGGCTGCACCTTCTTATTCCATCATTTTGAGGGTTAAGATTTCAAAATGTGAATTTGAGGCCTGGCGCAGTGGCTCAAGTAATCCCAGCACGTTGGGAGGCTGGGGTGGGAGGATTGCTTGAGCTCAGGAGGTCGAAGCTGGAGTGAGCTGTGATGGCACCACTGCACTCTGCCCTGGTCAACAGGGCAAGACTCGTCTCAGAAAAATTAATACATAAACAAAATATGAATTTGAGGGGAACACATTCAGACCTCAGCAAAAGTCAAGTGTAGGTAGGTATAGAATTGCAATTGTCTGGCATGTAGTTAGCACTCAAAATTAGTTGGTTATTAAGAGAATAGAATAGCAGGGTGATGTTAGTAGTTATACTTCCTTCTCTCCTCCTTCACTGGAATTCCTTCATTGGAATCCATGTGAAAAAGACTAAGGAATAGTTGATTGTGAATTCCTTAATGATCAACAATATAATGTAGCTGCTAAAAAAGAAAGGACAGTTTAGGCATAGAAACATAGTGTCCAAAACAAGAAGCAAAATAGTTTGATAGGCTCTACATTAGTGTTTAGTTCTGAGCTTGATTCTGAGAAGGCCATTTGACAAACTGCAGAACTTTAAAGGTTCTGCGACAAGAATGATAAAGGGTATAAAAATCATGATGTGTAAAATGAAGGGAACTTGTGTGTATCACACTTCAAAAAGAAACTTGAGGCAAGATATAGACTATGTGAAGATCAAGTCAAAGAGGAATTCGACTTATGTGTTGTTCTAGGAGGAAGAACTAGACTGAGTCAAGTTACAAAGAAATGTAACTCAAAGCAATACAAGGAAGAACCTTCTAACAAAGATACCCAGCCCTGAATGGGTGTGTCTTGACTGCTGTAGAACTTCCAGCTAGAGCAAATACTTTTGCAGAGGATGTGTGCTAGATGCCGAAGAAGGGCTTCTCCTACCAAAGGGAGATTTTCTTTGGGTTATTGTTGTTTGCTTTTAAACTAAATATTGATTTTCTCTGGGTTTCTGCTGGGCTCAGTGGCTCATGTTTGTAATCTCAGCACTTTGGGAGGCTGAGGCGGGTGGGTCACTTGAGCCCAGGAGTTAGAGACCAGCCTGGGCAACATGGTGAAACTCCAAATCTACAAAAAATACAAAAATTAGCCAGACATGTTGGCATGCGCCTGTAGTCTTAGTTACTGGGGAGGCTGAGGCTGGAGGATCAGTTGAGCCCAGGAAGTAGAGGCTGCAGTGAGCTATGATTGCTCCACTGCACTCCAGCCTCAGTGACAGAATGAGACCCTGTCTCAAAACAAACAAACAAACAAACCCAAAGTAGTACTTTACCTATAATCAATGTTACAATAATATTTTTTTAAAAAGAAAAAAGATTGTATTTGTTTCCACTGATGTATTTTTCTTCTGTTCCAGGATTCGGTCTAGGGTCCTCTGTTACATTTAGTTGTAATTTCTCTTTAGTTTCCTCCAATCTGTGATAATTCCTTGGTCATTCCCTTAACAAGGTTGGCTAAATTCAGGGGAAAATGCTGTGTTATAGTTTCTTTTTATTTTTATCAGGAGCATTTTTCAATATTATTCCCCAAATTTAGCCAACCTTGTTTTTTATGGTAGAAAAATGTTAATTTGCACCCTTCTTATTATAATTGTACCTACTATCCATGGCAGGATAAATTAGAAACTACCCATTCACTTTATAAAATAAGGTACTTTAGTTCTTCAGTAGTTCTTGTGACTATATGGTGAATTCAATTTTATATTTTCCTTTGGTTGAAGCAATAAAAAATACATTTAAAAATTCTCTTTATTAGGAAGTAGTTTTCATTTTTAGTAGAAGAAAGCAAATACACTTTTATATGTTGGCTTTCCTGCTACAGGTGTTCCATCTACGCACGTAGAAAGCAGGTTCTTTCTTGCTTCTGGCATCCTTGGGTACTAAAATATCTTTTTTTTTTTTTTTTTTTTTTTTTTTTGAGACAGAGTCTCACTTGGTCACTCAGGCTGGAGTACAGTTGTGTGATCTTGGCTCACTGCAACCTCAACCTCCCTGGGCTCAGGTGATTCTCAGCCTCTGAGTAGCTGAGACTACAGGCACGCACCACCAAGCCTGGCTAGTTTTTTGTATTTTTTGCAGAGACAGGGTCTCACCATGTTGTCCAGGCTGGTTTTCAACTCCTAGGCTCAAGCAAGGCACCAAAATATCTTGCACCCTGGGGGGTAGGTGGTTGTTTGGCCTTTGTGCTGCCTCACGCCCCAGCCTGATTAGCCTAGGAGACTGTTTATCTTCCTAAAATGGGTTTGTACCTTCCCACCCTTTTTCATTTACCAGCAAGGAGACAGAAAAGGACTAGCCAGAGAGGTAGTAGAGCCAAGACCAAGTGTGCCCTCGAAGCTAACTAAAGGAAGTTTCAAGGAGATAGCAACCCAGTGTGTTCCACGCACTGGGGACATGGCCCTCACAGACCCTCCTCCTAGTAAGGAGATCCAGACAGCAAACAAGAAAAGCAAATATTTAGTATGTCACCTAGTGATATTGATACTTGCTTTGGAGAAAAATAAAGCAGGGTAAAGGAGGAAGGGAATGTGATAGAGTGGTATCATACTTTACATAAGGTTTTAGGGAAGGTGTCACTGATAAGGTGTATTTGAGCAGACACCTGAAGGAAAAATGACACCTGACATGTTAGTTCTGGAGAAGACTGTTTCTGGCAAAGGGAATAGCAAAGATAAAGATTCCAAACTTGTCTGGCATGTCCAAGAAAGAGCAATAAGGCCTTTGTGACTGGAGTAGAGCCACTGAGGGGAACAGTGGTAGGAAATGAGGTCAGAGAGGTGGTGAGAGGCCAGGAGATACAGGGCCCTGTAAATCATTCTTAAATGGCATCTCAGCCATTATCCAGTGAGGAGGGCTCACTCCATTGACGGGCTTTAAGTGGAAGAGTAAAACGATGACTATGCTCTTGTCTTCAGGACAAGAGCCAGAACAGGGAGACAAGTTAGGCTAGTAGAATAACCCAGATGGGAGCTGATGATGGCTTTTGACTAAGGTGATAGTAGTGGAGGATTTGAGAAGTGGTTAGATTGCAGATATGTGTCGAAAGTAGATTCACCAGTATTTGTTGATGGATGAGATGTGGAGCGTGAAGGAAGGAGACGAGTCTAAGCTGTTTCTCAACTTTTTAGTATTACTGATAGGGAGAATACAGCTTCAATTTACTAAGTTGTGTAAGATGGTAGAGAGAGCAATTTTGGAGCAGATGGCGTGGAGATGAGGGATTTGAAATGCCTATTAGATACCCAAGTAGACAGATTAAACTGTCAATTGGATATACAAGTATGGAGTTAAGGGGAGAGGCCTGTGCAGTATATTTGGGAGTTGTCAGCCTACAATGGTATTTAAAGTAATGGGGCTGGTTCAAGCTCATTCTTATTGGTTAAAAAAAAGAAAAAAGAAAAATATAAAAAGTGTCTTGTGGCTGGGTGAGATCACCTGTGGAGAAGGGTGGAGCTTCCCTGGAGTAGAGGACTGAGCCTTGGGGCATTCCAACATTCAGAGGTTGGGGAGATAAGAAAGAACCAGCTAGTAAGGACTGAGAATAGAGCACTGGATTTAGCAACATCGAGATCTTTTGGTGTCCTTTGAAAGAATCATCTCCCTTGAATGATGTGGTGAGTTTGAAATAAAATGTAACAAGAGGAATCAAAGACAGTGAGTGTAGAAATTTCTTTCAAGAATTTATGCCATAAAGGGCAGCAGAGAAATAGGCAGTAGCCAGAGGGAATGTGGGTACTAAGGAGGTTTAGGTTTTGTTTTGTTTTTTCTTTTTTTTGGTAAGAGATATTAAAGTATATCTATTAATGCAGCATCCTAACAGTTCTATAAAAAGGGGAAAATTGATGATGCCGGAGGGAAAGGGAGGAACTGCTGTAGCCATGTAGGCAAGATGGGATGTGGTCCTCCAGGGCACAGGTAGACAAGTTGGCCTTAGATAGAAGCATTGACAGTTGATTCTTTAGTAGTAACGGGAAAGAAGATAGAGTATACACATAAGGTGCAGATGGTGGATGATAAGAGCTTGTAGAAGTTATCTTTGCTTTTTTCCCCTCAGAAAAATAAGAAACAAAATGATCCCCTGATGAGGGAGAATAGGGGAACAGTTACTGGAGAGAGGATTAATTATGAAACTATTTTATAGAAAAATGGAGAACACATGGTTTACGAAATTGTAGTAGGATTCTTGGGTAGCACTGAGGGCCTGCTTTCAGTGACTGATTATTAATTTGAAGTCAGACCAGTCAGCATGGTTGTGTGTTTCCCTCCAGCCTGTTCTGCTGGGCAAGTACAGGCATGGGCAGAGTTGGCAGAGAGATTTAACCAGAGTTGCAGTTTTACCAGGTGAATAGGACTGACAAGTACAGGCCAAGAGTAGAGGGTTAGGTAGAGAGCAATCTGACAGTGGACCATGGAATCTAAGGAGGACAAAGGAAACACATGAGGTGGTTGAGAAGAAGTAGCAAGCTCCCAAATTGTCATTCCGTATTTAATCAATAATTTGTTCTTGTTAGACTACTAGAGGGAATGAAAGGGAAAGAGAGGAGGCCATGGTTGAGGAATGGGGTACTTGAAATTGAGATTATGGCCTGTAATCCCAGCACTTTGGGAGGCCAGGTTGGGTGGATCACCTGAGGTCAGGAATTCAAGACCACCCTGGCCAACATGTAGAAACCCCCTCTCTACTAAAAATACAAGAAATTAGCCAGGTCTGGTGGTGGGCACCTGTAATCCCAGCTACTCGGGAGGCTGAGGCAGGAGAACACTTGAACCCAGAAGGCGGATGTTGCAGTGAGCTGAGATCGAGATCGCGCCATTACACTCCAGATGAATAGCGAAACCTCATCTCAAAAACAAAAAAAGAAATTGAGATTATGACATGGATGTAGTTGTGGTAAAGATAAGGTCAGAGTATAACCAAAAGCATGGATGGCAGAGGTAGGGAAAAGAGCGTACCTCAGACCATGGAACAAGAGGTCAGAGATCTGAGAGACCAGCATACTGAAAGGATCATCTAGTGGATATTGAAATCACCAAGTTTATGAAAGGAGTAGTGTCCTGAGGAGTAATAATGAGCCAAGACATCTTTAAGCAGTGAAGGCGAATGACCTGGAGGCAGGTGTGTGGTGGTCTGTAGACAACCACAGCAAGGAGCAGTGGGTATTAGTCAGAAAAAATTAGACCAAAGGCTGTTCTGGCCATGATGGAGTAACGGGAACTGGATTTATCCTTCTGTCTTAATTAAAAATGAAAAATAAGAAATCAAAATATATGGAACTAAATAAATTTCATGAGCCAGGCATAGCACACCTGTAATCCCAGCTACTGGGGAGGCTGAGAAAGGAGGATCACTTCAGGCCAGGAGTTCAAGACCAGCCTGGGCAACATCGTGAGACCCTATCTCTAAAAAATAATAATAAATAAATATTAGAATAAAACAAAATATGTAAAACAATGGTTTTCAAACATTGGGCGACAGGCAGGGCAGGACAGGGCAGTGATCCCTATGACTGCTTCAGTTTACCATCCAGAGAGAATTTCCAGGCAGGAGTACAGAAATGGGGAGCTCAGTCAGAGCCCAGCAGTTTTCCTGAATTGAGGAGACGGAGGTGAGAATTCAAAGAGGCCAACATAGCTAGAATTCTTAAGGTATAAAACAACAGAGGAGGAAACTTTACAGAGAATGTTCTGGATCTGCAGGGTGTTCCTCTTGAGTCTTCAGCAGAAAACTGATCAGAGGATACATGTGAGGAAATTAGCCAAGACTGGAGGAAGGACTGCCAAAAAAGAGCAGGCAGAACAGTTCCCCAGGATCACACAGGCTGGGAATAGTTCATGTTCCCAAGACCTGGAATGGAAAAACCTCTGCAAACATACTACAAATGTTCAAGAAGATAGAAGAAAGAAAGCATGAGCACATTAAGGAGAGACAAAGAGGACAGAAAAAGAACAACATTGAACTTCTAGAAATGAAAAATGTAATCAATGTGTAAGACGAAAAATATAATCAATGTCTGAGATGAAAAAAATATACTGGACAGGATTTAACAGCAGACTAGACATTGCTGAAGAAAAGGTCGTGTGACTTGAGTATATAGCACTAGAAACTGTCCACAATGGAACACAGAGAAATAAAGACTAAAACCGATCAAACAAAAAACATGAGTATCGGTGAGCTGTGGGACAGTTTTAAGTGGCCTAATATGCATGTAATTGGAGTCTCATAAGGAAAAGAGAGAGAAGTAAGCAGGGAGAGCATGGAGTGAGATGGAGTGGTGCAAGAAAATTGAAGAAATAATGGCAGAACATTTTCCAAATTTAATGACTTCTATAAACCCACAAATCTAAGAAATTTAAGAATCCCAGCAGAAGACCCATAAGGAATCCTACACCAAGGCACATCATGGTCATACTTCTTTAAACCCAGTGATAAAGAGAAATCCTTAAAAGCATGGAGAGAAAAAAGACCAGGTAACTTGTGGGCAGAGAGAGTAGGAATGATCTGGAAGTGGCAGGGAAAGCAATGTAAGGGATTTCTCTGGGAGTAAGAAGGTAGAGAGAATGTTTGGAGAAGAGCTTCAGGAAGGTAGGGATTCCAGTGATTATGCCTGAGCACTCCAGAAGGCACAGAGGAAGGTTTCTGGAGTTGAGGAGGTAGGAAGAAGAGATGAGGTCTCATTAGGGGATGTATAAAGCCATATCAGGATAAAGATGACCTGTGAATCTTGAATCTTTTGTGTCTGATTTAAACAGGAAAAACAGGCATGATGTCATTAGTTCTGACAATCTCCAAGGCAGATTGGGGTGACAAGGCTGTGAGGGTTATGAGCAGGGAAAAGGGGATCTGCCCCGGAGCCAGCAGAGCTCATCTTCACTTCAGCTGATGGAAGTGTGGAGCCACGGGAGGGTGGTCTTACCAGGTGAGCTCTGTGCCTGTTGCTGATTTTCCATGCTTCCACTATGGGTGTGTGGGTTGTGGGGGAGGGATTTAGTCAACTCTGCAGCCTGATTCTTTAGACATCTGCTGTGGAGATTTCCATTCCTACACTCAATGGGTCCCCAGCAAAAGGAGTTATCACATCTGTTGAAAGGAAGCATTCTGAATGTTGGATGCCATGTTTGAAAAGAAATATTTTTATTTTCAATGATGTTTGTTTTTCTGAAATTGTTCACAGATGGCTTTTACACTTACATCCTATTACTGTTGTAATCACTTGGGGTCTATTTATATAACAGTCCTATATGTCTCAGAAGCCAATCTGTTAGGCAGTTCCTACATTGCTATAAAGAAATACCTGAGGCTGGGTAATGTGTAAAGAAAAGAGGTTTCATTGGCTCATGGTTCTGCGGGTTTTACAGGAAACATGGTGCTGGCATTCACTCATCATCCAGGGAGGCCACAGGAAGCTTACAATCATAACAGAAGGTGAAGGGGGAGCAGCCACATCACTTGGTGAAAGCAGGAGCAGGAGAGAGAAAGTCGGGGAGGGGGATGCCACACACTTTTAATGGGCCAGATCTCATCTCCTGTGAACTCAGCAAGAACTCAGTCATCACCAAGGGGATGGCCCAAGCCATTCATGAGGATCTGTCCCTATGATCCAAACACCTCCCACCAGGCCCCACCTCCAACATTGAGGATTACATTTCAACGTGAGACCTGAGTGGGGACAAATACCCAAACTATATTAGGCTATTCTCCTGGGGTCCTCATAACTCCTTTCCCTTGATGAGCTGATATCTTTTTGATTACATGGAATTATAGAGTTATGCCTTGTCAGGATGTGAGTGACATGAGGAAAGCATTTTATTCAAGATCATCAGCTGGGATAGATTAAACAACACTTGGCAGCAATTAAAAATACACAAGAAAGCCACCACACTGTACTTGTGAGGTTGCTTTATTTTTCATTTTTGTATTTTTGTGGAGATGGGGTCTCACTATGTTACCCAGGCTAATCTCAAACTCCTGGCTTCAAGGGATCCTCCCACCTTGGCCTCCCAGTGTGTTAGGATTATAGGCGTGAACCACAGTGCCTGGCCACAGATTGCTTTAATAAGCAGTT
The DNA here is from genome assembly GCF_000001405.40 of Homo sapiens. NCBI lineage: Eukaryota > Metazoa > Chordata > Mammalia > Primates > Hominidae > Homo > Homo sapiens. The sequence continues at coordinate 122,804,808 of NC_000003.12, forward strand.
TTTCACAATTTATTTACTCTTAAAAGTTTATATTAGCTGTTGTATTGTTAAATATTTGATAAAAAGCATAACTGAGTAAAGTATGGTAGCCTTCAGCAGTAACAATAGGAAGCCTGGTTATTGGACCATATGGCCATAAACAGTGCCTCACTGCTTGCTTAGTGTCTGCTTACCTTAATTAAAAACAAACTCTTTAGAAAAAAATAAATATCATGTAGAATGTAAGCCTATGGTCCCCAACCTATAAAAATTCTATTCAGTATCTCGTAGGGTACCCAGTATATCCTTGTAAGAGCAACATTTTGTGATTTTAGGATATTTATGACCATGTATGTACGTTTCATTAATTGCACTCTGTTTCCTGTGGCTATAATGTGATTTTTAAAGTCTGTATTCTGTTAGTAGAAGCAGTAAATGAGCAGTATGTATGCATTACTTGTTACCAAGAAGCACAGTTCCCTATGGTATTCCTTCTGGTAAATTGTATTAATCATATCCAGATTATATAAGAATATTATAAAGTAATTCAGTTCATATCACAAATTATCCTTAATGTAGCATGTCTGGATCTCAAGTTTATTTTCTTTGCTATGTTTGATCTGCATAATTATAGTCTTGTTGACTTTCAATTTTCTTCAAGGAGAGTAGCTCTTTAAAAACCAAACATTTAACCATGTACCCTCTGCAAAAAGAGAGGAGAGAGCCCTGGAAAAAAAGAAATATTACATCAGTCAGTTTATGTCTATTCTCTGTGTGAAGTGGTTTCAAGGTGATGTTGGATTTGGGAAAAATTTGAAGCAATGTGGCCACCTTTGCCATAGACTTTGTATGAACCACCTGTGTGATGTGGCTGCCACAAACAGTAAGATATGTTAATTTAGTATTAACAGAGGCGTAGCATTCCAACAATAGGAGGATAGAGTTCTGTTAGATTATTCTGCCATAGCTAGAATATTGTTGTCTATTTCTGATTATCTTGTTTTTGTATTTGTATACTTTGCCCTCTGTGTGACCAACCACTGACACACATTTTCAAAGTAATTGTTGTGTTTGGAATACAAGGGGAAAAAACTATGTGATCCACATTGTCTTCTAAAGTCCTAAGCCGTGATTTTTTTTAACATTATTAAGCATTATTCTATAATGAAAACCATCGGATAAATCAAGAAAAAAATAAAGACTGTGATTATATTAATAATCAGAGAGTTCTAAAGGACCACTTCCTATGACGCTTTAACAACCTTAGCTTGTTCTGATTATGAAATATGTAGTTCCCTAGTTGTCAGTTTTGAGAAAAGTTAAGGCAGTACTCTATCACCTTAAAATACTTTTTAGGGACAGTTAAGAGTTTTTTTTTATTAGCAGCTTACATTTGAAAATTCAGATTTTTCTATTAGAGATATAAAACTAAAATATCTAGTCTTTGAAAATTATTTGCCATATTTTTAAGTATTATATCTGAACGGAACATTTTAGACATTCCTTTTGAAAAATTAGAGCTAATAGAACTTCTTCCTCCATCTTTGATATGAACATTCCTATTTTCCATTAAAGTTAGAATCATCTTATTTTCTTTTTTCTTTTTTTGGAAACAGAGTCTCACTCTGTCGCCCAGGCTGGAGTGAAGTGGTGTGATCTCAGCTCACTGTAGCCTCTGCCTCCCAGGTTCAAGCAATTCTCATGCCTCAGCCTCCCGAGTAGCCGGGATTACAGGTGTAATCCACCACACACGGCTAATTTTTTTATTTTTAGTAGAGACAGTTTTACCATGTTGCCCAGGCTGGCCTCAAACTCCTGAGCTCAGGTGATCTGCCCACCTCGGCCTCTCAAAGTGCAAGGATTACAGGTGTGAGCCACCATGCCCAGCCCATCATTTCATTTTCAGCATGTAGGGTTCGTTGTTTTTTTTTTTTTCCATTTTTAAAGTTATACAGAAAAGCCATAATATTAGCATATAATGTCAGTATGATTGACTAAAAATAATCTTTATTTTTAACATTGGACTTAGGAGAAAATCAAGATAATTTCAATGTCTTTGTTTCATTTTAGGTCTCCGGATAACTGTGCTCCTGACATCCTTCCTTATGGTTTTGGGAACTGGTCTAAGATGCATACCTATATCAGACTTAATCCTTAAAAGAAGGTAAATCCTGTAAATAACATTTCTCCCCCATTTTTCATTTTATTATGTGTATAAATTTTTAAGAAGATCAGTAAAGGGTCATATTTATAGAAGCGTTTATTTTTTTACTCTATATGATGATTAATTTAATTGATATTTATCAGTTGTCATGGAAGACACTAGTTGTTGTGGAAATAAAAAGAGCAAGTTAATCTTCATATTGTCCAGGAACAATAATAATCATGTGAAAATAATAGTATAACATACCATTTGTAAGTATAATAATATAACATATTATATATATATATAGTGTAGTTAATGCTACAGAAGAAATACAAAATTGCCTCGAGACTAGGAGAAGTTTTGGCTGTGGGTATCAAAAAGAGGAGTTCATAAAGGTGGTGGTAATTAAACTAGGCATTGAATGATGAGTAGAATGTTGGTAACTATAGTCAGGGGAAGGGTATTCCAGGATGGGGGAATAGCAAGAGTGAAGCCATGGAGGCAGGTAAGCATAGGCCTTTTCTGGGGTGGATAGGTAGTCTTATTTGTATATAGCAGCCTTTCTGCAACTGGGACCGTGGATTTATTCTTAGGGAGTGTAAGGTATACGAAGGTTTTAAATTTTGTTTTTATATTGGTTATGATACAGTATTATTTTACCAGTAATAATCTGCAATAAAAAGGTATTTTTGTTGACCAGGATGTTAATTTCTTAAATTAGTGTTTCCGAGACTGGGGTCCTTGAATGTGACCTTGAGAGTCGTTGAGAAATTTTTTCCCTTTCAGAAGGACCCATAAATTACTCAAGTTCGAGAGATACTGGTCTACAGATTAAGGTGTAAGAATGGGATATAAAAAGATGAGGTTAGAAGGTTATATTTTGATTCTGAAGGGTCTTGATGCCATCCTGTATTATTAACAGTGTACTTTACTCACTGGATAGTGGAAAACCCCTTAGGCTCTTAATCAGAGGAGTGCTAGTATCAGACCTATGTTATATTCACTATGGATTGAGATATGTAGGCTTGATTATAAGGGGTAGAGATTGCTGGCAGAAGACCTGGAAAGATACAGTGGGACCCCAAGCTGAAGTCATTCTTTTGTTGGTTCATTTATTAGGTCATTCATTCATTCAACAGAATTCACTGAGCTTCTACTATGTGCCAACCTCTTTGTGGGCATTGGGAATATGACAGAAGACAAAGCAGATAAAAATTACTATGTAATGTAGTAAATTACATAGTATATTACATAGTACATAGTAATTTACTATATAATGTACATTACATGACATACTATGTTTGTGATGTAGTTTCATTCCACTCAGGGAAACCAGCAATAAACTAGATAAATAAGTAAAATACATAGTATGTGCTATGGAGAGTAAAACAAAATAGGAAAGAAGGATATGAAAAGGCGAGGAAAGGATGGTGAGATTTCAGAAAGAAAAACCTAACTGGGAAGATAACCTTTTGGGATAAAAACCTGACAGAAGTAATGGATGATGCAGTATCTAGGAATCAAGCATTATATGCAGAGAGAACCGCAAGAGTTCAGGGTGGAAGAGGGACAGGGATGCCTGGCAGGGAGGCTGGTGTGGCATGAGAAAAGCAGGTAGCAAATGAGGTCAGAGCGGTTACAGAGTGGTAGTGGGAGGGTGGGACCAGATTCTTTAAGACCACGTCAGCTCCTCAGCTTTTTCTGAGCTAGGAAACCACTGGAGGTTTTGAGCTGAGAGTGCCATGGTGCTCGGCTGCTCCTTTGAGAATGGACTGAAGCTTGAGGTCATGGGCATAAGTAAGGAAAGTTGGGAAACAAGTGCAATAAACCAGGTGAGAGATGATGGTGGCTTGGACCATAGTGGTGGCAGTGGGAGTGGTGAGAAGTGGTCAAATTCTGATCATCTTGAATATTCAAAATGTAATTATATTCTGATTATATTCTGGTCCATTTGCTGATGGACCAGATGTGGGAAGTAAGAGAAAGGAGTCCAGAATGATTCCATGCTGTGGGAAGTTGGGGGAATGGAAAGGATGGCACAGACATGAGGGGAAGTGTGAGAAAAAGAGATGGGAGGTGATATGCTGGAAGTTTCACTCGAGGGACTCTGAAATTGTTGATTCCATTAACAGATGGGGAACACAGAAGTGGGGGAGAGTGGATTTCAGGGACAAGATGTTGACTTTCTTTTGGAACAGAATTTTTCAGTTTCAAAATAAATGTTCAGTTTTGAATTTCAAAATGTGTTTTCTTTCTAGAAAATTTAGGGTACAAGGGTTCATGTTTGAAAAGGGAGATAAGACAATCATCTAGGTTCCTATGGAAAGCTAGTCATAATTTTCCATCCTTCTCAGTTAGATTTTAACACAAGTCTCATTATTGTATTTGAGATGCTCTTAATTTTTCAAACACCCAGAGGTGTGTTTTTTCAAGCATCCACAGATTTTAAGTACAGATTTTCATGTAAGCTTAAATTCAACACTGCTTTCTTTTAAAATGCCTATTAAGGCCAGGTGCAGTGGCCCACACCTGTAATCCCAGCACTTTGGGAGGCTGAGACAGGTGGATCTCTTGTGCCTGAAGTTTGAGACCAGCCTGGGCAACACAGCGAGACCCCATCTCAAAAAAAATACCTATTAATATTTTTGCTAGTTTTTCTTCTGTTTTGGGCCATCCATACTATTACTTGCCTCCAGTCTCATATCCCTTTATATCCTTTCCATATACAAAATTCTGGGAATAATAGAGTTGACCCTCCATCTTGTTGGAGAAGGTGGTATGAAAAAGAAACAATTCATAAATAAATGTAAACAAATGTAGAACAGGTAAGAAGTAGAAATAAAAAGTTCAGAGATTGAATCTTTCATAAAAAGAGTGTATAAATTGAATTTTCAATCTTATACATTCATCTATAAAGAATACAGGAGTATTAACCCCTTGAAATAAGACTTCATTTCGTAGTCTTTAAGCATATCTTTTAAGCAGTGTTGTTAACAATGCATGATGAAGCTGTTAAAATGAAAATGCTACAATTGGAACATGTATTTTCAACAAATCAGGTGTATAGCCATCACTTTTAAGCTTCAGTCTCCATCCGATGTTCCAGGGAAGGCCAGTGTTGAAACAAGCATTTACAAGTCTGTGTTTTTGTGGCCTTGTTTCACTCGGAGCTTTTTGAGCTTTTGACCCAGCCTTTTGGAATGGCTCCCCTGCACCCTTGACTTCCTGTATCTTAGCTCCCTTAAGTATCAAGACATGAGAATAGCAGCATTCTGACAAGCTCTTCCTAATGGTGTTCTACTTATATATAGTATCAGTATTTATTTTATTTGCATAGTACTGATGAAAACTCAGGAAAAAATTATTTTGCCACGTTTTTCTTATAACATCTTAGATAAATAAGGAACTTGGTATAACAAATTATAAAGCATTTTTTCTTCTATGATCTCGAACAAAATAATACCCCAAAAAAATTGTAAAAGCCATCACTCTATTGCAATGAGCGCTATTACTCTATAGTGTGAAATATTATTATATTGCTTTCCCAGTAAACAACTTAAGGACTTCTGAAGGGTGAACTTATAGTAAGTTATATCTGCTCGTAATCATAGGTGTATCCAGTGATTCCTGTAACACATGCCATGTATATTTTTAAATTTTATTTTAAGTTCCAGGATGCATGTGCAGGATGTGCAGGTTTATTACGTAGGTAAACATGTGCAACACATGCCACATTATCTTTTCAGTTCGGTGTAATTTTCATTAATATTAACAATACTTAATGTTTACCAACATGTATTAAATAGTTTGGTTCTAGTAAACATAGATTTTCTAGAAATATACTCCATTGTGAAATACTTTGCAGCTGGCAGGATTATGTTTAAAATGACCCTAACAGAAAAAGGTGAATTGTTTAGTGACTGATTTTGTGACAGCTGCTTAGCTATCTGAATAAACAGGAAGAAGAACCTAGATCCCTCCCTTACCACTTAAGTAAATCCCAGCTGTATCAAAGACTTACATGTAAATAATGAATCATAAAAGTATTAGAACATGACTGTTTTACAGAATCTGAGGGTGGAGAGGACCTTCCAATTAAGACACAAGTCCCAGAAGCCATAAAAGAAAGCCTTGATATATTTGACTATGTAAAAATTTAGATTATCTTTATGATTGAATATACTATAAAACAAAGTCAAAAGATGAGTTAACTGGGAAATATTTGCAACCGTAAGACAAATGAGTAATTCCTTAGTTCTTTGAAATCAATAAGAAAAATAGCAACTCAATAGGAAAATAGGTAATGGATATGAGCAAGCAATTACAGAAGTTGAAATATAAATGGCATGAACTCAAGAGAAGTTCAAGAGAATTCTTTCTTGAGAACTCGAGAGAACTCAGGAGAATATTCAGCTTTCGTCATAATTAAATAAATGAAAATTAAAATAGCAGACAGATGTCTATTTACTGGCAAAGATGAAAAAAATTGATAATGTTCTATGCCTGAGATGTGGGGAAAAACAGGCACTGCTGATGTGTGAGCAGTTTGGGGCATCATCCTATTTGGAGGGCACTTTGGCAGTATTTACCAGATTCAAATATACATGTCTTTAACCTACACCTATATTTGCACTTATAGAAAATTAGCCCACATATAAAGCTCTGTCAGTTTGCAAGAATTACCATGTTTGTGCAGCTTTGCTTGTAATAGCAGAAGGCTGGATGTAACCCAGATGCCTTCAGCAGAGAACTGATTAGGATGCAGTATATCATGGAATCATATTGCACCATGAAAAGGAAGTAAAAGTCCTATAAGTGCTAATATGAAAATATCTCCAAAATATATTGTTTAGTTAAAAGGCAAACTTTAGAATATTATGTTTAGTATGTTCTTACTTGGAAAAAAATGGGAAGGGTATCATTGGTTTTTTCTGGGAAGAGCATCTGAGGAATAGAAGTCTGAGGTGGAAAGGACATTTACTTTTTATTTTTTACTACTTTTGGGAATATTTTTACCATGTGCATATATTAGCTTTTTTTTTTCTTTTGGAAACACTCTGTTGCCCAGGCTGGAGTGTGGTGGTGTGATCATAGCTAATTGCAGCCTCAAACTCCTAGGCTCAAGGGATCCTCCTGCCTCAGCCTCCCATGTAGCTGGGACTACAGGCATGTGCCATCACACCTGGCTAGTTTTTAAATTTTTTGTAGAGACAGAGTCCCAATATTTTGCCTGAGTTGGTCTCAAATTCTGGGTGCTAGTGATCCTCCCATCTCAGCCTTCCAAAGTGCTGGGATTACAGGTGTGAGCCACTGCACCCAGCCTATATTACCTTTTTAACTGAAAGCACTAGCTAAGTAAAACTAAAATCACCACCTCAGAGCCTTAATAATAGGAAAAGTAAAGAGAAGGAAGGGTTATAAATTTGCCCAGCATAGAAATGTAAATCTTTTGATGTAAAAATGAGCAATTGGTAGATTTAAGAACTAAGACTTTTCTCAGTAAAATACAGAAGATTCAGATTCCCCTATATCAGTGTCTTCTAAAATATCATTCACAGATTTCCTGCTTATTAAAATACAGATCCCAGGGCTCCAACCCAGTCCCACTTAGTTAGGCTCTTGAGTGAACCCTGAGAATGAGCAGTTTTAACAAGCTCTTTTAGTTAGTCTTACACTCATTTAAATTTGAGAACTACTTTCCTAGTTCCCTAGTCTTATACTCATTTAAATTTGAGAACTACCTCCCATCTTCACTTTAAATAGTAATTGATTAAACAAATACCTTTATGCTTGTCCATCCTACAGTATAATCACACAATACATTTAATGTCTTATTTTAAAGCAGATTAAGGATTAGCCTCTATTTAATAAATCTGTTTGCCTTAATTTGACTCTTAAAACTCAAGGCAACTCAAGGCAAGTAAAACTCATGACTATGTCTGCATAGTGGTCAGGTGGACTTAAGAAAGATTTGTAAGAAAAGATAACCAGTCATGATAAGCATTTAAGAGGGAAAAAAAGGGAGTAAAAGGTGTGTAAAGGCAGGGCGTGATGCCTTTATAATCCCAGTACTTTGGGAGGTCAAGGCGGGCGGATCACCTGAGGTCAGGAGTTTAAGACCAGCCTAGCCAACATAGTGAAACCCAGTCTCTACTAAAAATACAAAAATTAGCCGGGCGTGGAGGCGCTTGCCTGTAATCCCAGCTACTCGGGAGGCTGAAGCAGGAGAATCCGGGAGGTGGAGGTTGCAGTGAGCTGAGATTGCACCACTGCACTCTACCCTGGGCGATAGAGCGAGACTCTGTCTCAAAAAAAAAAAAAAAAGCTGTGTAAAATTGTCTTTAGAGTTTTGGAAAACTCTTTTTTTAACCTTTTTGTTGTTTTTGAAATACGGTTATTTATGAGACATTTTTTCCAAGGGCCCACAATGTCATTTATGAATTTTTTATTGACTTTTTTCTTGTTCGGTACATCATACAGAGAAGTATATACAACATACATGTGTATCATCAGACTGATACCCATGTAGCCGTCACTCAGCCCAGACTCCAGAAGTCTCCTGCGTGCCCCTTCCTGCTCATAATCCTCTCTCTCCCTCCTGTATATCATCACAATCATGAATGGATAGAATTTTCAAAGTAGACCGAGTTGAAATTTATTAAGAATATATTCAAAACCTATTGCAAATGTTTATTCTTTTCTTTGAAATAAGGATTTGCCTTAGATTTCTTTTCCGCTTAATACCAAAGGGGCAAACAATTAAAACTTTATCTGCAACAAAATGATTAGAGGAACAAAATATGCTAGAGGCAGATGTTGATAACAATTTAACATATAATTTAAAAAATCAGGATTATTTGAAAAATCATATTTTATTAAATAGAAGTTTATGTATTTTTGCAAATTCATTACATATTAGTTTAAAAAAATGAATCCTTACTTTGCACCATGCATTAAAACATATTCCTGATGGATTGGAGAGCTGTGTATTTAAAATGAGACAGGATAAGGGAAAATGAATCTTAAAGACATTGCTTTATTTCCCAAGCATAAAAACAATGAAAGTGGTGGCTCACACCTGTAATCACAGCAGTTTAGGAGGCCAAGGCAGGTGGATCACTTGAGGCCAGGAGTTCAAGACTAGCATGGTCAACATGGTGAAACCTCGTCTCTACTAAAAATACGAAAATTATCCAGGCATGGTGCATTCCTATAATCCCAGCTACTTGGGAGGCTGAGGCATGAGAATCACTTGAACCTGGGAGGCGGAGGTTACAGTGAGCCGAGATTGCGCCACTGCACTCCAGCCTGGGCCACAGAGCAAGACCCTGTCTCAAAAACAAAAACAAACACAAATCACAAAGGGAAAGATTTGTGATTTGGGTTTTCAGGTTAGAGTTAGGCTAACATTTTGACAACATTTTCCAGCTTTATGCTTCAAAACAGATTATAAAATTAAAATGCAAACTGGGAGAAATATGTGTTGCAAATATAATAGATAACTTATAAGTAACATGAGCATTTTTGAAAATTGAATAGAAAAATGGACATAGTAGACATGGCTAACAATTGTTGATTCTCAGATTTCATCATTTAAATGTATAATTCAACAGTCAACATTTATTGACAGCATATGTATATGTTAGTAAAGTACAGACTGAGCTGTGTAACAAACCAAAAATATTGAGGCTCAATAAGGTAGAAGTTCATTTTTCTCTCAAGGAACAATCTAAAACAAGCTTGTCCAATCTGTGGCATGCATGCGGCCCAGGATGGCTTTGAATGTGGCCCAAAACAAATTTGTAAACTTTCTTAAAACATTTTTTTGTGTGACATTTTTTTGTGAGTTTTTTTGTGTGACTTTTTTTTTTCTTTTAGCTCATCAGCTGTCATTCGTGTTAGTGTATTTTATGTGTGGCCCAAGACGGTTCTTCTTCTTCCAGTGTGGCCCAGGGAATCCAAAAGATTGGACACCCCTGGTCTAAACAATAGTGGGCTATTCAGGGGAAGTAGGCAGCTTTGTTCTGAAAGGTCCTCCAGGACCTAGGCCCCTTCTCTGTTGTTGCTCCAGCATCTCCTAGGGTGATATTATTGTCTGTATCATGCTGTCATTCCAGCCCACAGGAGGGTAAGTGGGATATCCAAGGCAGGTGACTGCATCTTCTTTTTTTTTTTTTGAGATGGAGTCTCACTGTCACCCAGGCTGGAGTGCAGTGGCATGATCTTGGCTCACTGCCACCTCCACCTCCTGGGTTCAAGCAATCCTCCTGCCTCAGCCTCCTGAGTAACTAGGATTACAGACACCTGCCACCATGCCCTGCTAATTTTTGTATTTTTAGTAGAGATGAGGTTATTTATGTTGGCCAGACTTGTCTTGAACTCCTGGCCTCAAGTAATCTGCCCGCCTCGGCCTCTCAAAGTGCTGGGATTACAGATGTGGGCCCCCATGCCTGGCCTGTTTGTGTCATTTCTAGCCATATCCCATTGGTTGCAGACTTAAAACTTGGCCACATGGATCTGGAAGAGAGGTTGGAAAAGTAGCTCAGCAGCAATGTATGTAGTTAAACTCAAGGATGCCATACCAAAACAAAGAAAGGGAGAATAAATAGGCAGAGACAGTTAGGAGTCTCTGCTGTCAGATGCCTCCATGTGTCCATGCACTCCCCTCTTCCCATGTAGAGAACATACTCATCCTTCCTCAATGGAGAAAACTCAAAGTCCTGTCCAATTAATGCATCCAGCTCAAAATCCAGAATCTCTGGGCTCTATCAGATCTTTGTGGCTCTCTGAAAGTAATTTCTTTGATTATTGTTTGTGGCTTTTGGCTTTGTCCTCTGGAAAGCTCTTTTTTTGGTCCATTATTCCCAGTGACCACACCTGAAGTGGTTGTTGGACATTTCACTTTCTGCTTGATGCTGATTTGGGAACCTGAAGATTACTTTAGGGATCAAGCAGTCTTAATCCTTGGTAGAAGCGTTTTGTAGTATCTTGGCAATACGCTTCCCTCAAATGCTTAATAGTCTTTTGGTCTATTTACATCAGGTAGGTTCCATGGAAATGTAGCCATGCCAAAATATTTCTCCTTCTGCTTATGGTTCTTATACCTGTTGAATCTCCTCTTTACTTTACCAGCTTGGGTACCCATCCCAGATTTTCTCAATTTAGTGGTATCCACATTGATGCCATCTGAAAAAAGTAGGCCTGGGAAGGAAAATATCACCCTTAACCTAATTTTTGCTGCTAGACTGGCTCTGAAGCACATTTTATTTCCTGCCATTTGGATTCAGAAGCAACCTGAGGCTTCAAATTTCTGGATTCTCATTAAATTTATATTGCAGGCCTCGGGCAGAGAAACTCCCTTAGCAGAGCTCTTGTCCCTTCCATCTCTGCTTGCAAACCAGCTAATTCTTTATATCTCTCTTGTGCCATCCTACACTCAGTAAGGAGCAAGAAACACAGAGTAATGTTCTGATTTTTTTCCAGCAAATCCCAGGTCATCACAAGCAGTGGTATTGCTGCGGCCACAGGTCACCTGCCTTTTCTGCCTACAGCCTGACCACTAAGTCAGTGCCAATATGTTGTGCCTTTGTGAATGCAGCACCCCAATTCTTGAGCTAATTTCTCAATTAGAGGACAAATTAAGTTGCTATAATGAGGAGATCTCAAAATAGAGTGGTTCAAACAAGACAATATTTCTTTCTTATTATTAGTCCAGAGTAAGCAGGTGGGCCAGGGCAGGTAGCAGTTCTGATCTACGAGGTTGTCTAGGGACCTGGGTTCCCTCTATCTTGTTACCTTCTCCCCAGGGAGATGACCTTGACAGTATAGTCAACAGCCAGTTCATCAGCACAGTGGTCACATTGCACCCACAGGAAGAAGCAGAGCAGGGAGAACAGTTCTGTCTTCATGGAGGTGACCTTGAGGTCCCCCTGCTCTAATCTCATTGGCCTGAACTTAGTAATAACAAGGCCCCAGCTATCTGTGAGGAGCGCTTTTACTCCTGCAAAAACTTAAGGTCTTCTGTAACTAAAAGGAAAACAGAATGACCCTGGGGTAATAGTTAATCATCTCTACCACAGGCAAATTGGCTACCTATTTGGGAGGAAAAGACCATTTTGTATCCTCATGTCATATAATGTGTCAAAATAAATTCAAATAAACAAAATGGTTAAATATTTAGCTGAGAAACAATATATGGGGGTATTTATCTGATCTCCACATGGGAAAGATATTTTTTCCAAGCATGAAAATAAAGGAAAATCATAAAGAGAAAGGTAGATAGATTTGAGGAAGAAGAAGTCAGAGAAATGTTTTCTTGCATCTTCCAGCAACTGCAGTTGCTGCCTTTGAAAACAGAGGAAGAGGGCCCTGAGCCAACGAATGCGGGCGGCCACTACAAGCTGGAAAATCAGGGAAACAGATTCTCTTCTAGAGCCTCTTGAAAGGAACCCAGCCTTGCCAACACCTTGATTTTAGCCCTAGAGTCCCATGTTGGACTTCTGATTTATGGAACTGTAAGATGACGCGTATGTATTATTTTAACCACTGAGTTTGTGGTAATTTGTTATAGCAGGACTAGGAAACTAGTCACCAAGTTTTGCATGTGTGTGTGAGAGAGAGAGAGAGTGTGTGTGTGTGTATTTTTATTTATTTATTTATTGTTTTCTTTGATTTTTTTGTTTGAGATGGGGTCTCATTCTGTTGCCCAGGCAATTGTGGCTCACTGCAACCTCAATCTCCTGGGCTCAAGCAATCCTCCTACCTGAGCTTCACAAGTACCTGGAACTACAGGCATGTGCCACCACACCCAGCTAATTTTTTTTTTTTTTTTTTTTTTTTTTTTGTAGAGACAGGGTTTCACTATGTTGCCCAGGCTGGTCTCAAACTCCTGGGCTCACATGATCCACCTGCCCTGGCCTCCCAAAGTGCTAGGATTGCAGGTGTGCACCACCTTGCCCAGTGTGCATGTATCTTTAAATAGTGATGCTCTGTGCTGATGAAGCAGACACTGTCAGCTACTACTGATGGGAATGTAAATTACTACTAATCCTCCTGAAAAACAGTTTGCGAGTATATTTCCTAAGATCTAGAGTGTTCACACATTTTAACTTACTGACCCTAAAATAATTTTGAAAGTAGCTAATATTCACATACAAAGATTGTCACACCAGCATTATTAATATTAGCAAATAAGTTGTTGGAAACAACTATCCAACATTAGGAAAATGGTTAAATGAGATTTTATATATCTGTATAATATAATATCACAAAACCATTAACAATTATTATAAAGAATAATGAAATGAGAAAATGCTTGATAGACCATAAAATGACTTAGTGCATAAGCTGTATATTCAGTATGGTATCTGTGGTTACCTATGTACGATTAAGTATTGATTGATCAAGAGAGTGAGAGATGCATTAGGAAAAAAACTGAAGAAAAGACTGGAAAATCAAAATATTAGTAGTGGTTGTCTGAATTGGGGTATTCCATTTATAGATGATTTTTTTTCTTCTTTATGCATTTCTTTTCAAAATTTTCTACTATGAATATGTATTAATATATACTCTTAAACAAAAAGACAAAATAAAAGTTATGTGACAAGAAACAAGGAATGAAACAAAATGAGGGGAGGTAGACATCTTTCAGACCAGGACTAAGGCCATTTTTCCCCTGTGCATTGCTGAGAGATTATTGTATATGACCTTAATAAAAATCTTGTGAGAGAAACTGGGCTTGTTGGCTCACACTTGTAATCCCAGCACTTTGGAAGGCTGAGGTGGGTGGATTGCTTGAGGCCAGGAGTTCAAGAGCAGCCTGGCTAACATGGTGAAACCCCATCTCTACTAAAAATATAAAAATTAGCCGGGCGTGGTGGGGTGTGCCTGTAGTCCCAGCTACTCAGGAGGTGAGGCAGGAGAATAGTTTGAACCCAGGAGACAGAGGTTGCAGTGAGCTGAAATCACACCACTGCACTCCAGCCTGGGCAACAGAGTGAGTGAGATTCTGTCCCCCCCAAAAAAAAAAATATTGTGAGAGGCCAGCCTCTGTGGCTTATGCCTATAATCCTAGCACTTTCGGAGGCCAAGGCAGGAGGATCACTTGAGGCCAGGAGGACTAGCCTGGGTAACATAGCAAGACCCTGTCTCTACAAAAAATTTAAAAATTAGGTGTGCTAGTGTGTGCCTGTAGTCCCAGCTACTTGAGAGGCTGAAGTGGGAGGATCACTTGAGCCCAGAGGTCGAGGCTGCAGTGAGCTGCCTTCGTGCCACTGCATTCCAGCCTGGGAGACAGAGCAAGACCCTGCCTCAAAAAAAAAAAAAAAAAAAAATCCTGTGAGACAGAAAGTATCTTTGGAGAAATTGAAACAGAAAGAGAATGTGATTTTCTAAAGATTATATGGTTAATAAATTTAGTTAAGACTAGAAGCTAAGCCCTGTGATAGCTAATCTAATATTATTTTCACTGTATTTTTTTATGTATTTTCTATAGCTGGTACTTGGTAAGTTATTAAAAGCTTCTTTAGGGCCAAGACTGTAATGTTCATCTTCATATTCCCTTTAGTGCCTAGCTGCAGGTGCCTTGACCATAGCAGATACTCAATAGATATTTTTAATTGAATCATTATTGACCAAAATTAATAAAGGATACAAAAATAAAATAGATTTTTGTGAAAGAAAACTGAGGCTGTGATACCAAAGTTTTTGGAATGCTCATTACTTTTCCACCACCACCTCTATTTCTCTTTTCCTGTCTTCCTTTTTCCTGTAGTTAATTCATAACATCTCTAACCCTCTTTATTGCCCACCTTTTCTTGGGCTAAATAAAGGAAAACTATTTCCAGCACTTTTGCCATTTTCAACATCAAAAAAATCCTATAAACACATGACTTTTTTTTAAAGTTTTTTTTTTTTAAAGAATATGAGCTAAGAGTTTATTTTGATATGGCATAATTAGGAATTGGGAGAAAGTTTCTGAACTATTGACCTAATGAGTTTTGGAGGTAAGTATTTTTATGTATTCTAAATTACTTCATATTAAAAATATATAGAATTTAAATTCTGAATACTAGAATAGCACTGAGGAAGTATCTGCCAGATTTCTAAAAAGCCAACTCGAATGTTAGCATCAATGTTAGTCATAATAAACTAGAGGTTTATAAAGCAGGTTGATTAACAGAATAAAAATATTCTGTACTGTGTGCCTTTGGATTTAAGGAACATTGGATTTTCTTAACAATCAGTAATTTTTTTTATTATTAACAGAGAACCTTCAGAATGGGATCATGTGAGAGAGTAGAGATTTGTGGACTGATGAAATTAGCTATAATTTTGATTTCTAGTTCTGGCTGAGCCATTAGCTAGTTGTATGACTGGAGCTCCCTCCAATACTTTTTAAAGAAAGGAAAGTTATAAAATTATAAATGTGATTTTACATGTGTTATTAACTTTCTGGAAGGGGTTGGGTTATCTAGGTGAGGTCTGAAGTCACTTCTGGCTCTAAAGATTTTAATTCTAAAACATCATATTATTTAAGTAGAAATAATTTAGGAGTCATAGGTATTTCTTCCAGGATATTAGAAAGCAAAAGGTTAGGATACCAGAATATTAAATGCAAGCTAAAATGTCAACTACATTAGAAGATGTGAACTGTAGATCTTCAATTTGAACTTCAGCTATTGGCATTTGTCTGAAAAGCTATAGTCAATTGAATGATACAGAAAGAAATGCAGCTGTGCACCAGCTCCATCCCACGCACCCCTGCAGGCATTGTCCTCTGTGGGCAGGGGCACTAATCGAGGGCAGTGGGACTCTGCAGCGCACCTGGGGCTGAGCCTGGCTGGGTCCTCTCCTATTCCTGCCACAGGCTAGAAGTCTCAGCAGTGCTGATGCTAGTGGGCAGCACCAGGTCTCCCTCTCTAGTCTCCACCATTCCTGCTCTGCCAATGCAGGAGAAGTTCCCCTCTGATATGGTTTGGCTGTGTCCCCACCCAAATCTCATCTTGAACTGTAGTTCCCATAATCCCCACATGTGGGAGAGACCTGGTGGGAGGTAATTGAATCGGGGGTGGTTACCCCCATGCTGCTGTTCTTGTGATAGTGTGTGAGTGTCGTGAGATCTGATGGTTTTATAAAGGGCATTTCCCCTGCACACACTGTCTTGCCTGCCGCCATGTAAGGCATGCCTTTACTCCTCCTTCGCTTTCCACCATGATTCTGAGGCCTTCCAGCCATGTGGAACTGTGAGTCCATTAAACTTCTTTTTCTTTATAAATTACTCAGTCTCGGGTATGTCTTTATTAGCAGCAGAGAATGGACTAATACACCCTCTCTCATTCACTTTTCCATCTGGCTTGTGGGGATGGGATGAGCCAGGCTTCAGAAGTAGACAGAGGCTAGGTAAGGAGGAAAAAAAGGGAAAAGGAGAAAGACTTCAGAGAAGAGGGAAGAAAAGGGAGTTGGGGGCCGTGGGTTGGGAGGTGGATGGAGAAACAGGAGAGAGTTAAGGAGTCAGTATGAGGAGACTGGGCTGAAGGAGGAGGCACACATCTGCTTCCTGACAGATCTCTCACAGCTTGACCTGCAGAGGTGCAAGAGAAATGCAGTCCATTAACTGTGAGGATACACGTGCTTTCATCAGGTGTGGAGTTTCGGGTAAGGAGGCAAGAGTCAGACCCCTTGAATTAACTAGTCCATTACTGGACAACTGCCTTTCTGCTCCAGAGCTTATTGCCCAGAAGACAAAACTGCCTCCTCACACTCCTAACTTCTGCCCACCCTTCCCAAGTCCACTGTGCTTGAGACAGTTATGTCACATTGGCCTTGCTTTTAAAACACCCTAAAACATCCTTTTTTAAAATGTCACATTGGCCTTGCTTTTAAAGCACCCTAAAACATCTTTTTTTAAAAGCTTTATTTTGAGAATATTAGTCATCTTGTTTTTTGTATTACTGAATTTAAACTTGTTAAAATTTATCAATAGAACTGATCTGATGTATGCATTTGGATAACTTTGTGAAGTTTTGGAAACACAGTTTAGTTGCATATTTCAGTGACTGCATGTCCCTGTACTGGGCCCAGTCTGTGAGTTCCCGAGAGCATCCACACTGCCTTAGCGCTATGGGAGTGAGGCCTGTGGGGACTGCTGCCATGATCCTGACCTACAAGGACCTTAACTTTTACCTAGCAAAACAAAACTGAGGCATGTAATGATGACAAACAATTAATATTAAACTGTGTGGTTGACTTCACTGTACTGAAGATTATGAATCCCCCTCCTTCGTTTTTCTTTGTCGTTTTTAATAGTCAGCCCAGATCAACAGGTACTAGTTTCTGAGAGCCAGCTTCTTTCATAAGTGCTTAGAAAGCATTAGGATAATCGTGAGTCGCATTTTATCTTTTAATGTGTGAAAGTGGAGAGACTTTTTAGTTCAGACTGTTCATTTAAGCTGGATGTTTTTTCTTTTCAGTTCACTTCGCTAAGCTTATATAGCTAATTTTTATTCCTGCATCTGTTTCTTCTAGAAATAGTCTAAATCTAGATTTCGATTTCCTCATGAGTCTGACTTCCATGCTGAACACTCCACTGAAACTGCTTCTACTCAGACCACAAATGACCTCTTCTTTGCTGAATCTGGTGGTTACATTTCAGTTATTATAAACGATCTTTCTGTTTGATGTGATGTTGTTGACCACTTGCTCTTATGTTCTTGGAACTCGTCTCTCTTTAGTTGCCGTGATACCAGTCTTTCCTCTTTTGCTTTTTTTCTGCCTTGTAATGGCTCCTTCTCAATCATCTTGCTCGACTCCCATTCCTCTATTTTTAAAATGTTGTTATTCTCTAGTGTTTCTTCCCCACCCCAATCCACCTACAACTTATATTTCTCAGCTCAGACTGCTTTTCTTAGCTTCTGGCCTATATTAGCCACATGTTAGATGTTTGCACAGAGTTATGGGTGCCCTCCAGTATCCACCCCCTCTCCTTGCCATATATATTGTATCACCTTAACGGTTCTCCAGACCATCCGCCCTCCACCTCCCCACTGTGTTGCCAGTACCACTTTAAACCATGCCATAGAGTCCCTGTCCTGGATTCCATGCCTGAGGGTGTCCCATTCTGGCTTTCTTTCAGCCTTGCCCTTCCATGTGGGTTGAGGATTTCATAGGGCCAAGGGGATGTGCACACCCTGCCCTCTACCCTCTAGTCTTATGCACTAGCTACACAAGACCCCAGAAATAGGCCTTACAACAAGCCTGTTTCCCAGGCCTGCTCTTCCAAGAGTAGGCTGCATCCCTGCTGTGTACTTCCTAGGCCTAAGGGATAGCTAAGGGGCAGCTGTTTGGAGGGGATAGTTGGAGCTTAGATGGAGTTGGACCTTCAGCTCCACATGCATATATGCAAAGCCCTGATATATAGGCCAGGGCCAGAGGTCAGAAGAGAAGAAGGACATGCAGAGACCTCCATCTGTACTCTTGTCATAGGCAGCATAAGCATAGGGCAAGGCCTAACTATTGCCTTCTTTTTCTTTATATTCCTGCTACAGTGCTAGTATCACTGTACTTTTAGGGATTCTTAAGGGCAAGGGCTTTAGCTTTTTAATTTTACATTCTCATTTGCCTGTCACAGTGCCTACCCAACACATGGTGACTACTCAATATATGTTTGTTGAATTAAGTAATAAATGCATAGTTACCATTTTATAATTATTTTATTTCCTTTATTATCATTTTAAAGAGGTTATGGTAATGTTCATATGATTTTATGATGTCTTAGGGTCAATATTTTTCCAGAAAAAATGTATCTCTAATTTGCATTCCTATTAAATGGAAAAATTAGACTTAATGTATAAAGCAGAATTTTATTTTTACATATCTTTTTACAGATTTATTTCGTAAAATGATGTTTGTTAATGGTAGGTGGTAGAAAATAGTGTCAGGCAAACATGACAATCTTAATATTACAGATTACTGTAACATCACAGTCCCCAGGACAACAGTGCTTATGACCAGTTGTAACACATTAGAAGCTGCTGAACCCTGAGGGACGCTAGGATATAAGTGTCAGAAGGAGCAGGACTAAGTTCTGGAAAACTACAAAGTGCTGGGAGGAGTGGGACTGGGTTTCCCTGCCAGGTTTCTCATGAATTCAGAGGATAACTAGTTCTCCTACTGAGCTTGTTTATGAAGAGTGTATGTATGATGACTTTTAATACAAAAGCATGTAATTATCTAAAATTGGAGTAACTTTGCAACACCACATAAGCTTATTTTAATTCCTGAGATGGTTTTTAACTCTAACTTATATGCCCTAGATTGGCCTCCCAAGTTCAAGGACCTTTAAACCAAGAACCCATCTGAAGTGTCCCTGGTGCTATTCCTTCTTTGGATACTACTTTAACACGTACTGTATCGTAGTGAGAAATGTTCTGGTCTAAGAGTCAAGTAAACTGGATTTGGATGGCCCTTAAATTATCTGAAACTCACACATTCTCTGACTCTTAGGTCAGACTCTGCTGCTTGGGTAATAGTCTATTTGTGATTCCACTGAGAGGTGACAAAGAGTTAAGCCATGGCAATAATTTGAGTTTTATACCTTAACTATGAGGAGCTTCACTTTGCTTCTCTTCTCTTCTCTTCTTTCTTTCTCTTTCTTTCTTTCCTGTCTTTCCTTTCCTTTCTTTTCTTTCTCTTTCTTTCTTTCTTTCTTTTTCCTTCCCTCCCTCCCTCTCGTCTTTCCTTCCTTCCTTCCCTCCCTCCCTTCCTTTCTTCCTTTCCTTTCCTTTCTTTTTTTTTCCTTCTTTTTTTTTTTTTTTTTTTTGAGACAAAATCTTGCTCTGTCGCCCAGGCTGTAGTGCAGTGGCACAATCTCTGCTCACTGCAACCTCTGCCTCCCAAGCTCAAGTGATTCTCGCGCCTCAGCCTTCTGAGTAGCTGGGATTACAGGCATGCGTCACCATGCCCAGCTAATTTTTGTATTTTTAGAGGAGGTGGGGTTTTGTCATGTTGGCCAGGCTGGTCTTGAACTCCTGGCCTCAAGTGATCCACCCACCTCGGCCTCCCAAAGTGCTGGGGTTACAGGCATGAGCCACTGTTCCCAGCCAGGAGTCCTGCTTTCTTATCAGTCTTTTTGTTTGTTTGTTTTTGATTTATTTCTTCCATGTTCTCCTTCTACCCTTAACATTTTTAGACATAGTAAAGTTTACTCATTCCAAGCCTTCTAGTTGACATGAGTCTAATACCTCATTAAAAGTATCAAATATCAAAGCAGTTACTTTATGGGTCATCACACACTGTCTCATTGTTGTGCCATCACATGCAATGATTAAAACCACTTAATGACGTTATTGCTGGAACATTTCTGTAATAAAATTGCTGTGGGACAGCTTTGGTTCCACTGGCTTTTGGAGGACATAAACAGTTTAAATTATTTCTGTCATCTGGAAAATAATTCCCCTTACACAGAGAGATTTTTAAATGTCTTGAGTTTTTTTAATTTAGTAATATCAATATCAATGACACTTGGAGCTATGTTGCCTTCATATAATTTTTCCAACATAACGAAGCTATGGGCAGCCCTAATTCACATATTTCACTTCCCACTCACTTCTGTTTCTACATTAGGGCCCTTCCTCTCCCCACGTGCCTGTTTATTTTTCTCTTCGGCATTCAGCAAACTTTTCTAACTGGCTTAAGATGGCAGTTTAAAAAAAAAAAGAGGATTTGAGACTCACATAGTGCTTAGAAAGCAAAACAAGCAGAAGAAAAAGATGAGTTCATATCATGAAATGTCACATGTACTGTCCCTTCCCTTTCCTCTACCTCCAGGGCAAGAGAGGTCGACACATCTCCCTTTCTTGTCTATGCTTTCTTTGGACTTCTGGCCTCTTTTCTATTTCAAGGCAGCTCTTAAATGTGAATGTGTATATTGGGGGTGAGGGAGTAATGGGAGAAAAGAGTTGGTCAACAAGGAACAGGAGTGCTAAGGAGAATATTGGGAAAAGGTCAGCAAGAGAACAAATGGAATGGAAAAAAGAAACTGCTTTTCATTAACCCTTACAATTAAAGTCAGAATTAGAGTATGAGAACTGGAAGGGACTTAGTGGTCCTGTCATTACAGTACCCTAACCTAACAGATGCTCCGTAAATGCATATTCAACTTCAGCTGATCTCCTCATTTCACGAGGGAAGAAATGGAACCCCACAAAGTTAGGTATTGTTCAGGGCTAGCCCTGAGCTCAGCTGGAACCCAGGTCCTCCGGTTCCTCAACTACCTTTTCTATTAGAAGATATTTTAATGAGTCTTTCATTTTTTGTATTTCCACCATTTGGCAAAGAGTGGGTATGAAATGTTGAGCTCAACTATAAGGCTGGTGGCACTTAGTAGGTCTGTTAATGAGTGGCAGTCTAGTAGAAGGAGTATGGATTTTGGAATCAGACCTGGATCTAAACTTCAGCTCTGCCTGTCAGCGCTTGGGCAAGTTTCTTAATCTTTCCAAATCTAGGATTTTTCATCTCAGTAAATGGGGATCATAATAGCTACCACTTAGTGTTGTTATAACAACTAAATGAAGCAAGGTTCTAAGTACTTACAGGAAGTACTTAGTTTGATGTGTGGCACAAATCATAGGTCACAGTAAATATTTGTGAAATGAATAAATGGTAACTATTACTATGTTTGATCCTCCCTCATAGGGAGTCAACATACCTGTTTTAGAAGGTAAATCAACATGTCTTTTAGGCATGTCATATTCTTTACAGATATGTATACTTATTGCCATAGTTAAAAACTGCTGTTTGGCTCATTTCTTTTTGTCTTAGAAAATGCCTGTTTCAAATACCTCACAGCCTTTTAATTTTTAAATTCCAGATTAATTCATGGAGGACAGATGTTAAATGGATTGGCAGGTCCAACTGTAATGAATGCAGCACCATTTCTCTCTACGACGTGGTTTTCTGCAGATGAAAGGGCCACAGCCACAGCTATTGCATCAATGCTCAGTTATCTTGGGGGAGCATGTGCATTTTTAGTTGGACCACTTGTTGTTCCAGCTCCCAATGGGACATCACCTCTTCTTGCTGCAGAGAGCAGCAGGGCGCATATTAAAGATCGCATAGAGGCTGTGTTATATGCAGGTAATTTGAAGTTTATTTTCTTCTTGTTATACTTTGTCTTTTATCTCAATCATCTTCACTCTACTTTTTGTATAACAGATACCTTCATATGAAATACTTGAGAGGACTAATATGTAAATTTACATGCACTGTGCATTCCTTGTCATATGATATAGAGATGCTTAATTAAAACTGAACACTCTTCCTAGGAAGTTAAGTTTTAAATTTATTATTGCCACATGGAGGGGTATTTCTTAATTTTAGTCTTTTCATCTATTTACGGTTAAGTACTGTATAACACATTTTCTATGTCCTCTCTAGATATCTTATCAGGATATAAAACGTCATGACTGACAATAACCTTTTGTTAAACATCTATCTGTTGGTAGGTGTTAAGCCCGTTTTCTCCCTTGTAGTTTCTCCATTATTAGCCATGTTCTGTAACCTTATTTACCTTGATCATCTACAGTTTATCCTCATTTCCTACTCTCTGTATGTTTAGTCTGTTATCAGGGATACTGACCTTTCTAAAATATTCTTTGAATTATTTTATTTCTAGAGTCAAGCCCTGGTCCACTCTTATAGTATAGTCTCCTACGGATTTTCATAGATATAGCCCCTCTCTCTATATCCCTGTTTGTTATTTCCTCTGCATTCAGAACACTTTTTGTAGGTGTTTACTATATGCCAAGCACTGTGCTAAGCACTAGGAATTGGTAAGGTCAACGATGAGACAATTATAATACAAGTAGAGATATACAGAGGTTGGGAGACCTAACTTGCCTGGGTTTGTAGGGAAGTTGAGGGGGCAGGAAAGGCTTCAACAAGAATGTAATAATTAAAGTTAAGAATTTTGTAGGAGTTCACCAAGTGTTTGAGTGGTTAGTGTATTCCATACAGAGGGAACAGTAACTGCAAAGGCAGGGAAGGTATGAGAGAGCTCAGTATGTCTAGGGAACTGCAAGTAATTGAGTATGGCTGGAGTGGTGTAAATGTTTGTGTTTGGGTATGGGTAACAAGTGGCAGAAAATGAGACTGGAATGATAAGGGACCCAATTATACTGAACCTTGTTTTAACTTTTTTGTTCACTTATAAATTTCACAAACATGTTTTGAACGCCTATGTATCTGTCACTATGTGAGTCACTGAGATAGGCATGGTTCCTGGTGTAACAGAACTTACAGTGTCCTGAATGGTACAGACAGGTAAACAATTGTAAAATAGAGCAGGGAGTATTATAAACCAAAGGCCTACAATTGCTCTGAGAGCTCGGAGAAGGAGCACCTAACCCAGATTTTGGAGGTAAAGTAGAGCTTCCTGGAGATGCAGCTTCTAAATCAGAGCCTGAGGAATGAGAGAACGATGGTTAAATACAGTAGGCAGGAAGATTACACTGTAGAGAGGAAACTTAAAGGAGAAGTCCAGTGAAGGGAGACACCCTGGTACGTTCAAGCCCAGAGTGGCTTAGATCTAGTGAGAGTACTAGTAGGTGAAGCTAGAGAGGAAGGCAAGCCCCACGCAAACCTTCTAAGCAGGCCTGAAGGGTTTAAGGTTCACCACATTGTAGGCAAAGGCCACACTCTGAAGAACTGTATGTCAGAGAGTTATTTGATGACATTTACATTTCAAAATATGGTTTAGAAGGATTAAAACTGAAAGCAAGGGTAGCAGCAGTATATAAAGCATTTCACCTCCTTTACACAACTTATTCCTTTTAAAGAAAAAATAAAAATGTAAAAATGAGTAAATAAAACTGAACGCAGGTGAAACATAAGTTTTAAACTTTATTTTGGTCATGTTATTATTTTTATTGAAAACCTAAGCAATGATTGTATTTTTTACATGATGTTAAGCACTGTTAAGCATATATTAATGCAGTACATGCAGCTCATGGTTCTCATGCAGTCAAGCAGAAGCCCCTGCTCAAAGCTTCCCAGTTACTTCTTCATTGCTTTCATGTTTGCCAATCTGCCTTTCTGAAAGACTGTCCCAGGACTTCATTCTATTCAAAATACTGTACTAGAATTGTCATTTTAAAAAGTTAGAGATTCTTAAATTATTCCCGACAAAGGTAACATAAGAAAAGTAAACTACAGATCCAAATCTCAGATGAGTATAAACACAAAAGTCCTGAACAAAATACTAGCAAACTGATTCCAGCAACATATATCATAAAACGGATGATATACCATGACTAAATGGGATTTATTCCAGCAATGCAAGGTTGGTTTAACATTCAAAACTCAATTTATGGAATGTATCATATCAGCAGATAAAAGGGAAAAAACATGATCATCTTAAAAGATGAAGAAAAAGCATTTGACAAATCCAACACCCTTTCAATGAACTGGAAACAATCAATGAATTAGGAATAGACAGGAACTCTCTCAACCTAATAAAAAGCATCTATTGGAAACCCACAAGAGGCCTGGCACAGTGGCTTGTGCCTGTAATCCCAGCACTGTGGGAGGCCGACAAGGGAGGATCACTTGAGGCCAGAAGTCTGAGACCAGCCTGGCCAACATAGCAAAACCCCATCTCTACTAAAAAGAAAAATGGCCGGACATGATGGCACATGCCTGTAATCCCAGTTACTCGGGAGGCTGAGGCACGAGAATCGTTTGAGCCTGGGAGGCAGAGGTTATAATGTGAGCCAAGATCACACCACTGCACTCCAGCCTGGGTGACAAACAAACAAACAAACAAAAAACCTGGAGGTAACATCACATTTCACTTCTAGGGTTATGAACAAGACAAGGATGTCCATTTTTCCATGCCTTTTTAAAACTGTGCTGGAGGTTCTAGGCAGTATCACTGAACAAGAAAAGCAAAAGATATCCAGATTGTAAGGGAAGTAGTAAAGAATATCTCTGTTGAAAATGATCTTGAATATAGAAAATTATCTGGAGTTCACTAAAAACTATTAGATCTAAAAAAAGATTTTAGCAAAGTTTTATGGTACAAGATTAATATGTAAAAATCAATTGTCTATATATTGGCAATGAACAATCTTAACATGCAATTCAATTTGCAATAGCATCAAAAAGAATAAAAGATTTAGGAATAAACTTAACAAATGAAGTGCAGAACTTATAATCTGAAGACTACCACTGTTGAAAGAAATTTAAAAAGACCTAAATAAATGGAAAGGCATTCCATGTTCATGTTGGGAGGTTTAATATTGTGAAGATATCCCCAAGTTTATCTGCAAATGTAGTGCAATCCCTTTAAAAATCCCAGCTGCCTTTGTTGCAGAAATCGACAAGGCGATCCTGAAATTTACATGGAAATGCAAAGGACCAGCAATATCCAAAACAATCTTGAAAAGGAACAAAATTGGAGAACTCAGACTTCTCAACTACAAAACTTATTACAAAGCTATAAGATAGCATAGTACTGGCATAAGGATAGGCATATAAATCAGTAGAATAGAAATGAGATTCTAAAAAAGTGATACTGCGTAGAAACGCCATTACATTTATGGTTAATTGATTTTTCAGAAGGGTCCCAAGATAATAAGGGAAAAAGTCTTTTCAGTAAATGGTACAGGAATAACTGAATATCCAAATTCAAAAGAATGAATTTGAACCCCGTTGTTAACTCAAACCTAAATGTAAGAGCTAAAACTATAAAACTCTTGGAAGAAAACTAACAAGTAAATCTTTATGACCTTGGATTAGGTGAAGCCTTTTTATAAAAGACACCAAAAGCACCAGTGACAAAGGAAAAAAGATAAATTAGACTTCATCACAATTTAAAATTTTTGTGCTTCAAAGAACCCAGAGAGTGAAAAAGACAGTCCACAGAATGGGAGAAAATAATTGCAAATCATATATCTGATAAGGGACTTATATTCAGATTATATAAAGCATTCTTACAACTCAACAACAGAAAGACAACGCCATTAAGAAGTGGGTAAAGGACTCAAACACATTTCTCCCAAGAAAATACACAAATGTTCATCGAACACATGAAAGATACTCAGTGTCATTAGTCATTAGGGAAATGCAAATCAAAACCATGGTAAGATACACTTCACACCCAGTAGGATTGCTAGAATCAATAAAATGGAAAATAATAAAGTACTGGCAAGAAAGTGGAGAAATTAGAACCTTCATACATTCCCATATGTGGGAATGTAAAATGGTGTAGCCGCATTGGAAACAGTTTCACAGTTCCTCAAAATGTTAAACAAAGATTACCATACAATCCAGAAATTACATTTCTAGATATATATCCAAGTGAAATGAAAACATACACCCATGTAAAAATGTATACATGAGCATTATTTATAATAGCGAAAAAGTGGAAACAACCCAGATGTCTATCTACTGATAAGTGGATGAACAAAATGTGATATATCTGTGCAATGGAATATTATTTGACAATAAAAAATACTAAAGTACTGATACATACTCCAACATGAATGACCCTTGAGAACATTATGCAAAGTGAAAGAAGCCAGTCATAAAAGACCACATATTATATGATTCCATTTATAGGAAATGTCCATAATACTCAAATCTATAGGGACTAAAAGTAGATCAGAGGTTGCCTAGGGCTGGGAGATTGAGAGTAATGGGTACAGAGTTTCTTTTTGGGTTGTTGAAAAAATTCTAAAATTGATTGTGGTTATGATTGTACAATTCTGCTGGTAAATGAAAAACCACTAGATTGTGCACTTTAAATGTGTGCATTGTATGTCATGTGAATTATATCTCAGTGAAGTTGTTTACAAAAATGCCAGTAGATGGTCAAAGAATATGAATAAGGCAATCATGCAAGACATACAGGTGGCCAATATGCATATTTTAGGTGCTCATTCAGTATTACTAATAATTAAAATAACTCTAAATTAGAACAGTTCATTAACTTCTTGTTGCTCCTTAGATTGACAAAGACTAAACAGACTGAAAACACCAAAAAAAAAAAGAAAGAAAAAAAAGGAATCTGCTAACAATCTTGTGTTTAAAAAAATAGGAATCTTTAAATTTCTAACTGAATTAAACAGAATTATCTGTGGTTAATTGTCTTATAGGAATGTTGTCCTTTTTTGCTAAGAATATAGCCCTAGAATTAAAATTATCCAACTGAAAGGACCTCTAGAAATCACTAAATTCAATCTGTTTATTGGCCTAGAAAGATTAAGGGATTTGTTCAAATTACAAGCTAATTAATGGCATAGACAGGTCTATATTCCAAGTTTCCTGACTTTTCTACTAGGGCTGTGCTTTTCTACAAAATTGGACACAGTTATCAAAAGCTGGAACTTCCAAGTGCCAGAATTATAGAGGGAAAGATTGGGATGCTAGAACCTTCCCTTCTATAATGGGGACAAATTAAGATTGTTTGGGTATTCATTTTACTTCTGATTGTTTAATACTCTACATTAGCTAGTCTTGTGTTTAAATTCTATTCCCTGTCTCTTGGTCTCTTATTTTTGGATGCTTTCTTGTTCAAATTTTCCATACAGTCTGTAAATTGGGTCTGTCTTATACAATGCATCAGACTATCCTATTATGAATCAAACAAACCTCCTATCCTGTTATTTCTTACCAGTTTTTTTTTCTGAATGCCACACTTATTAGACAATCATCCTAGACCTGTTTCACAATCTCTTTTATAGTAAGGTACTGTTGGCTTTTAATGTTTTCTCCATAAGACAACATTTGTTTACTTCCTCAGTCTTTTTATCTGTGTGCCATAGTATCAGCATATACATCATTGTTAGTATAACCTCTTTACCAATTACTTGTTGAAATTTATATTTTTATATATTCAATTTTGTTTTTACTAGACTGAGCAATCTTGGCTAGATACTATATTTTGCTTATCTCTATACGTCTCAGACTCAGTTGATACTTAGTAAATATTTGTTAGATAAATAAATACCTGAGAGGCCGGGCATGGTGGCCCACACCTGTAATTCCAGCATTTTGGGAGACTGAGGCAGGAGAATGGCTTGAACATCACTTGAGCTCAGGAGTTCGAGACCAGCCTGGACAACATGGTGAGACCCTATCTCTACAAAAATAAAAAATAAAAATTAGCCTGGTATGGTGGCATGCATCTATGGTCCCAGCTACTTGGGAGGCTGAGGCAGGAGGATCACTTGAGCCCAGGAGGTCAAGTCTGTAGTGAGCCATGTTCATGCCACTGCATTCCAGCCTGGGTGACGGAGTGAGACCCTGTTTCAAAAAACAAATAAATACTTGAAGTCTTCAACTTTTTGTGTTTCCTGGTTAACATTTTACCTATTTTTTTCTTTCAGAATTTGGAGTTGTCTGCTTAATATTTTCTGCAACACTAGCTTATTTCCCACCCCGACCTCCTCTTCCTCCCAGTGTTGCTGCAGCTAGCCAGCGGCTGAGTTATCGGAGAAGCGTTTGTAGATTATTAAGGTAAATATACTGAGAGTCACTGGATGGCTTTGACTGACACCTTCAAGGTAACTTCAGATTTTTAAAAAATAATTTAAGATAGTAATTTTTCAGCAACCTATTAATTAGGTTGTAAGTAATTGATAAAATACTAATTGAATATTTTAGATTTCCTACCAGAAATCTATCTTGAAAAATCACCAAAAACAAAAACTTCTATAATTTTTGCCTTCTCTACATATCACCTATACTATTATTTGCTTAATGTTTTAAAAATCAAATATTTTATTTTTCTTAAATAATTTTCTTTTTTAAAGAATCCCATATCATACAATAGTGTCTGTGAAATCATGAATTCTATGTGTTATACTTTTCCTAATATGCACATTATTTTAACTTATTATGTATTTGTTAAGGCATATTAAAATAAGCAGGTGGTAGTCAATACAAAGTGAATAAAATAAATAATATTATTCACATATCACCTGAAATCATTTTCTGTACGAGCAGTAGGATCATACTTTAAGAAACCAAATATATTATTTAATTTTATTGGTATAACTTAGTATAGTTAGATTAAACTCTACTCTTGAAGGCTCAAATGCCCAGTACTGAATTTAATTCTTGGGATATATAAAATACCACTATTGATTATGATTTGCAGTTGGACCACTAGACTTTGTCATTTGAAATTTTTTCACAGGTAGTTGTTATGAGTTTTTATTGATTCTTCAACAACTCTCTCTAAATTGGTTCTTTCTTTTCTTGGGTTCCTCTCCCCAGATGGTAAGTTTCTTGTGGTCAAGAAGCAGTATCTATGTCTTTACATCTGCTGCAGTAATACTGTCCAGTAGGAATAAAATGCAAGCCACATAAGTAATCTTACATTTTCTGATAGTCTTCAATAAATTTTTATAAATCAAAATCATATCAAGTATCTTCTGTGACCACAGTGGAATAAAACTAGAAATCAACTCCAAAAGGAACCCTCAAAACTGTACAAACACACGGAAATTAAACAATCTGCTCCTGAATGATTTTTGGGTTAACAATGAAATCAAGATGAAAATTAAATTCTTTAACATGAACCGTAATAGTGATGTAAGTTATTAAAACTTCTGGGATACAGCAAAAGCAGCGCTAAGAGGAAAGTTTATAGCACTAAATGCCTATATCAAAAAGTCTGAAAGATTACAAATTGACAACCTAATGTCACACCTCAAGAAACTAGAGAAACAATAACAAACCAAAACCAAAGCCAGCAGAAAAAAAGAAAAAACAAAGATCAGAGCAGAACTAAATAAAATTGAAACAAAAAATACAAAAGATCAATAAAACAAAAAGTTGGCTATTTGAAAAGATAAACAAAATTGATACCCCATTAGCTAGATTAACCAAGAAAAGAAGATTCAGTTAAGCTCAATTAAAAATGAAAATGGAGACGTTACAGTCAATACCACAGAAATACAAAAGATCATTCAAGACTACTATGAACACCTCTATGGACACAAACTAGAAAATCTAGGGGAAATGGATAAACTTCTGGAAACATACAACCCTCCTAGATTAAATCAGGAAGAAATAGAAACCCTGAACAGACCAATAATGAGCCGTGAGATTGATTCAGTAACTTAAAAATTGCCAACCAAGAAAAGGTTATGGTCAGATTGGCCAGATGGATTCACAGTTGAATTCTACCGGACTTTCAAAGAAGAATTTATACCAATCCTACTGAAACTATTCCAAAAGATTGAGAAAGCAGGAATCCTCCCTAACTCATTTTATGAAGCCATCACCCTGATACCAAAACCAGATTGAGAAAGAGGGACTCCTCCCTAACTCATTCTATGAAGCCAGTGTCACCCTGATACCAAAACCGGAAAAAGACATAACAAAAAAGAAAACTACAGGCCAATAGCCTTGATGATCATAGATACAAAAATCCTTAATAAAAACACTAGCTTACTGAATCCAACAGCACATCAGAAAGATAATACACCATGATCAAGTGGGTTTCATACCAGAGATTGTTTAAAATACGCAAGTCAAATGTGATATATGACATAAACAGAATTAACAACAAAAACAGTATGATCATAATAGATGCAGAAAAGGCATTCAGTAGCATCTCTTTATGATAAAAAAAAAACCCTCAACAAACTAGGCATAGAAGGGACATACTTCAAAATAAAAGCTGTATATGACAAACCCACAGCCAACATCATACTGAATGGGAAAACTTGAAAGTATTTCCCCTGAGAACTGGAACAAGACAAGGATGCCCACATTCACCACTTCAGTTCGAAAGTACTAGAAGTCCTAGCCAGAACAGTCAGGCAACTGAAAGAAATAAAGGGCATCCAAATTGGAAAAAGAGGAAGTCAAATGATCACTGTTTGCCAATGATATGATCATATACCTAAAAAACCCTAAAGACTCTTCCAAAAGACTCCTAGATTTGATAAATGAATTCAGTAAACTCTCAGGTTACAAAATCAGTGTACACAAATCAGTAGCACTGCTCTACACCAACAACGAGAAAGGCAAGAATCAAATGAATAACTCAGTCCTCTTTACAATAGCTGCAAAAAAATTAAAATACCTAGGAATATTCTTAACCAAGAAGGTGAAATATCTCTACAATAACTACAAAACACTGCTGAAAGAAATCATAGATGCCCATTCAGTGTGATATTGGCTGTGGGTTTGTCGTAGATAGCTCTTACTATTTTGAGATACATTCCATCAATACCTAATTTATTGAGAGTTTTAGCATGAAGGGTTGTTGAATTTTGTCAAAGGCCTTTTCTGCATCTATTGAGATAATCATGTGGTTTTTGTCTTTGATTCTGTTTATATGCTGGATTACATTTATTGATTTGCATATGTTGAACCAGCCTTGCATCCCAGGGATGAAGCCCACTTGATCATGGTGGATAAGCTTTTTGATGTGCTGCTGGATTCGGTTTGCCAGTATTTTATTGAGGATTTTTGCATCGATGTTCATCAAGGATATTGGTCTAAAATTCTCTTTTTTGGTTGTGTCTCTGCCAGGTTTTGGTATCAGGATGATGCTGGCCTCATAAAATGAGTTAGGGAGGATTCCCTCTTTTTCTATTGATTGGAATAGTTTCAGAAGGAATGGTACCAGCTCCTCTTTGAACCTCTGGTAGAATTCGGCTGTGAATCCATCTGGTCCTAGGAGCATTCCCTTTGAAAATGGGCATGAGACAGGGATGCCCTCTCTCACCACTCCTATTCAACATAGTGTTGGAAGTTCTGGCCAGGGCAATCAGGCAGGAGAAGGAAATAAAGGGTATTCAATTAGGAAAAGAGGAAGTCAAATTGTGCCTGTTTGCAGATGGCATGATCGTATATCTAGAAAACCCCATCGTCTCAGCCCAAAATCTCCTCAAGCTGATAAGCGACTTCAGCAAAGTCTCAGGATACAAAATTAATGTACAAAAATCACAAGCATTCTTATACACCAATAGCAGACAAACAGAGCCAAATCATGAGTGAACTCCCATTCACAATTGCTTCAAAGAGAATAAAATACCTAGGAATCCAACTTACAAGGGATGTGAAGGACCTCTTCAAGGAGAGCTACAAACCACTGCTCAATGAAACAAAAGAGGATACAAATAAATGGAAGAACATTCCATGCTCATGGGTTGGAAGAATCAATATCGTGAAAATGGCCATGCTGCCCAAGGTAATTTATAGATTCAATGCCATCCCCATCAAGCTACCAATGACTTTCTTCACAGACTTGGAAAAAACTACTTTAAAGTTCATATGGAACCAAAAAAGAGCCCGCAATGCCCAGTCAATTCTAAGCCAAAAGAACAAAGCTGGAGGCATCATGTGACCTGACTTCAAACTATACTACAAGGCTACAGTAACCAAAACAGCATGGTACTGGTACCAAACAGAGATATAGACCAATGGAACAGAACAGAGCCCTCAGAAATAATGCCGCATATCTACAACTATCTGATCTTTGACAAACCTGACAAAAACAAGCAATGGGGACAGGATTCCCTATTTAATAAATGGTGCTGGGAAAACTGGCTAGCCATATGTAGAAAGCTGAAACTGGATCCCTTCCTTACACCTTATACAAAAATTAATTCAAGATGGATTAAAGACTTAAACGTTAGACCTAAAACCATAAAAACCCTAGAAGAAAACCTGGGCAATACCATTCAGGACATAGGCATGGGCAAGGACTTCATGTCTGAAACACCAAAAGCAATGGCAACAAAAGCCAAAATTGACAAATGGGATCTAATTAAACTAAAGAGCTTCTGCACAGCAAAAGAAACTACCATCAGAGTGAACAGGCAACCTACAGAATGGGAGAAAATTTTCACAACCTACTTATCTGACAAAGGGCTAATATCCAGAATCTACAATGAACTCAAACAAATTTACAAGAAAAAAACAACCCCATCAAAAAGTGGGCAAAGGATATGAACAGACACTTCTCAAAAGAAGACATTAATGCAGCCAAAAAACACATGAAAAAATGCTCATCATCACTGGCCATCAGAGAAATGCAAATCAAAACCACAATGAGATACCATCTCACACCAGTTAGAATGGCGATCATTAAAAAGTCAGGAAACAACAGGTGCTGGAGAGGATGTGGAGAAATAGGAACACTTTTACACTGTTGGTGGGACTGTAAACTAGTTCAACCATTGTGGAAGTCAGTGTGGTGATTCCTCAGGGATCTAGAACTAGAAATACCATTTGACCCAGCCATCGCATTACTGGGTATATACCCAAAGGATTATAAATCATGCTGCTATAAAGACATGCAAACGTATGTTTATGGTGGCAATATTCACAATAGCAAAGACTTGGAACCAACCTAAATATCCAACAACGATAGACTGGATTAAGAAAATATGGCACATATACACCATGGAATACTATGCAGCCATAAAAAATGATGAGTTCATGTCCTTTGTAGGGACATGGATGAAGCTGGAAACCATCATTCTCAGCAAACTGTCACAAGGACAAAAAACCAAACACCGCATGTTCTCACTCATAGGTGGGAATTGAACAATGAGAACACATGGACACAAGAAGGGGAACATCACACACCAGGGACTGTTGTGGGGTGGGGGGAGGGGGGAAGGATAGCATTAGGAGATATACCTAATGCTAAATGACGAGTTAATGGGTGCAGCACACCAACATGGCACATGTATACATATGTAACAAACCTGCAGATTGTGCACATGTACCCTAAAACTTAAAGTATAATAATAATAAAATAAAATAAAAAGAAATCATAGATGACACAAAAAAATGGAAACACATTCCATGTTCATGGATTGGAAGAATCAATATTGTGAAAATGACCATACTGCCCAAAGCAATCTACAGATTCAGTGCAGTTACTATCAAAATAGCAACATCATTTTTCATAGAATTAGAAAAAAAAATCCTAAAATTCATATGTAACCAAAAAAGAGTCCAAATAGCCAAAGCAATCCTAAGCAAAAGGAACAAATCTGGAGGCATCACATTACCTGACTTCAAATTATACTACAAGGGTATAGTTACTAAAACAGCATGGTACTGGTATAAAAGTAGTCAATGGGACAGTCCAATGGAACAGAATAGAGAAATCAGAAATGAAGCCAAATACATACAACCAACTAATCTTCAGCAAAGCATACAAAAACATAAATTGGAGAAAGGACACCCTATTTAATAAATAGTTCTGGGAAAACTGGCAAGCCACAAGTAGAAGAATGAAACTGGATCCCTATCTCTCACCTTATACAAAAATAAACTCAAGATGCATCAAAGACTTAAATATAAGATCTGAAACCATAAAAATTCTAGAAGATAATGTTGGAGAAACACTTCTGGACATTGGCCTAGGCAAAGAATTCATGACTAATACCCCAAAAGCAAATGCAACAAAAACAAAAATAAACGGGACCTAATTAAACAAAAAGTTTCTGTACAGCAAAAGAAGTAATCATCAGAGTAAACAAACAGCCCACAGAATGGGCGAAAATATTTGCAAACTCTGTATCTGACAGGAGACTAATATCTAGAATCTACAAAGGAACTCAAACAGATCAGCAAGAAAAAAAAAATCTCATCAAAAAGTGGGCAAATGTCATGACCAGGAGACATTTCTCAGAAGAAGACATACAAACACTAACAAACATAGGAAAAAATGCTCAACATCACTAATCATCAGGGAAATGCACATTAAAACCACAATTAGATACCACCTTACCCCTGCAAGAATAGCCATTATTAAAAAGTCAAAAAACAATAGATGTTGACATGGATGTGGTGAAAAGGGAATGCTTATACACTGCTGGTAGGAATGTGAGTTAGTACCACCTCTATGCAAAACAGTATGGAGATTCCTTAAAGAACTAAAAGGAGATCTACCATTCAACCCAGCAATCCCACTACTGGTGTCTACCCAAAGGAGAAAAGTCTTTATATGAAAAAGACGTATGCACATGCACATACATGTTTATACCAACACAATTTGCAATTCCAAAGATATGGAACCAACCTAAGTGCCCATTGACCAATGAGTAGGAAAATGAGTGTATATACACCATAGAATACTACTCAGCCGTAAAAAAAGAACAAAATAATGCTTTTACATCAACTTGTAGGGAGCTGGAAGCCGTTATTCTAAGTGAAGTAACTCAGGAATGCAAAATCAAACACTGTATGTTCTGACTTATAAGTGGGAGCTAAGCTTAGGGTAGGCAAAGACAGAGTGGTATAGTGGACTTTGGAGACTCAGAATGGAGAGGATGGTGGAGACTGAAGGGTAACAAACTCCATATTGGGTACACTGTACACTACTCAGGTGGCAGGTGCACCAAAGTCTCAGACTTCACCGCTATCCAATTCATCCTTGTAACCAAAAATCATTTGTACCCCAAAAGCTATTGAAATTTTTAAAAATTTGTTTTAATTTTTTGTATATTTGGGATAAAAATCTTTGAAAATTTTTAATAATCTTATTTTAACAGGAAAAATAAGTAAAATTAATTAGAAATAAGTAAAATTAATAAGTAAAATTAGTTCTAAGAAATGAGTAAAATCAATTTTAGTAGCATATTGTTTAACCAAGCATATCTAAAACATTATTTTAACATGTAATCAATATTAAAACTTATTAATGAGATATGTTATTCATAACATCTTTGATATTCAGTGGATATTTTGCACTTAAAGCACATGTCAATTTGGACATTAAAT
The DNA here is from genome assembly GCF_000001405.40 of Homo sapiens. Lineage (NCBI taxonomy): Eukaryota > Metazoa > Chordata > Mammalia > Primates > Hominidae > Homo > Homo sapiens. Next base: position 122,840,692 of record NC_000003.12, read on the forward strand.
TTTTACTGGAAATACTTGATTTCCAGTAGAATTAAGTGGAATATTTCAGATATCACTAAATTTACCGTTGAAAAAGTATGCATTGAGCAATGTCTCTTGTATTGCACTGTTTATCCTAAGTTAAAAATAAATAATTAGTTTCTGAAATTTTGAATCAACAGATATTTGCTATCGTTAGAAAGGATCTTACATTCTATAGGCCATTGTTTGGGGCTTAATTGCAGATCTAACACTTCTGTAGAATACTATTTTTATTCTTTTCCTCGTAATTTTTAACAAATTTCCATAGCTAAAAACAATTCCTTTACCATCTCTTGATCTAAAATGCTTTTCTTTTTGTACAAGGATCCAAACAGTTTTATAGCTGGCCAAATTATTAGTTCAGATCTGTTAAAAATCATTTAAGTGTTCATTGGACATTTAATTCTGATTTCAGGCAACTAATTTTCTTGATTCTTTTTTGATCTGAAAAGAAACGTCTATAAAATTGACCATGTGTTTGCTAAAATGTCTTTTAATATTATTCACTTAATTATTCTAAACTTTTTTTCCACAGCAGACATTTTATTTTGCTCTGCTGTAGCAAATTGTAATTGCCGTTCATTGTGAAGTTTGCAACATGCCGTCTTCTCTTTTGGTCTCTTCTTTCTACAGGAAATATTCAAATACACAAATTACAATGTCACATGTCACATCAGTGTGTAGAAAAAAATAATTAGAACTGAATCCATTCATTGACGCCAATATCAGTGATGGATGATGATACTAGAGACAACACATGCCCCAGCATGCACACTATAATAATATCTTAGTGTTGCAGCTGTTAAAGTAAAATGTACTCCTACCAAACAGAGTTACGTTTAATGGAAAAGTAACTTTCACTGCTTCGCTTCAAATTTAGATTTAAATTAGTTAAAATGAAATAAAATTAAAAACTCAGTTCCTTGGTTGCACCAGCCACATTTCAAATGCTATGTAATATTGTTTTCCAAACTTTGGTTTACAGCCAACTAATTCAGTGAGGTGACAGCCATTTTCCTTAAGCAAAATAGAATGGAATAAAATAGAATAGAAAATATTATTTCATCACATGTAATAAGGATACCTTCTTTTAGACTTTTGTTTCAGTATATATGTTGCATATAGGTAGGTCACAAAGTAAAAATAAATTTCTTACTCTGGGTACAGTAAAAAGTTTTTGAAAATCACTTCTCTATAGCACGTCGTACATTGCCTTTCACATAATAGGTAAAAAAAATGTTAGGTTGAATTGTGATTAGTGGCACACATTTGTAAGATGACAGTTTAAAATGATCGTTTTTTAAAAACAATGCCACTTAAGTAAATTTTTTTCCATGCAAACCTAGCTGCAGATGTTAGATAGCAATAGAGAAAGGTAGAGAGGTAGATTGGGATCATATTATGACATACTAATAATTTTGGACTATTCTTTAGGAAATGAGTCACTGAAGGATGTTAAGCCAAGAAGTTATGTACAAGATTGCAGATGTTAGGCCGGGCGCGGTGGCTCACGCCTGTAATCCCAGCACTTTGGGAGGCCGAGGCGGGCGGATCACGAGGTCAGGAGATCGAGACCATCCTGGCTAACACGGTGAAACCCCGTCTCTACTAAAAATACAAAAAATTAACCGGGCTTGGTAGCGGGTGCCTGTAGTCCCAGCTACTCGGGAGGCTGAGGCAGGAGAATGGCGTGAACCCGGGAGGCGGAGCTTGCAGTGAGCCGAGATCGCGCCACTGCACTCCAGCCTGGGCGACAGAGCGAGACTCCGTCTCAAAAAAAAAAAAAAAAAAAAAAAAAAAGATTGCAGATGTTAGATAGCAATAGAGAAGGGTAGACAGGTAGATTGGGGTCATATTATGACGTACTAATAATTTTGGACTATTCTGTAGGAAATCGTGAGTCACTGAAGGATTTTAAGCCAAGAAGTTATGTACAGGATTGTTCTGACAAGGAAAAACAGTTAACTTAAAATTGTCCCCCCAACCCCTTTGACTTGTGTTTACTTCTAATTACCCTAGAGTCAAACTCTTCATTCTGTTTAAACCGTAAAGTGTAAGATCTTCCTTCTCTATAAAGAGTCCTTTTCACCAGTACCTAACATTCCTTTGTCTTTTATTGCTTACTCTGCATGAATGCCAGCTTCTACCTTTGGGCTCTCCAGGGGAGTTCTGTGGGCCTGCCATGCCCCATTCCCTTCCTACCAGTGTAATTACCCCCAGTCTCTCATAGAATTCCTGAAATCATTGCTTTCTGAGTTAATCAGATTATTTGCCAGCACGTAAACACATTTACTCATCTACTTTTTTTACGTTTATATTTCCTTCTCCCATTTCCCTCCCCCAACCCAGGCCACCTCTCAGATGCCTTTAATGTGTATCTCTTTGTCTCTGTGCTTTTGCAGTATGTGTACTGTTTTGTATGCATCTATGTTTAATTCATCTAAATTATGCCATATTGTGCATATCATTCTGTTTGACATTTTTCACTAAGCACTACATGGTTTATTTTTTTTTAACTTTTCATTTGGGAATGTTACAATAATATACAAAGGTAGAATAGTATAACCCCATAAGTCGGTATCAACAATTGTCAGTGAGTTTACAACCAGTCTCGTTTTATCTTTGTACCACCCACTTCCCACTTCCCACCTTCCTGCATCATGAAACAAATCCCAGATGACAACTCCATTTCATCCAGAAATATTTCAATATGTGCAATATATGTCAAAAATAGACTCTTTTTAACATATAGTGCCGTTATTTTAACTAAAAACTTTTAAATAATAATTTGCTAATATCAAATCAGTGTTTAAATTTTCAATTATCTCATAAACATTTAACAGTTTGTTTGAACAGTTTCCACATTAGGGCCACACATTGCAATTGGTCCAAAGTGCCTTAGAATCTATAGGTTTCCTTAACATGGCTCTTTGTTTCTTATAATTTAATTGTTGAGGAGCCAGCACTTTTATTCCCAACATCTGGATTTTGTTGATTTCCTCATTGTATAGTTTGACATGTTCCCCTCTCCTTTATGGTTCTTGTAAAGTATGTTGTGATTCAGGTTTTAGTTTTGCTTTTGTTTTTGTTTTACAAGACCGCTTCGTAAGTGATGCTGCTTCCTTTCATCAGGAGGCGTATAATATCTGGACAACTCTCATTTTGTGATGTTAGCACTCTGTTTCAAGATGCACCCCTGCTGCTGTGTGTACACCTAGTTCTTTGTACTCCATGGTATTAATCTATCACATTTCATCTACTCATTCTCATTGTGTACCCAGATTGCCTCCAATTTATTGTTACCATAAACACTACTGCAGTGACATCCTCATGCACGTCACCATAGACCTGAAAATTTCTTTGGAAAACAGACCCTGTAACATGATTGCTAGGTCATAAAATAGTCTAAGCTTAATTTGTCAAGTACTGCCAGATTGTAGTGATGTGATCATAGCACACAGTAACCACCTGCCTCAGCCTTGCAATTAACTGGGATTACAGGTGCACACCACTATACCTGGCTAATTTTTATATATTTTTTATAGAGGTGAGGTCTCACTATCTTGCTCAGGCTGATCTTGAACTCCTGGCCTCAAGTTATTCTCCTACCTTGGTCTCCCAAAGTGCTGAGATTACAGGCATGAGCCACCATACCTGGCCAGAGCTTTTTTTAAACTACCTACTCATTTGATGAAATAATATTGGTTATCTGTATAATAAACATTGAGAATTTTAAACAATATGAACAAAATATTATTCTTATAAAAATAAAAAATTTCAAGAAGCGAGCCAGGTGCAATGTCTCACGCCTGTAATCCCAGCACTTTGGGAGGCCAAGGTGGGTGGATCATCTGAGGTCAGGAGTTCGAGGCCAGCCTGGCCAACATGGCGAAACCCTATCTCTACTAAAAATACAAAAATTAGCTGGGTGTGCTGGCAGGTGCCTGTAATTCCAGCTCTTTGGGAGGCTGAGGCAGGAGAAGCACTTGAACCCGGGAAGCGGAGGTTGCAGTGAGCAGAGATCACACCATTGCACTCCATCCTGGGCTACAAGAGTGGAACTCCATCTTCAAAAAAAAAAAAAATTTCAAGAAGCTTGAATTTATTAACTGACAGATTTTTTTCTTTTATAAAGCTTGCCACTTTGAGCTTCTTGAAGAATATATATATATATATACCTGTACATACACATATTGTACATATATGTGTATATATAGTTATTCATATGTGTATATGTGTGTATATATACATATATATTTTTTAACTTTTAGGCTCAGGGTACGTGTGCAGATTTGTTACATGGGTAAATTCCATGTCATGGGGGTTTGGTGTACAGATTGTTTTGTCACCCAGATAATAAGCATAGTATCCAATAGGTAGTTTTTCTGTCCTCACCCTCCTCCCACCCTGCACCCTCAAGTTGGTCCCAGTGTCTGTTTTTCCCTTCTTTGTGTCCATATGTACTTGATGTTTAGCTCCCACTGATAAGTGAGAACATGTGGTATTTGCTTTTCTGTTCCTGTGTTAGTTTTCTTAGGATAATGGCCTCCTGCTCCATCCGTGTTGCTGCAAAGGTTGTGATCTTGTTCTTTTTTATGTCTGTGGAGTATTCCATAGTGTATTTGTACCACATTTTCTTTATCCAGTCTACCATTTATGGCCATTTAGGTTGATTCCACATCTTTGCTATTGTGAATAGTGCTGCAGTGAATACACTCGTGCATGTGTTTTTATAGTGGAGTGATTTACCCAATAATGGATTGCTGGGTCAAATGGTAATTCTCTTTTAAGTTCTTTTAGAAATTGCCAAACTGCCTTCCATGGTGGCTGAACCAATTTACACTTCAACCAGCAGTATATATGCGTTTCCTTTTCTCTGCTACCTTTCCAGCACGTTTTTTTTTTTTTTTTTTTTTGAGTTTTTAATGCCATTCTGCAGATATTTTCTGATTCTGGTGTTCCAGTTTCCAAATGACATACATTTTTCATGACTAAGTTTATTCTAGATTTTTAATTTGTTACAATGTTTCCTTTTATTTCTCATTCACAGCAATTTTCGATTTTTGATGATTGCTTTAGCATATGCCATACCACTTGGTGTATTTGCTGGCTGGTCTGGAGTTCTGGACTTAATTTTAACACCAGCGCATGTCAGCCAAGTAAGTATTTTATTTCTTTATATGTTGTAGGTATTTTTGTTCATTTAATTTATAAATACTGGTTACGTGTTCTTGGTTTTAGCTTCAAGGACTGGGTAAAACATCGTCCTATACCATTGTTGCAAAAGCAAGATCTTTATGGAATAGGTAAAAAATAATGTTGATTTTCCTCCTTGATTTTGACAATAGTTGTGAATTTCACATTTCTGTGGGCATTATTAATGATACTACTGGTTTTTTAAAAAAGGAAGGAAGTCTTAGTTTTGTTGACCCCATTCTTTATCCTTGCTTCGTACCTTATAAAGAAGATTAAGATCCCATCATCAAATATATAGCTATTTCTTCATCTAGTTTCTGACTTTCTCTCTGGGCTCCAAATAAGGGTATTTCATTTCTTTAAAAATAAACATTTCACCTATATGCTTGATGTCATCCATTCCTTCTCTTTGCTTCCAGATAGCATGGTAGAAAGGAGGAGAGAGAAATTTTGAGAGGTAAATAGAAGAGAACACACTGCTGTGATATTCTATTGTATGAGTAAAAAAAAAAAAATTTGTCTATTCTGCTTTTGGTGAACATTTGGATTGGATTGTTAACCAGTTTTGACAGCCACAAACAATGCTGTATTAACACTCTCTTACATGTCTCTATGCACCTCTATACACATTTCTACTGGATACATATCTAGGAATGGAACTGCTGCGTATAGTATATGCTACTTTGGTAGATGATGCCAAACTTCTCCAAAGTGGTGGTATCCATGTGTAATCCTACCAGCAAAAATTTCTCATCATCCCACATCATTTGCCACTTGTGTGATAATATTAGTCTTTTTCACTTTAGACATGCTGATAGCTGTGCAGTTGTATGCCATCATAGTGACTTCTGTGGTGTCTTTTCAGTGTGAATTGGATATTTTGAATATCTTTTTCTTGTGACATACTAGTTTGAGTCTCTTGCCCACTATTGGGCTGCCTTTTTCTTACCGATACGTAAAGAAGAGGGCTGTGCAGAAGAGGGCTCCCCAGAGGACTTTGGGGGACTCCAGTAATCTTTGGCTGAGAAATGGGCTGCACATATAAAGGGCAAAACTACTGGAGGCTTAACAGAGAGAGTGGTATGGGTTGAAAGCAGAACAAAGATAGAAGACGTCAAGATTGTCTTGGAGTTCTGGCCCAGCCAGAATGGTAACACCTCATTCACACTTGTTAACCAGAATAGCCAAACTGTAGAATCAAGGACCATGCCCTAGGTAGAGGAAGCCTTACTCTAGTGTAGACCCATTATAAACAAAGACAAAAATCTGAAGAGGAGAGAGTTTGGAGATCTATCCTTATAAAGTACAAAATGAGGCCTACACATGCTCAAGGTGATCAACTAGTAATTGAACTGCCTACTAGAACAAAAGCCAGCCATCTTAGAAAAGATAAAAGAATCTAGAATCTCTTTATTGTGTCATCCACAACATACAGTGTACAATTTTTTTTTTTTTTTTTGATGGAGTCTCGCTCTGTCGCCCAGGCTGGAGTGCAGTGGCGCGATCTCAGCTCACTGCAAGCTCTGACTCCCGGGTTCACGCCATTCTTCTGCCTCAGCCTCCCGAGTAGCTGGGACTGCAGGTGCCTCCCACACCCGGCTAATTTTTTTGTATTTTTAGTAGAGACGGGGTTTCACCATGTTAGCCAGGATGGTCTCAATCTCCTGACCTCGTGATCCGCCCACCTAAGCCTCCCAAAGTGCTGGGATTACAGGCGTGAGCCACCATGCCTGGCCCAGTATACAATTTAAAAAAAAGTGCATTAAACATGTAAAGAAACAGGAAAGTATGACCCCTATTTGGCTGGGTGTGGTGGTCTCAAATATAGATACATAAAATTAAAAAAATTAAAAAAGCAATCATTAGAAACCAACTCTTAGATACTCTAGATGTTGGATTTAGCAGACTGAGGCTATAATGCAGAAAAGAGAAAGATAAATCTTTGCTTGCTCCAAGTTCATAAATATGTTATCTTGTACAACTGTGTCATCCTGTATAGTAGCTACTAGCCACATTCAAAATAAACTTCAAACTTAATTGATATTTAAACCAATTGAAATGAAATAAAAGTAAAAAATCACTTCCTTAGTTGCAGTAGCACTTTTCAAGTGCGGGATAGCCACATGAGACTAGCAGCTACCATGTTGCACGGTGTAGATAGAGAGCATTTCTATCATCAAAGAAAGTTCTGTTGGACAGTGCTGTTCTGGAGCTCTGTTCTTTTACCTGTCACATTTACCTAGAATTTAAACCTAGAATTGATTTTATATTTATTATAGGCGTTAAGTTTCTTTTTTCCCCATAGATATTTGTTAACCTAATATCAGTGTTTGAAAAGATCATTTTTTTTCTTCACTGCCCTCTATTCATCTTTGTTGTAAGCAAGTCTCCTTATATACACTGGTGTATTTCTAGACTTTATTCCTTTAGTCTGTTTGTCTGTCCCTGCACCAATACCAAATTGTGTTATTTATACTAGTGTTATAAATAAGTACTAGTTTTGATATTTAGTAAATTTCTCCCTTTATTAGGATTTCTGTTAGAGTTTTTATATTTACAGATCATTTTCAAAATTAACTCCTTTATAATATTTGAGTTTTCTGAACCATGATCATTATATTTCTCCTCATTTACTTAGGTCCCAATGTCTCTGAATGATGCTTTATAATTTTCAGCAAAGATACCTTCTATGTGTTTGTTAGCTTTATTCTCAGGTATTTGATACTTTTTGAAGCTGAGCAGCTTTTAAAATTTTTATTTTATTTTTCTTATTTTTAAAATTGATATGTAATTGCTGTACATATTTGGGGGGGATATATAATATTTTGATACCTGTGCACAGTGTATAATGATCAAATTGGTAAGAGTGCTATCCACCTCAAACATTTATTTTTTCTTTGTGTTGGGAACTTACAACTCTTCTCTTCTAGCTATTTTGAAATACACAATAAGCTGTTGTTAACTGTAATTTCCCTACTGTACTATCAAGTACTAGAACTCACTCTTTCTATCTAACTGTATTTTTGTACCCCTTAACCAACTTCTCTTCATCCTCCCACCCTTCTTCATCAGCAGCTGGTAACTATCATTCTACATTCTGCTTCCCTGAAATCCACCTTTTTAGTTCCCACATATGAATGAGAACGTGCAATGTTTGTCTTTCTATACCTGGCTTATTTCACTTAACATGATTTCACTTAACATCCATGTTGCTGCAAATAACAGGATTTCATTCTTTTTTGTGACTGAATAATATTCCATTGTGTATATATCTGATATTTTCTTGATGCATTCATCTGTTGATGACACTTAGGTTGTTTCCAAACCTTGGCTATTGTGCTGCAATAAACATGGGAGTGCAGATTTCTTTTTCATATACTGATTTTATATACTGATTTTTATATACTGATTTCCTTTCTATTGGGTATATACCCAGAAATGGGATTGCTACATCATATGGTAGTTCTATTTTTCGTTTTCTACGGAACCTCTGTACCGTTTTCCATAATGGCTGTACTTCTTTAATTTCCACCAGCAGTGTCCAAGCACTCCCCCTTCTCTGTATCCTTGTCAGCATTTGTTACTTTTTGTCTTTTTGGTGATAGCTATCCTAACTGGGGTGAGATGCTATTCATTGTAGTTTTGTTGTACATTTCCCTGATTATTAGTGATGCTGAACATTTCTTTTTGTATATTTGTTGGCCATTATATGTCTTCTTTTGAGAAATGTCTATTCAGGTCTTTTGCTTATTTTTTAATTGGATTGGTTTTTTTTTGCTGTTGAGTTGCTTGGGTTCCTTATAGATAGATAGTGGTTCTTAATCCCTTGTTGGATGTATAGTTTGTGAATATTTCTCCCATTCTGTAAGTTGTCTCTTCCCTCTGTTGTTTCCTTTGCTGTTCAGAAGCCATTTAGCTTTATGTAATCCCATTTGTCTGATTTTGCTTTTGTTGCCTGTGTTTTTGAGGCTGTACTCAAAAAATCTGTGTCCAGACCAGTGTCCTGTAGTGTTCCCCCAATGTTTTCTTTTAGTAGTTTCATAGTTTCAAGTCTTACATTGAACCCTTTTCCCTTTTAGAAAAAAAAAAAGTGCAGCTCGCTGCCAGCACTCATTTAATTTTATATAAACATGCTCTTTGATGCTGAAGCAAATCTGACTGACTTTCAATATGAAAATATAAAAACTGTTCTTGGAGTTATTTCTAAATAGAACTAACATCAGAATCATCTGAATCATCAGAATCGTCTATTTCAGAAAAATCGGATCCGTCAAATAAATCTCTAGCCAACGACTGTTTGAGAACGATGTTAATATCACACGTAGGAATGCTCCTTTTTCTAGGATTTGACATTTTCAGCAGTTGAGAATTACTATATTTTGTAAATGGAAATACCACTACTAAAAACAGAATGCTATAAGTAGAACGATGTCTTTTGTCGCCAAAGTTGATATACTAAGAGTGATGTGAAAATAGTCATAAAAGCAAGATAGTTAATGGCAAAGATATCTTGGGGTAAATGCTGCAGCTGCAAAAGCACCTCTGGCGAGTATTCTCAGGGCAAACAGGAAAAGGATTAAATCTTTAATCCATTTTGAGTTGATTTTTTTTTTTTTTGAGACAGCATCTTGATCTGTTGCCCAGGCTGGAGTGCAGTGGCAGAAGCATGGCTCACTGGAGCCTCAACTTCTTGGGTTTAAATGATCCTCCCACCTCAGCCACCCAAGTAGCTAGGGCTACAGGTGCACACCACCACGCCCAGCTAATTTTTTCAAGTTTTGTAGAGATGAAGTCTCTATGTTTCCCAGGCTGGTCTGGAACTCCTGAGCTCAAACAATCCTTACACTTTGGCCTCCCAAAGTGTGGGCCATGTCGGGCCATCTTTGTGTTTTAATTGGAGTATTTAGTGCATTTATATTTAATACAATTACTGACAAGTTTGGGTTTAGACCTGCCATCTTACTATTGGTCTTTATTTTGTTCAGCCCTGTCTATTCTTTTTGTCATCTTTCCTACCTTCTGGATTAAGTATTTTTTATTACTTTAATTTCCCCCCACTCTATTAGCTTGGCAGTTATAGACTCTTTTACTGTTTAATGATTACCCTAAAAAGTACAGAATGCACACTTGACTTATCAAATTAGAATTTTACCTTTTCTAGGATAATCTAAGGTTTTTAGAACCCTTTAACTTCATTTAACCCTCTCCCATCTTTCAGGCTATTACTGTCATATATTTTAACTGCACAAGACATTATTGTTTACACAGTTAATATTCATTGACTCGAATTTATCTTCATGTTTACTCATTTTGTTCTTTATTTCTTTATCTTCAGTCTTCAAATCTGTAGTCATTTTTCTTCTATCTAAAGAGCACCCATTAGTGTTTTTGTTTGTTTATTGTACAGGTCTGTGGGTGACAAATTCTTTAGTTTGGTGTTTGCATTTTATTTTGTTGTTGTTTTGGTCTAAAAATGTCTTCATTTTATCTTCATTTTTAGAGTTTTTCTGTTGCTGGGCATAGAATTATTGGTTGACAGTCATTTTCTTTTGGTTCTTTGAAAAAAAAGATCCATTTTCTTCTGGCTTCCATTGTTTTAATTGAGAAGTTAGCTCTCAAATTTAAAAGCTGGCTGCTTTTAAGATTTTCTGTATATCATTGGTTTCAGCAGTTTTGCTTTGATATGATATAACTAGGTGGCATTTTTTTTCTAAATTTATTCTACTTGAGGTTTACACAACTTATTGAATGTCGTCTTGTTAGCTTGATGTCTCTCATTAATTTCTGAAAATTTCTAGTCAGTGTCTCTTCAAAACTTGTGCTCTGTTTTCTCTAATTTCTTTTGGGTATTCTAACTATATACATTATACCTTTATACTGTATTCTCTGTGTCTCTTTTGCCTTTCTTTTCTTCTCCCACCCACTTTTTTTTGTTATGACATATTCTTTTTCCTTTCTATGCTTCAGACTAGATATTTTAGCTATCTTTTCTTCCAACTCACTATTTCAGTTTTCAACTGTGTCAAATATGCTATTAAATTCATCTGTGAGTTACTTTACATTTTATAAAATTTATCTTTGATTCTTTTTTTTTTTTTTTTTTGAGATGGAGTCTTGCCCTGTCACCCAGGCTAGAGTGCAGCGGCGTGATCAGCTCACTGCAACCTCTGCCTTCTGGGTTCAAGCAGTCCTCCTGCCTCAGCCTCCCCAGTAGCTGGGACTACAGGCGCGTACAACCATACCCAGCTCATTTTTGTATTTTTAGTAGAGACGGGGTTTTGCCATGTTAGCCAGGCTGGTCTCAAACTCCTGACCTCAGGTGATTCGCCTGCTTTGGCTTCCCAAAGTGCTGGGATTAACGGCATGAGCCACCACACCTGGCCTGTCTTTGGTTCTTTTTTATAGTTGACAGATTTCAGTAGAAATGCTTGATATCTTATTTTTTTCTCTATTAAAAATAGTTATTTCAAATTTGTATCTCATAATTCCATTATCTTGGTCCCTTGTAGGTCTATTTATATGTTTGATATTTGGTAATTTTAAAAAATCTCTTTATGCATTCAGTTATTTTTGATTGAGTGCTAGACATAGTACATGAAAAACTGTGGAGATAATTTAAGTATCAAGATGATATTGTTTTCCTTCAGAGAGAATTTATATTTTTTCTGGCAGAAGTCTGAGAATCACCTTAATCTAGTTTCAGAGCTTGAGATCACTTAAAGCTGGGCTTTAGTCCCTCAGGAGGCTGTTCCATTTCTAGTTCCTCCTGCTCTTAGGTACAGCCCTTCAGAGTGCCCAGTTAAAACCCGGGGTTTTTACAAAGGCACCCCACAGCAGGCCCTAAACTCATATTTTTTCTTCTAGGTCAGTGAGGCTGTCAATAACTTCTCAGTCCCTTAGCCACCTTGTCTGAAATTAGCAGACAACCCTAAAGGAAAATTGTCTCCAAATACCGTGCTTATCTCTTCAGATTATCTTCCCATCCTAGATCATGGTTTCAGAATTCTGGATTATTTTCTTGGCTCTCTGATGGCTTCAGATAAAATTTTCCCCAGATTTTCTAGTTCTCAACCAGAATACTAACCTAAATTACCTAGTGTACGTGTCTTAGTCTGTTCAGACTTCCACAACAAAATACTTTAGACTGGGTAATTTATAAATCATAGAAATTTATTTCTCACAGTTCTGGAGGCTAGAAAGTCCAAGATCAAGGTTCCAACTCATTTATATCTGGCGAGGGCTCACTCTCTGCTGCCAAGATGGCCCCTTCTTGCTGCATTCTCATGTGGCAAAGGGGCAAGGCAGCTCCCTTCAACCTCTTTTATAAGGGCACTCATCCCTTAATTACTTCCTAAAGGCCCCCACCTCTTAATATGATCACTTTAGGGATTAAGTTCCAACATGTGAATTTGTGGGGGACACCAACATTCAGACCATAGCAGCACCTTTACTATAATAAGAAAGGCTTCCTTTAGTTTTCTCACCTGTTTTTCTGGATGGCAGGTATTCCAAGTATGCTCAGTTCTGTTAAGGAAAAGTGTAGCACCCATTTAAATGATACTGATTTTGACTGGGTATGGTGGCTCACGCCTGTTATCCCAGCACTTTGGGAGGGTGAGGCAGGTGGATCACTTGAGCTCAGGAATTCGAGACTAGCCTGGGCAACATGGCAAAATCCTGTCTCCACCAAAAATACAAAAAATTAGCTGGGCGCGGTAGCACACGCCTGTAATCCCAGCTACTTGGGAGTCTGAGATGAGAGGATCACTTGAGCCCAGGAGGCGGAGGCTGCAGTGAGCCAAGATTGCACCACTATACTCCGGCCTGGGTGACAGAGTAAGGCCCCATGTCACTCACACAAAAAATGATATTGATTTGGCAGATCTGTGCTTCATGTTGTAAACCCTAAGAAGTCCTTCCAAGTATCTTTCTTGGTACAAACTCTGAGAGAGATAGAGACCCTGAATCATATCAGTTATTAAATAAAGTAGAATTTAAAATTACATGAAAGCAATTTTTTAAATTTTTAAATTAAGTATTGGGTAGAATTGTATTAACTAGGGCAAATGTCATGAACAAAGCAAGTAGAAAAGTACTAAATGTTCTGAAAGTACCAGCATCAGTACAGCCAGATATGCAGTGGTCCTTAACCTAGAGCATGACCCCACTCACCTAGAGGATAGAAGGAAGTGTTTGTGGGAGCCTAGTGGGCGTTGGATTATAGATACCAGATGTGCTGCAATGAGAGGAGTGGTCCTACAGAACAGAGAATTCTCTTGCCTCAAATGCCAATAGTGTGAAAAACTATAGAGCGATAATTTAAGCTTCAGGATGTTATCCTTCTCCTGAGAGCCTTCATGTTTGCTTCTGGCAGCAAACACCAATAGAGCAAAAGACTCATATAAAGTTACTGTATCGCTTAGAATAGGCTATGCTCCTGGGAGAAGTAGACCTCCAAAATTCTGAGACTTAAGAAAAATTTATTTGTCATTCACATTGCAATCTGGGACAGCGTGTGTAATCTAGGACAGTTGTCCAGTTTGGACAGCTCTTTTCCTCACACTGATTTAAGAGACCGAGGCTGCTTCCACTTGTATTCTCTTCTGTCCCCTAGGACCTTGTCATTATATGCATGGGTGCAGCTGGGCAGCTACGTCCAGATTGCAGCTGGCAGGAAGGGAGAGAAAGCATGGAGGAGGCATACACCTTCTTCCAAGTTCTAACCTGGAGGTGGCACACTTCACTTATGCTCACTTCCATTAATGAGAACTGACACATGGTCACCTGTTCCAGCTAGGAACTGGGACATGTCATCTAGCTAAGTACCCAGGTAGAAGAAGAAATCGTTTGGTGGACAGCTGGCAATCCCTGTCACAAGTGTAATGAAAAATATGACTCAAAGGCTGGGCGCGGTGGCTCACGCCTGTAATCCCAGCACTTTGGGAGGCCGAGGCGGGCGGATCACGAGGTCAGGAGATCAAGACCATCCTGGCTAACACGGTGAAACCCAGTCTCTACTAAAAAAATACAAAAAATTAGCCGGGCGTGGTGGCGGGCGCCTGTAGTCCCAGCTACTCAGGAGGCTGAGGCAGGAGAATGGTGTAAACCCGGGAGGCGGAGCTTACAGTGAGCCGAGATCGTGCCACTGCACTCCAGCCTGGGCGACAGAGCAAGACTCTGTCTCAAAACAAAAAAAAAAAAGAAAGAAAAAGAAAAATATGACTCGAAAAACAACAAAAGGTAGAAGCTAGTTTGCACAATGCTCAAGTGCCAGGTCAAGTTTGGACTTTGTCCTGTAACCACAAGGAAAACCAGTAACTATTTCCGAGCAGGGACACGGAATGCTTAGGATAATTATTCTGGCAACAGTGAGCAAAATAGATTGCGAAGACCATTTAAGAAGCTCTGACAGGGGTCAAGAAGTAAGAAGATAATAAAAGCAAGCATGGTGGTCATGGGAAGGAGAAAGAGGAACCAGTATTATTAGAGACATGAAATTTCATTCATAACAACTAACATGCATTGAGCACTTTACATTTATTAACTTATTTAACCCTCAGAAAAACTTTATTATCCCCATTCCACTAATGCAGGAACTGAGACCTAGAGTATGAGTTGGGACAGAAGCCAAGTCATAATAAGAGTTAAAGATACAGGAGTGATGAGGAATGTAGGCAGCATTCGTAGATTGCTGTGAAAAAATGTGGCCACACAAGCAGGAAAGAGACAAGATAGATGGAGACGCCTCATCAGTTAGTAATAATAAGAACAGCTAATGTTTATTGAGCACTTCCTATGTCTTGGCCACTGATCTGGGTACTGTATACAAATTATCTCATTTAATCCATTTTACAGGTAAAAAGGCATAATTTGCTCAGAGTCACACAGTTAGTAAATGACAGGGCTGGAAATGTTTTCTCAAGAGGGGAACAAGCTATACTTTTGAAACCCAGCTCAACTTCTTTTTCTCTGTCTACTCTCTTGCTCAGCCCCACATTTCTCCCTGCCTTCCACCTCCTGATACATTTTTAGTTGTTGCCCCATGTTTTAGCATCTCATTATTACCTAGCAGTTTCCTATGTTGGTTATATTTAAACTTTTTCAGGCTGTGACTATCTTCCATCCTTTTCTTATTTTAAGAGTTCCTAGTCCAATATTAGGCATGTAGTACATACTTGAAAATATTTGTTTGATGACGTTGATTATTTTGTTTTCAATATTCCAATAAACAGTTAATCAAGGACATATTTTAGATGTTTGTATACATTAGTTACACATGAATTCTTTTATTTCATCCATTTAGCTACTAACATATTGATTATAGAGGACTTTTTTTCATTCCTTTTATATTGCAGTATGATTGTCTTGTATTAAATGTGTCTGCTTCTTTCTTAACAGGTAGATGCTGGCTGGATTGGATTTTGGTCCATAGTTGGAGGCTGTGTTGTTGGAATAGCTATGGCAAGGTGAGAATATTTTGTTAAACTTGTGAGTGGACAGAGCAGGGGGAAAAAGCCTAAAGATAAATAGGCTCCCCTAAATAAACATTACAATTCAGGGAAAAGTAAAACAAGCAAAGGTCAGAAAGGGGTACTTGTTCAGAGTACAAGAAAATTCATATGCGTTATATAGAATTGCTGCTAACAGGCCGGGAATGGTGGCTCACGCCTATAATCCTGGCACTTTGGGAGGCTGAGGCAGGCGGATTACCTGAGGTCAGGAGTTCAAGACCAGCCTGGCCAACACGGCAAAACCCTGTCTCTACTAAAAACACAAAATTACCTGGGTGTGGTGATGAGCGCCTGTAGTCCCAGCTACCAGGGAGGCTGAGGCAGGAGAATTGCTTGAACCCCGGGAGGCAGAGGTTGCAGTGAGCCATGATTACGCCACTGCTCTCCAGCCTGGGCAATAGAGTGAGACTCCATCTCAAAAAAAAAAAAAAAAAGAATTTGCTGCTATAAGAAAGTTTCTCTGGAGTATCCCTTCCTCAAGTGTTTTTTTCTGGAGACTGGAAATGTATTTCCAGTGTAGTTAAGGTGCCTCTTTCCATATTATTGGAGAACAACATCTACAAATGGAGACCAAAAAAGGTAATATAATAATAAAGACAAATTAATAGCTGTGGAGACTAAAAGGGTTGAGAAGAAATCATTTGTAAAAGTGTCAATAGAACTTTCCATGAACAGGCAGTGTCCTGATTAGCAGACATTATTTATTTATGGTCTTTTTTGGCTGGTATTTTCCTATGGTTATCCCTTTTTGATGCAAAATGTCTGTGAAGACTTTCAGTTTCATCACACTCTCTTTGATCATAACCTATTACAACAACACATTGTTAGAATGAGTCAGAAGTAGGAAAAAGGTCCCATTCGTTCTAAAAAAAAAAAAAAAAAAAAAGGAAAAGAATTAAAATGTTACTCTCTTAGGCAACTGCCTATAAAACTATTCTTGGTATTTCCAAAGAGATAATATTCATTCACTTCCCAAATCATTTTACTCTGCTCAAAAACAAAATTAGGCAATCAACTTTACCATGAAGAGGAGAATCTAATTATATATTTGGGAAGATCAAATATAAGATCCACATATCACCTCAATATCTAAATACTTGAATATAATTGATACAGGATAATGTTATACCTAGACTTTATGGTTCACATAGTGTTTCAGGGATATTGAAAGAATAAATTGACACTGTAATTTCTAAATCACTTTATTTGAAGTGTTAGGAAAATATAAGAAAACTAAAAGCTAAAGAAGCAGAAGGGGAATATAGTATTTGTAGGAAATCACTGATACTAAAAATACATTGACCTGTCTTATTTTGACAAGAATCATACCTCATTTTTCTAGTTAAATCTCCAAGCCAATTATAGTGAGTCATTGATCACATCCTATTCTGAGCACCAAATTGGTCAAAGGGGGAACAATTATGTATCAAAAATGATGTCTCAAATGCTCCTTTGTCATTATTTTCCTTCTATACCCCTTAATTTTAACTAGATATAGATATAATTAAAGGGAAAATTTAGAATGAGGACTTTTCTGCTTTTAATTTGTTGAAATGGAAGTTCTAAAAAAATACTACCCTTACTCTGGGATCTGAAGTCAATTTCAGTTATCTCCTAGCCCTAAAATCAATTTTAAAATTACTTTCCTGACACCATTTTTTGGGATTCCCTAGGACAGTGCTACCTTGTAGACATACATGAGTGCTTTGGGTGATATTTTTGTAATTAAAGACCACTATTAAAGATACTTCTTCGTCCTAATAATACACTTCAATGGTATCAGCCTATTCGAAAGGACTGGATCTCCAAAAATAGCAGACTACAGTTGTCGGTTTATTCTTGTATGATCAGTTTCTGTGAAACTTTCTTGCAATTCAACTCTGATTTGTACTAAAAGCCTGTTTTATTCTCTTATACCTTGTCATCTCTGTATCTGACAAATAAGTTTATGCAGCATACCAAAATGTAAATCTGAAAACTGTTAGGTAAGCGTGGGATTAAAACAGTCTTTTGGATTTTCTTGAGGAATATTTTGTAAAGCTGTGGAAACTTTTTCAGCATACCTAAGAATTTTCTGCTTGAGGACAAATTTAAGTCACTGGGCAAAAGTGCATTCATTTTTCCCACCAAAAGATGGCATCAGCTCTCATAGGAAGTCATTTTATTCTAGAAAACACAAACATGATTAACCATATCATGTCAAATAAGTACAAAACAGAAGATAGTATTCAAAGTTTTAAGAAGGACAGTCACATAATTACAATAGAAATGTAAATCAACTTTAGAAAATTAAAAGTGAAGAGAATATAGTAAATGTTGTATTTGAGATGGGATCAGCTATTCTATAAGAGGAACAGTTCTGAAGGACAGAATAAATTGTGCAGCCAGAGGATTGTGCCCGTACAATCAACAGTTAATCCACAGGTGAGGAAAAGCAGCTGGCAAGTGGAAAATTTTTTTGGCATAGCTAATGATAAGCGTCTCTACCAGATGCCCTTTAGTTTCATGAAAACTCAAACATGAAAACTTAAAATGCTATAAAAGTCCCAAGTTTAGAAGAATAATATTCACTATTCCAGATGCCGTGTATGTTTTGTTCTCAAGAAGTTTACAATCTGGTAGGGAAGACAAAAATAAATGCAAAAACAAGAGTTTCCAATAGAGAAAGTGCTATGAAGAAATAAAATAGAAAGTGGAGGTGGGATGGGGAAAGACTTCTTCACTGAGCCCAGAGGGCCTTGTTGAACTGAGACCTGAATGACCTGAGGGGTAAACAGGAGTAAGACGTGAAGATCCGGGTGGTACCAGCATTCCAGGCAGACGGAACAAGTACGGAAGCTACATATTGCTGTGGTAAGCAACCATGGCATGTATGAGAAACAGAAACATGGCCATCCAACTGGAGAACAGTAGAAGAAGAGAGAGCAGGGCCAGGCAGCAGGTCACATAGGACCTCAGAGGCTCTGGTGTAGGCATCTGTGTTTGTTCTCTAAGTGAGTTTGAATTTTGAGAGAGATCTTTGCAAGTTCATGTCAACAAGTTAGCCTGATTTTCAAAACTAAGATAATACATGTTCATTATAGAATGTTTGGAAAGTATAGAAAAATATGAAGAAAATGACAGTGACACTTAAAAACTCAGAATCAACTGGGCATGGTGGCTCATGCCTGTAATACCAGCACTTGGAGAGGCTGAGGTGGGAGGATCCTTGAGCCCAGGAGTTCAAGACCAGTCTGGGCAACATAGAGAAACCCTGTACACACACAAAAAAATAATAATTAGCCCAGCTACTCAGCAGGTTGAGGTGGAAGGATTGCTTGAGCCTGGGAGGTGAGGCTGCAGTGAGCCGTGATCACATCACTACACTCCAGCCAGGCAATGGTGAGATCCTGTCTCTAAAAAAAAGTAAACACTCAGAATATATCCTATAAATTATAGATCCTGAACAAAGATGCCGTTTTTTGTGTTTTATAAGAGAAAAAAAATTATCACAAAGTAACATCATACAAGAAAATTTGTTTTAAAAAAACACTGAAAACTGTCTTTTAAAAGAATATATGGAAAATTCCTCAAGTAGTTGTTAGTGAAAGTGTGTCATTTGCTTAAATAGTATTTTTAAATCCCACTAGAATTAATAGAGCATTTTTGTTTTTAGGTTTGCAGATTTTATCAGGGGTATGCTGAAACTAATTCTTCTCCTCCTGTTTTCGGGAGCTACACTGTCATCCACGTGGTTCACCCTGACCTGTTTGAACAGCATCACACACCTACCTTTAACCACAGGTGAGCATAGGCTATTTTTGAACTTTTAATAAATATTTTCATTCACAGAAGTGTACATAACTCTGACAGTAGGACTTCTTCTTGCTTTCTGTAAGTAATTGTTAAATATACAAAAAAGTTTCTCTTGTCCAGTCATCAAACCATCATCTTATCTAAAGAGTCCAAAAAATAACTAAAAATATTTTAATTGGTATTTTTCACATGGAAAAGAAGTATAATCTTTAGCCTTAACACATAGAGCATGGAAATGCTTATATTTGTTTAAAATTTCTATCAGAGCATAATACAAAGATTTTTATCTTGGTTATAGTCATTATATCACTGTTAAATAATAATAATAATTAACAAGGCAAAAAACTATGGTATACTTCAGTAAAGTTATTTGAACCAGCCCCTATAGGTTTATTTTACATTTAGTGTTATTCCATCATTAATACAAAGCAAAACTTACTGGAAATACCTGTTGAAAGTATATTACAGCCAGCTTACTTAGCTTATCTAATGGACCTGAAACATTTTTAGTTGCTGTTGTTTTTCTTGTCATTATTAATATCATCAATTCAGAGTCTATTTTCTATTGCTGCTGTAAAAGTTATGCAAATTTAGCAACTTAAAACAACAGAAATTTATTATCTTACATTTCTGTAGAGTAGAAGTTCAATACAGGTCTCACTGGGCTAAAATCAAAATGTGAACAGACTCTAGGGAAGAATCTTTTTCCTTGCCTTTTCCAACTTCTAGAGGTCACCCACATTCCTTGTTTATGGCTCTGTCCTCTGCCTTCAGAGCCAGCAACCTTGGGTCAAGTCCTTTTCACGTTGCATTATCTGTGCCTTTCTTCCATCGTTACATCTGCTTCTGAACCCTTCCCTTCTGCCTTCTTCTTTCTTCCTCTTCCACTTTTAAGGATGCTTATGATTACATTGGACCCACCAAGATAATTTGGAAAAGTCTGTCAATTTTAAGGCCAGCTGATTAGCAACCTTAGTCCCATTTCAACCTTAATCCCCTTTGTCTTGTGAAATAACATATTCACAAATTCCAGAGATTGTCATGAATATCTTTAGGGGAGGGAGGGCATTACTCTGCCTACCATGGGATCTTTTTAAAATTACTATGACAGATTATTATTGGCTTATAAACCAGAGACTCTGTTATTACTCCTTCCTTTCTTCCAGCAAAATATTAAGATGCATATTTTATATTATTTGCAAGTAATATTCAGCCACCTTTTGCATTATATATTTAATTATAGGATTATTTGGTAGATTGTAAGATTGTAACAGTCATTTATAACAAGCATTTGTGTGAGTAGAAATAAATAAGAGTCTGAAAGTGACTCCATGGGGACCTATTGCCCAGTGGCATGTATGTTCCATGGGAATCTTTGAGAAGGCAGGTGTTTTTGGTCTACATTATATGTAAGGAATATCCCACTTTGGATCTCTATACTCTGTAATAAAAGAACCAGCAGTTTACACATCAGAGGCATCAAATCTTTCAAGGACAGCCATTTATTTGGGATTTCCTACCACTTTTACAGTGATAATAGGGCAAGGGGATAAGATTGCCCTATACTCAAAATTAGCAACCTCTGCACCAAGCCAGCCACCCTGGAGTGCCTCAGTAAGCTCACAAGGGCAGCACAGGGATCTGCAACATCTGTCAGATACTGGTTGAACCTCTAGTTCAGAGAAGTTCCCAGTTTCAGCATTAGATTCTGCTGCATTCTTTTCGATGACATCGTATCTTTGCAAAGTAATTTTTTTGGTGGTTGCTGTGATAAAAAGGAAGTACCACACAAGTACCACACAAAAATTAGTGTGGAACACAAAATGAGGGTGGGGGTGTCCAGTCTGATTCCAAAACTTTTAAAAGTCTTGCAGTGCGCATCAGTGCACACATCTCATCAATAAGTAATTGTGGTTCTTTAAGGATGAAATAAAAATATATTTCTTTCAGCTTATGAGTATTATTTTTTTAATGGCTACTAAATTGTTAGGATATATCATACATGTTATTAAATAGTTTGAACCAAAGATGTGATTAATGGGATTGTTAGCTGTTTCTCTTGGCCTTGGAACACTGAAAAAATTACTGAGACGCTAGGAGTGCTAAGAACAAAGAAGGCCTGGAAATCCCTGTTCTACACCATCCTGCCAACAGTCCCTCTTCTCTGTACACATGCTTTGCCTGGAAAACCCAGTTGTCCAAAGTAATAATTAGATACAGAGTAAAATACTGTGCACTGTTGTACACAACTGGCATCCTACATTGGAGTTTTGAACAATTTTGGCAAGTATTCTGAGCCAGAGCCAGAATTTTTTTAAAATTTTATTCTGGTATAACTTCATAATTTAGCAGTTGTACAACATTCTGGTGGAACAGTCTTAGTTTACAACTCTTCTTATTCATGGCATTACATTCAGATTTTTTGTGTGTGATACTGTATGTCAAGTTAGCATCTGTGGGATTTTACAAGAACATAGTCATGAGTACATAAAGAACAGATTTCTTTCCCTTGAATTAAGTGTAGAATTTTTATTATAAGATAGTACATTCCATTAAATTTTATGTATTTTCAATTTAATGTGATAACAGCTTTATCTCTGGGTAGAATATTAAGAATGAATTTAATTTTTTAATCTCTTTTTTTTGGTCTGGATTTGTATGAGCATGTTTTAATTTTATAATCGGAAAAATGCATTTGAAAATTATTCATCTTTTAAATCTTAAAATTGATGTGATTGACCCTAGTCAAGACCATATTTTACCAGTCTGGTATTGAAAACAATTATGTTGGACAGAAAGGAAAGCAGAATTCTAATTAAGGCCAGAATTGAAAGATAGAATTGATGTGGCCACCTTAACAACCACAGAATTTATAAGTTCTACTGTTGTTTTCAATTGCAAGTAAGTTTTTGAATGTCACTTAGATACTCTTGAAAGATGTATTTTTACCTTACAAGCACACTGGGTTACGGACTAGATTTGTCCACATTCCTTCTCTGAATTATAGCAGGTTTTTGTCTCTCTCCCCTAATACTACTTAATAGTTACTTAGGTATATATGTCTTATCTTCCCTACCAGTCTGAAAATCTGGAGCATGGTTTTGTGCCAACTCCCACTGTGGAACCTAGCACAGGCCCTGAAGAAGGAGTGAATGAATGAATGAAGTATATGTTATCTCCATTTGAGCCACAGTAAATGTTACTTGTTGCCAGTGGTAGTCAGCAATTGTGGTCACTCTTATTCAGCACTTGCTGTAGGAAGGTAGAAGGGCATGTTTTAAATGGAACACGAGAATTTGAATAAATATGTCACAGATACCCTTACAAGCCTTGTAAAAATCTGACCTAATTCCTTTTAAGTAAAAGAGGTTTCATGAAAGGAAACTTACTACAAAATCTAATTATAGACAAATCTATACCTTTAGGCTGGTATTTAAAGTCTGTAATGGTAAATTCATGTTTCTTTTTTACTGGTCATTCCTATTTTAATCAGGAAAATATCTAGTCTTTTTCCTCTTTCCTAGCAAACTTAGAATTTCTTTTACTGCTTTTTATATATCAGAAGAATCTACCTGAAACGTATTTGTAAATATATGTATTAAACTGTTTAATAAATGGAAAGCTAGTTAATTTTGTTCAACCCATGTGTTATAAGTGCTACTGCTGTCTCATTAAAACTTTGTCTTTTTTTTTTGAGACAGTCTCACTCTGTCACCCAGACTGGAGTGCAGTGGTGCAATTTCAGCTCACTGCAACTTCCATTTCCCAGGTTCAAGTGATTCTCATGCCTCAGCCTCCCAAGTAGCTGGGATTACAGGAGTGAGTCACCACGCCCAACCTCATTAAAACTAAAATTTTCTATGGCAATCTTTCTGTAGTTCACTGGTTGTGATATTATTGTTACCATCTCTACAGAATAAAAACTGGGTCATTCCAGTCTATCCCAGAGCATACTGTTTTGATACATTTACTTGCTTACATATATCCTCTTGGATGCTTTTCCTTAGGGAAACTCAGAATATTTAAAATTGCATTATGTCTTTATTTAAATTGAAGTACTTAGAATAGGGCGAATAAATAACCTCATGACCAGATAACACGAGTTTCAAAATCTTGAAGTTTATGCAATAAACAAAATTTTGAAAATACATTATTCACCTTATCTGAGAACTAGATGTCTAGCAGCCCTGTTAGCCACAACTCACCAAGTCATTTTGTACTGAACAGATGAATGCTTTGAAAATGGCATTTTGAAAAATGTTAGCACTTTGTTGAGTTTACTGAAACAGTATAATTTGACTGTTTGACAGAAGTTGCCTTGGGAGAGATTATTTATCTAATTTCATCTAAACTTACTAGAATGCTATGACAGTGATATCAGAAACATGCTGGATGGGGGAGTAAGGAAGGACAACTAGCTAGACAGAAGCCCCCAGGGAGTGATAGCTGACCACAAGGTGACTTCAAGTGTTATTTAAAGAAAGGAAACATACCCAGTTGTATTGAAAGGCATGCAACAGCTGGGTCAGTGGGTTATGCCTGTAATACCAGCACTTTGGGAGGCCAAGGCAATAGGATCACTTGAGGCCAGGAGTTTGAGATCAGCCTGAGCAACATAGTGGGGCCATGTCCCTACAAAAAATAAAAAAATTACCAGATATCATGGCATGTTTCTGTAATCCCAGCTATTCAGGGGGCTGAGGTGGGAGGATCACTGGAGCCTGGAAGTTCGAGGCTGTAGTGAGCCATGACCACTGCACTCCAACGTGGATGACAGAGTGAGATCCTGTCTCTTAAAAAAAGAAAAATAAAAGGGCATTCAACATGTATAGGCTAGAGAGTAATCCTCTTACTATATTTTCATGTCTTTTGCCTCTGTTCTTAACTACTGTTTTCAATTTTATGGACTAAAAGTGACAAAGTCTCATGCTCATGACAGACAGCTCAAGGAAGAAAAAGTAGAATATGGATTAAAAGAAGAGAATGGATTTGTGAAAAATCTTAATGTAAGAATCATTAAATGCTGAGGCAGATCATATAATGTTTATCCATGGAGATTTTCAAGAAGAGAAATAAGTCTTGCAGCAGATTCTGTGTTTCTTACAGTTAGAGGGCTTGACTAGGTATCAGTGAGCGTTCCATGATTTAATAGTACCTTACAGCAAAATATGCCTCATCCTCTTTTGGAACCACAGTTGCATATACTGCGTATTTTAATCAGAAGTAGGTTATGAAGGCCACAGCAGTCACTTTTTTTTTAGGAAGAAATGTGATGCTGAGAGAAGAGGTACAGCTCAGTGATATAGAAATGTATATATCTGTGTGTGTACACACATACATGTGTATTCTATGTATTCAGCACACTCAAAACCTATGAAAAAACTATATAGTTAGCAAACACTGTGAATGTTTCTTCTGGCTGCTTGTTGTTTCTCTTTATATGTGCCTTCATTTGCAAAAGGTGTATTTTCACTTGTTCAAGTTTAATTGGATTGTGAAATATTTGTAATAAAGGTGTAATCTAATAATTCCCAGTTAACTTTCCTAACTTTATCATGAAATAAAAGTTCAGTCAGTATGCACAATAATAAAAGTTTGTCCAGTAAAGTGTGTTAATGTTATAAGCCTACACTTCAGGGACATTTCTTGATTCTACTCCTTAAGATATAATTCTTGATTCTACTCCTTAAGATAATTATTATCTACTCCTTAAGATAATAAAAATCTGTTGTGTTATTTTATAATGCTACTTATTTCTTCATAAAACTGTAAACAAATCTATTATTCTTTTCCACCAAGAAGCACCTACAAGTTTTTTGTTTATTTGTTTTTCTTCTGAAACAGTCTCACTCTGTTGTCCAAGCTGGAGTACACTGGTGCGACCTTGGCTCACAGCACCCTCAACCTCCCAGGCTAAAGCTATCCTCCCACCTCAGACTCCCAAGTTACTGACTATGGCGTGTGCCACCATGCCCAGCTAACTTTCGTTGTTTTTTTTTTTTTTTTTTGTAGAGATGGGGTTTCGCCACGTTGTCCAGGCTGGTCTCGAACTCCTGAGCTTAAGCGATTCGCCCACCTTGGCCTCCCAAAATGTTGGGATTGCAGATGTGAGCCCCATGCCTGGCAAGATTTTTGTTTTTAATATCCTGGTTAAGTTCTCCTCCCTACATGTATTTAAATTTGTTATTCATCTACTTAAATGAACTTTAGGCATCATCTAATATAATTTATCATTGAGTAAGTGAATCTCTTCTATCACATACCAGGTATATGTTCACCTGTCTACAACTTAAATATCTCCCACAAGAGAAGACATCACCTGTTTTGTTGTTAGCTCTGGGGCCTAGAATGTTCATCCTCCCAGTGAGTTATAACTGACTTGGAGCAACATAGCTTGCAGAGAACAAGTCAACTCCCTTTCTCTTCCACTGACAGCCCTCAAAACATTTGAAGACAGCTGTCATGTCTGACCTTAGCTTTTAATCTAACCATCCCCCCCTGCCCCCGACCCCATTCTTAGGACCATTCCTCATCGGATGTGGATTCCACACCACTGACCTGCCAGATGACTCTCTTCTAAACCTATCATAGATTGCTAGGGTCCTCCTTAAAACATTTTACTAGAATTTAGCACACTTTTCCTGCTGCATTCAGCACCAAGGCTGTTGCTTCTCATGGTTAGACATGCTTTTTTTTTTGGAGAGAGAAATATAATTATCATCTTAACACTGTGCATATAAATGGTTGCTGGGGCAGCAGGTGTCCATCATATTCCTTAGAGTATAAGAGTGATCTGAGGATAGAGTGTGTTTTATTTACTGCTCTAACATAGCAGCCTCCACGTAATAGGTATCTGATAAGTCGTTTTGAAGAAAGGCTTAAGCTAAGTTTTCCCTCTTATATACTTAAACAATTTGGGGCCAGTTTTATATTTAATGTGATTAAAATTCATCTTTTTGTTTGTAACCTTTTGATGTTCTTTGTTTTTGGTTCTGTCATATAATGTGCAGTCACTTCCAGCTTTTGTGCTGAATACAGATTTGGGAAATAGGCCTTTCATGTCAATACCATTGGATTAAAAAATACCAGGCCTTGTTACTTTTTTTCTTTTTTCACTGTGACACAGTGAATTGGCAGAAAACATGCTAGAGTCTGTAAGCCTTAATCATATTATTAGCACTGATAATTTACACTATTTCTAAATAAGCTGTTTTTTTACTTTCAGAACTTTGGTCACTTCAACTGTAAAATACCTGCCTCAAAGAGCTGATAGGATGATCAAATAAGATAATATATGTGAAAGCAGTTTTTAAAATATTTTTAGAAATTATATAAATCCAAGATTATAAAGTTGTAATTGTTATTGCTGTCTTGAGAATCTCGTTAGATGTTGATAGAATAGTTCTTATTCTTATCTGTGATTTGTTTTATAACCACTGATCCCCAAAGTTTTTAGTGTAACTTTAGTTAATAAAAATGTATTCAGGCTAGGCACGGTGGCTCACGCCTGTAATCCCAGCACTTTGGGAGGCCAAGACAGGCGGATCACGAGGTCAGGAGATCGAGACCATCCTGGCTAACACGGTGAAACCCTGTCTCTAGTAAGAATACAAAAAATTAGCCGGGCATGGTGGTGGGCGCCTGTAGTCCCAGCACTTTGGGAGGCCAAGACAGGCGGATCACGAGGTCAGGAGATCGAGACCATCCTGGCTAACACGGTGAAACCCTGTCTCTAGTAAGAATACAAAAAATTAGCCGGGCATGGTGGTGGGCGCCTGTAGTCCCAGCTACTTGGGAGGCTGAGGCAGGAGAATGGCGTGAACCCAGGAGGCAGAGCTTTCAGTGAGCCGAGATCACGCCACTGCACTCCAGCCTGGGCAACAGAGCGAGACTCCGTCTCCAAAAAAAAAAAAAAAGTATTCACACATAGTTTTGTTTCCCTAAAGTTTAGTAATTTGGTTTTTTACGGGCACAAGGGTGGGGAGGAGTATTTTCAGGGTTATGATCCAAGTCATGTGCTTGAAATACATTCATTTTTAACTGTAGTTTGTGCTACACAGGACTTTGTTTTTTACCATTTAAAGTGTGGGCCCATGAAATTTTATTAGCTTTTTATTAGAAAAAAAACTGCATCAGCACTTCAGTTGTGTTTGTTCTGCTGAATTACCTTGAATTTTTAATTGAAAGGCAGTTGATTGTAATTTTAGTATCAGTATTATACAAAGTTATGGAAATACTTAATGATCATGTAGTTTGAACCCTCTATGACAAGCAGGAAATTATCTTGTCTGCCTGACTTTTAATAGATGACATTCACCCACTGAATGTATGAGAACTGAAAACTCAAATGGAAGTCAAATTCAGACTTGGAATAATCAGCCTCTGCTTTATGCATGCCCCAGAACACTGGAATATATTAAATCAGTCCTGACACAGCTACCTTCCCCCATTCTGATGATGAAGATCTCAATCTAACCCCTTCCTGGGTAAATTATTGTGATTCTTTACTTTCTGCATTTCCACATGTCCAAGTGATTTCCACATGTCTATCCATTGTAATAGAAACCTCTTGGTCATCACTTTTATGGTAATACAAGAAGCAAACACCAAGACTGAGACAATTGAATGAAAATCTCTAATTTTTGATTACTGGCCTCTGAAGTTATATCATCCGTTTATCCTACATATAGTAGCCCATTTGTCCTCCATATAATAGGCATTCTAACAAATGGGAAAATCTTCATGTCAAGGATCCTGCGCCAAGGCTGTGTTATGTGGCTCCTGGGTATAGACATCAGCTCTTTGGGTCAGCTCACCTGGTGATAACCATTTCTGAGCTAATGAGCTCACAAACTCACATGAAGTGGAGTTGTGTCCGCTGTCCATTCATTTGTTCATAATGAAATTTCTTTTAATTTTATTAAATAAGTAAGCTATACACATAGTAAAAAATTCAAATTCAAGTAGTAGAAAAAGAGTATAGAGTGAAAAGTCTCTACTCTCCTGTGACCCCCCCCAGTTTTCCTCTCTAAAGGCAAATCTGATTGCCAGTTTCTTCTGTATTCTCCCAGGGAATTCTGTATATTTACAGATAGATAACGTGTATGTGCCGTTTATTTTAATATAACATACTTTTCAGCACCTTTTTCACTTATGTATCTTAGTTATTAATATTATTATAATACATACAGAGGTGCCTCATTTTTAATTGTATAATATTTCTTTGGATGTTTTATAAATTTTTAACCAACCAACACCGCCCCCATTGGGGGATACTTAGTTTGTTTTGAATCTTTTCACACTGTATTTTTTTGGATAAGTGTTCTTTGTATACCTATACCTGCATAGCAGTAGGATAAATTCCTAGGCATGGAATTGCTAGGTCAAAGAGTAATTACATTATTTATTTTGATAGACATTTCCAAATTACTCACCAGAAGATGAGCTATTTACAGTTTCATCAGCAATGTTTAACCACAATAAAAATTTTATCTTTCCAACGACAGTTAATTATCCCTCATCTTCCAAGTTCCTCCCAGGATTTAGATACATAAAAAGCCAAAATCCAAAGATTCTTAATAAGCATGAAATGAGGGCCAAGGGAGTTGTATGGTCTTGAGGTCTTAGGGTTTTCAGACAGCCCGCTGCTTCCCCGTCAGATGTATCAGAAGAGACTGGACTCTTCTGACACATCCCATGCCTCTTTCTTTGTACCATGCTTGATTTAAAAAATCATTAAAGTCAAATCTCTCTTTTCAAGACTCTATATTGATAGTTCCCTTTCAGTGTGTTATTATATTTTCATTATTTTATCACATAGAATTATTCTATTAACCAGATTGTGATTATTTTTCAATTATTACATTTTAATTTGTCTGATTACAAATTGTGTGGAGTACATTTCCTTCAGAAATAAAAATGTAGAAAGTATTATTTCAAAACATGTTTCCTAAAAACAGCTAATTCCATTGGAATTTGGGAATCTTTACTCAGAAGTAGTACTTGCTGGTCCTTAAGAGCTTGATTTCTTTCCTGTTACTTACTTCAGTATTTTCTTGTTTTAAACTCTTAGGCTCATCAAGGTTTTGGTCAATGGTTCTCTGTCCTCTGACTACCACTGACTGATCAATAAATTTTTATTTAAAAAAAAACTTTATTATTATTATCATTATTATTATTATTTGGAGAAACAGGGTCTCACCATGTTACCCAGGCTGGTCTCGAACTCCTGGGCTCAAGCAGCCCTGCCTCAGCCTCCCAAAGGGATTACAGGCATGAGCCATCATGCCAGCTTGATCGATAGATTATTCTAGGTCAGGTGCGGTGGCTCACACTTGTAATCCCAGCACTTTGGGGGGCTGAGGCAGGTGGATCACTTGAGGTCAGGAGTTCGAGACCAGCCTGGCCAACATGGTGAAACCCTGTCTCTACTAAAAATACAAAAAAAATTTAGCTTGGCATGGTGGCACGAACCTGTAATCCCACATGCTCAGGAGGCTGAGGCAGGAGAATCACTTGAACCGGGGAGGTGGAAGTTGGCAGTGAGCCGAGATCACACCACTGCACTTTAGCCTGGGCAACAGAGCAAGACTCCATCTCAACAATAATAATAATAATAATAATAATAATTAATTAATAATTCTAAAGTGTTTTAGAAATACAATACTCTATAGAAGCCACCAGTGATATTCCATCCCCAGATTTCCTAATGTACCACTAATGAGTCATATGTAAGTAGAAAATGTGATTGATTTATTTGATCTACATCTAGCAAATATATTGTGAACATGAAGTATTAGGTTACGTTTTAAGAATCTCTTGAAAATTATGTCACATTTTAAATGGTATTTATCATAGCTATCAGATGCTTCCCAAGTAATTGTGCAAATAATTTGGTCACTGCCTTAGCCAGCAGTATGTTCTTTATTCACTAAGTGATTCTTTTGTTATCTATTTCCATATCTATCTTCTATTCAAAGAAACAAAGTAATTACCAACTATTTGTATTATCAGAATATACTAAATATTTTATAATCCCCGAAGACTAATGTAATTGGAGGGGAAGCAAGAGTGGAGGTTAATTAGAGAAATTATATTAGAAATCAGTGTGTACTATTATTTTTTTTTTACCCCTTCAACAGTGTCATGGACTGTTAATGATTGCATCAGTTATGGTAAACTCTGATAATCTGATATGTTCTGTGAGTGTGTGAATAATACATAACAGATTTAATGTAACTTCCTTACTTTCTGCAGTTCCCATACAGGATTGTTTTTTTCCTTAACAAATATTTTTATTAAAAATATTTTCCTTGTAACCTTAAACTTAGGATAAATTCTACTCATTATTATCGGTGAATATGATATACTTATTAGGATATAGGGACATGTTTTAGGTTTCTAAATAGGGTATCATTCTTTCCTTTTGGGTTCTGTTTTCACCTTCAAGTTAAAATTAACAAGGGTTTATAGACAGACAGTAGTAGCAATGATTAAAATTAATTGTAGTATATTTCCCCAGACTTTCTTATAAGAATAATATCCTTATTCAATAGACTTTGCCACAGAATAGTGTTAACAGACTTTTTATGGTTTGATTGGGGATCCTAGTCACTATTAATTGTACATTTCTGGATGAAGTCTTTTTCTGTGTTTCAAAAAAGTTACTTATTTAAAAAAAATGTTGACCTAAAACCCATTCCAAAATTGAGGACTAATTCCATTGTGTTTCTCAAGAAATTACATACTGCATAATGTTTATTTTGTGCTTGAAAGCAATTATTAACCAATCTCTTTAAATATGTAATTTTCAGTAACATTTAATGTTTCTGACATTTATTCTTAGATTTTACGCTCTCTTTCTAAAATTATGGAACAAGTCTACAGGAATGTGACCAAGCAGGAGAAGAATCCTTTTAATTATATGATAGTGGTAAATTGTTTTGTGCTCTGGAATAATCCACCAGAAAGGTAAAGGAGATAAACTGGTACCCATCCAGCAATAAAATGGTTTTGTATCTACTCCAGAAAACTGCAGCAAAGAGCTGGCAGATGTGTGATGCTTTGTCAAACTTTATCAACTACCTTTGAAAAGAAGAAATTTTTGAGTCAATACTTAGGAAAGAGAACACCCCGAAGATCTATCTGATATGACTCACTGCCGCTAGTGTGAAACTAAAATGTTTGTGTTTTTATTTTAGTGACATTGTATGCCTCCTGTATTCTCCTGGGAGTGTTCTTGAATAGCAGCGTGCCTATATTTTTTGAGCTTTTTGTGGAAACTGTCTACCCAGTTCCAGAAGGAATTACTTGTGGAGTTGTCACTTTTTTAAGTAATATGTTTATGGGAGTACTTTTATTTTTTCTCACATTTTATCATACAGGTAAGAAATTTGATTTTTTATTTACTATCTAAATGTGTTACAAGAAAAGTTTGGGTCACTAGTGTATAGAAGTTTTTATATGGAGAAGTCTCACCAAGGCAAATTACTTTATGTGAACTTCCATTGCCAGTAAAAGAAAAATTCCTCAGTTGTTTTTCTTAAAATGCATTCTAGCTCAAGTGCACCCTCACTCTTCTCTGCCCCGCCCCTGTACTCCCCCACCCCCGAATTTCTGAATTAATTAACCTGGGCTGGAGCCCAGTATTTGTATTTTTAAAATCCTCCCCACCCCCACGCCTTACCCTACCAGGTGATTCAAATATGTAGATTCTCATTGAGAACCTCTGGTCTATTGCTTTTTAAAAACTACTTCGAATCTCTCTTAACACAGGGTGTAAATTAATGTTAGGGGTGTATATGGAGTTTAAAGCCTGAGGGATGAATGACAGGATGTCACCCAATGTAAGGAATGCTCTAAAATGTGACACTCCAAGAGGCCGAATTGTTTATAGGAGTGTTTCTGACAGGGTTATAACTGAAATAATAACCGTGCTAACCTCCTTGACTGGAAAGCAAATTTTGAAACTTTTTTTTTTTTTTGAGACAGAATCTAACTCGGTTGCCCAGGCTGGAGTGCAGTGGCACGATCTCAACTCACTGCAACCTCTGCCTCCCGGGCTAAAGCGATTCTCCCGCCTCAGCCTCCTGAGTAGCTGGGACTACAGGCAGGTGCCACCATGCCTGACTCATTTTTGTGTTTTTAGTAGAGACGGGGTTTCACTGTGTTGGCCAGGCTGGTCTGGAGCTCCTGACCTCAAGTAATCCACCCACCTCAGCCTCCTAAAGTGCTGGGATTACAGGCATGAGCCGCTGTGCCTGGCCAGAAACTTTCAAAGCCAGTGTGAAACATAATTATCCCTGGGTTTTGGACAACTTCTGGCATAGCACTTTCACCCAACAGCAAAAAGTGTCCATAGGATAGATGAATTTCTTAATATAATGAACAGTACATTAGATTGTTTCTGTCAATCAGTAATGCAGGTAAAGTAGGTCTTTGCTAAACCTGATACAAGTTTGGTTTATCATATGAAGGAGAGTGATATTAATGAAGTCAGAAGGCCACTCTTTGTTGTCCTGGAAACACGTGCTTCCATTAGGGAAAAGTGCCATCACCAGAAATCAGGTTCTTTGCTTCCAATTAGTTTTCTCAACAACGAAGTCTGACAATCATTACATATCAGCTTTAATCCACTTCAGTTGTATCACAATTTAAATTAAGTGGCTTATTGCCTGTCTGCCTGGTAAAGCATCGGAGATGGCTGTGATCCCCCCTGGGATGGTAGAAGCAGTTTTCCAGCCGATGGGCACAGCTTTGCTTAGTGGTTGGTGCCGCCCAGCAGAGCATGGTTTTTCCTGTCAGCTAGAAATAGAGTTTTGTCCTCCCAGTATTTAAAAAGAACAACAGCAGGTGCCAGATAATGTTATCCCCCAATAAATCTTTTGCTTATGGTCTCTAGGATATAACAAACACATTTTTGTTGATCAGTTTAAGGCAGAGAAGACACCAATAATGGAAACTGCCCTAAACTGTCTTACTGCAGCAGAGCTCCGTACACACCTGACCATTTTGCCTGGCCAGTAGTTTATCTCTGTCACTCTCCTGGGTCCTGCTGCGGTTTTGACTTGTTTAACAGCATCTGGTGTCTGGAGTGAATTAAATGGAACCGACGTCAGTCAGTGCTCATTCCTCATTTTGCAAATTCATAGTGACCAGATACAAGCAGATATTTTATTTCTTTGGCAGAGGGAGCAGAAGGAACACTTAGCACTATTTCTGCCCATTTCTGATATAATCAAGGATTTTTCTAGCTGGGAGAAACAAAACTTCCCTCTTTTTGGTCAGTTTCTGACCACATGTTCTTATACATGTTTGTGTAGATGTTAAAAAGTTTCCACCTAAACTTTGTGACTATTGTGAACAAAAGTGAAACTTATTTTTTAAATAATTTCAATGTTTCTTTTAGATTCAAGGAGTACATGTGCAGGATTGTTACATGGGTATATTGCATGACAATGAGGTTTGGGACATGAATGATCCCATCACCCAGGTAGTGAGCATAGTACCCTATGAAACTATAAATAATCATTAATTTTAATCCACCAAGGTGGTTTCCAGGAAAAAGGTCTCATTAAATTTTGGCATTTTAGGCAGTTAATGAGAAGATACCTGTAAAAGAGCCAAGTCCAGGGCACAGCTGGCACCCACCAGTGTTTGTTTTGTTTCTTCTAGATAATTAGCTGACTGATGCTAGGAAGTTAAATATCTAGTCTTCCATTGTAAAGAAATGCTTTTATATGTGTATTTATGAGTGTGCATAATGAATACACAGAAACATCGTCCACATCTCTCTAGGGCTAAAGTTACTAGAACCATGAAATCTATGTTGAAACTCTTTTTAGTAGGATTAATTGATCTTCCCCTAAAAGTCCTGCAGCAGAGGTCCACATTCTTTATGGTCTCAGGTATGATTATACACAAATTGCAAATCTAAAAATTCTGTAAAACTGTTTCCTAACAATAACTGTTAGTTCCACAGCCTAGTACCCTAAACATTTTATATGATAAACTGAACCCCCTTCCATTAAAGCCAGTGTTCATATGTCATTATTCAGTTATTTTGAAACTTGAAAACTCACCCAGAAGTTAATTATATGTCAAAATTCAACTATTAGTTATGTGATTAGAAGGCCTGAATTTTTTAGGGGTGGGGGAGACAGGGTCTTGCTCTGTCACCCAGTCTGGAGTACAGTGGCACCATTATGGCTCACTGCAACGTTGGCCTCCCAGCCTCAAGTGATCCTCCCACCTCAGCCTCCCAAGTAGCTGGGACCACAAGCATGTGCCACCAAACCTGGCTAATTTTTTGTATTTTTTGTAGAGATGGGGTTCTGCCATGTTGCCCATGCTGGTGTTGAACTCCTGGGCTCAAGCAATCCACCTGCCTTGGCCTCCCAAAGTGCTGAGATTACAGGTGTGAGCCACCACACCCAGCCTAGAAGGCCTGATTTTTAATCATCATAAAGATCTGTGGTTTTTTAAGTCACTTCTCAAGGAAGTACTAAACTTCCTGACTAGGGTTTTTCCCCCTACAGTGTGCTATCTGATAAATGAATACATCAGATAATTTTTCAGGGCTATACAGACTAACCCCAAAATGACCATAATGGAATATCTTGCCTAGCAAGCTAGGTTCTGCTGGCAATTTGCTTGCAGATTAGAGCCATTGCAGTCATTGAGGGCAAATGTGGTTCAGGCTCCTATACCAATGCCACTGGCTTATTTGGAGCCCTGGGTCACAGGGTCTCCACCTCCTATTTCAGTTCTGCTTTGGGTACCTGGAACCTTGTCAGAAGTTTTTTAGAGTTTTACTGACTTGGATTTTTCAAGGTCACTTTCAAAAAAAAAGTTGTTACTTGCTCCCTAATATAAACATATTTGTAAAACTGAGTTGCTTCCTGTGTTTGTTTTGAGAATCCCATTGAGTTGACATAGCACAGTGATGCTTTATTCTAATGATGTCACATAGAAAAATCAATTTGAGAATGCTGTTGTATCCTTTATGTGCTCTGCAATGTATTCTGTTTAATATTCTGAAGTTTGTGTTATCTGTTACTTTTTGTTCTAGAAGCTTTGCAGCGGGTTTTGCTAAAAGCATCATGATTTTTATCTCAGCTCTTTCATTTTAAAGTGGCTGACCATGAATGTGAGGCTGTGTTGTCACTCAAAAGATTCAGGGGCCTGGCAGAGGTGGGAGGCATTGACTAATGGTTACCAGGAAAACAAAGAGCAGGTTCAACAGATGTGGACTAGTGAGAAGTAATTTTATATCTAAGAAGCAGAATAATGGAATGTGATGGTAAGATCTACTGGGTAATTGATGTGGAATGAAGATAGCAGGGCATTATCCTGGGAAATCATGGGGTCAGCTGGCTGCTCACCTTGAGTGAGAAAGGAGACAATCTTGTTAAATCATCATAAAAGAAAATAGGAAGTTTGTTCTGGAGAGTGGTAGCTGGAAACAGACAAGTACTTATAAGTGGTAGAAACCGAAAGCGTGACTCCACTGTAGGGAAAGATGAGGTGAAAAGTACAACAGTGCTTCCAGAAGAAAAAGTAAGAGGATGAGCAAAATCCCAATTAATTCAGTCCCAACAGAGCCTCACCATTTGGTGCAGAGCCCACTTCACTGAGTAAAGTCGAGCACCTGTCTAAACTATAAGTTGGCAGAATGAGCACTCCGACTGCTGTGTAGTAGACAGTAGAGACACAGCGGAAGTATGGGGCAGACTGTAGGCCCCTGCCTTCAAGTGTGGATTTATATTTTATCTAGTGAAAGGCAAAGGGAAGGAGTATTAGAAAACCATGCTCATTTTAAAAGATGAAAAGAATTATAATACAAAAATTTCAGTGGCTCGCGATTCTGTTAGTTCATCTACATCAGGGTCAGAAAGGGGATCAGAAAGGACAGCAGCTGACTTTGCTACTGCCAAGTCAAATTAGATTTTTAAGCAAGTCATTTCCTTGCTTATTAGAGCACCTAAACAGTGGTTTATGTGAATGGTTTTCAGCAGGAAAATGTAGAGGTTCCCCTATCTCTGACTTTTTGCTTTCTAAAAAGGCAAATAATTTCGAAGAACACTTGTAGTTGATTGAGACAAGTGAATTTACTGAGAGGTGGATTTGACTTTTGAGAGAGAGGCACACAGTAAAAACCAGTCAACAAACCATGGCGCTAAAGAGCAATTATGAGACGTTTTTAGAGATTTCATCTGAACCTATGTAGAAGAAATGATTTTACAATTCTAATAGTAACGCTGAAATAAAAGATCTGTTTTGACAATATTTGAAATGTTTCTCAGTTTAAGAAAAGCAAGGACAGGCGGATTGTTGCTATGTGTGTTGCTCTAGTTCCCCATAAAATACAGTCTCTAAGATATAGCAACTATCGTTGTAAACTGTTTTGTCAATTACCATACTTTTTTTTATCTGTTGCTTAAAACTTGACCCTGAAGTCCAAGCTCTCCCTTTTAATACAAACAAAATGCTATTGTCTATATTTTACTACTTTTTAATTTTTTACTGCTTCTTTTTGCCTAGTAAAATTATCAGAAATCCAGGGGTTATATAGTCAAAAGCAGAAAATGCCCAGTGTGTCATTTCAGGGAACATCAGAATGAAGACAGGATCTCATAGATCACATCTTCTCTGAGTATTTAGACTATGTCCAATCCAAGTAAAGCAGAGAAAACAGCTTTGCATAAAAATACCATTGAAATATATGTCTTTGTTACATACTATAGAATAGCATGTCTGACTTTTAAAACATAGTAATAGAGAGGTGGGGAGTCTGTATTTGTGAGCATATTACAGAAAAAAAGGTATTGCAGCACCTTTTCTTGCCAGTCAGTTTTCTGATTTCCATTCCTGAGCATAAATTGCTCCTTTAGCCATAAGAATTATGGATTAAACTAAAGCAGCAGTGTGGAAATCTTTAGGATGACTTTTGAAGATTAAGGCAGTATTAGCATTTTGTAGAAGTACAAAGGGAAAATATAAACCCATAACAGTGACCAAAAAAGAAAAAAGGCACCAAGGAGCTTATTTTCCTTGTTTATTTTTTGAATTGAAACTGCTGAATGGATATTAAACTAGAAACGTTGTCCCCACCACCTTCACCAACCTCTTTATGCCGAGGAGCTATTCACTTCAGAGCCTTGGGATTGACTGGCAGATGGGATTGGGGTAGAGGAAGGCTGAACAGATGCACAGCCCTAGGGTCCCTGGAGCTCCAGGAAGCAGCTAGAGGCAGCCACAGTGGTCAGTGTGTGTTGGTAGCAAATGGCTGAGGATTGTCTTGTTGGAGAATCCTGAATTCATGAGAGAGCATTTCTAAAGAACCATGTTCTTGACACATTAAATCAAACAACAACAGAATTGCCCATTCAGATGATGCCTATAGGTTTTCCAATAATTGGCATCATATATAACCATTCATGCTGGTAGAGAAAAAGACTAGAAAGAAATAAGCCAAAATATTCACAGTGATCTCTCTGGGGACAGAATTATGATTGATTTTTTTGTATGTTTTATTTTTAAATATATTTTCTCATCTATTTTACAGTGATTTCTACTTAATGTTTTTGCTGAGAAATAGATATTTCTATCCAAAACATATAAAAGTGTTATTTCAAAATTCAGATGATTTTCGTATTTGTCTTTTTAATCCATCAGATATTTATAAACAGGGACAAGAGTGATGATGATAGAGGGTACTTAAAAAATAATTATCAAACTAACATTTAAAGGTGATTGATTTTTTTTCTTTGAAGTAATTTATTTTGTAACCAAAGTCAAGGTGGATTAAATTGATGAAAAGTTATGAACAATATTGATTAAAAATATTCCACATGGAAGCCCCGTCATATATTACACACATCACTTAGTCTCCAGATTGTCACTATTTATTGAAAGCCAGTTTCTAGGCCTTCCAGGGTACATTTATTATAAGTACTTTTTAATGCAGAGCAGATTCCTTCCGGCATACAGGTGGTGGTCTGCTGGTGATACATGAATGTTTAAAACTGCATGTTTTTTTGTCTTACAGAGTTGTCTTGGTTCAACTGGTGCCTTCCCGGGTCGTGTTTGCTCAGTCTCCTCCTCATTCTGTGCTTCAGGGAATCCTATGACAGACTCTATCTTGATGTGGTTGTCTCCGTTTAATAGCACAGACTTGAAGGAGTTTAAAAGGAGGCTGGAAATCAATACTGCACACTGCACATTTGCTCAGAATTGCACATCTAACAGGAAAAGAGGGAGAAGAAAGAAACTTCATTCAGAGGTTTTGTTAGGTTACAGATTATCACATTAATTTAATTACTACTAGGTAATAATAATGGGAGACTTGAGTGATAATAGGGGATTTTAAAACTCTACAGATGGCATACCTGTGCCTGCTTCTGGGGTTGGAAGTGTGACTTCTTACACATAAAGCACTACCTAAGTAATTCTCTCTCTGTTTTGTGCCAGTGCTAAACTACTGATTACTTGTAATTATGAAAAGAAATAAAGGGTGTCTATCATATGAAGATAACGCCTTCCCTAAGTCACATATCAGAATAGGAAGATATGCCACTAACTTCTAAAGAAGTTCAAACCCTGTATCCAATTTTAATGATAAAATAGCCAAGAGGTATATCGATGATGGAAATTAGCCACATGTACACTACATTTTTTCTAATAAAGCCATTTCTTATATGACTCCTTATTTTAATCAGGTCAGAAGCCCTTGGCCATCTTTACTATGGTGATCAGGTGCTTTCCAGTGACTTCTGAGCATAGGCACTGTGTCTCCATCTCAACTTATCCTTGTTTCTGTGAAATACAATTTCATCTACTAGGCCCTTAAATAATTATGTGAGGGTGTCTAAATGTTTAATATGATTACATTAAATATTGTATGAAAAAATGTAATTCCATTAGGATCTAGCACTTTGTTACAAGTGAAATGACAAGTCACATGGACATACTGTGTCTTCTGCCTGTATATGGTGGCATGAGATGTAATGTCCAGAGCCAACAATTATTTACCAGGGTTAGATTTTATTCAGTGACCCTTGTTTAAAAATAATAATTTATCACATTGAAACTTTCAGCTCTGTCGAATGATTTCTGAATTACATCCTGTGTTTCAGCTTAGGTTGTAAAATACTCCGTTCTCTGTGGAGTCAGCATATTTGAGAGGGCAGCGTTTTGCCAGTACCTATCTTCTTTCTACAGAAGATAGCTTTTTAAGAAATAAGAGTTCCACATTGAGTGGCTGTCAGACACAGATTTCACTGTGACGTAAAATACACTGCAGTGAGAATATGGTATCACCACTATTCATATTTACATCATTCCCCTCACACAGAAAAACCAACCCTTTTCCCAAAAAGTCAAGAATACTGCTATACCTTTATTATTCTCAGCTTCCTCCAGCCCTTCTTGTTTTTCCTCACTTGAAATTGAACCTTCATTGTCAGCTAAGTATATATACTTTTGTGTTTTCCTGGACAGAGTGCAAGTGGCTCTTATCAGCCAAGGTGGTGAAGGTTCAGGAAAGCTGGGCAGCACTGGGCCCTGCTCCTCTCTGCACCTGTGTGCGCCATGACACACCCACATGCAGATTCCCAAGTCTGTCTCCCCTCCCCCTTAGCAAGTACAAGGCTGTGCATTAACTCACCTCGGTCCTAGAGGAGTATCCTAGTACTGCTTGGCAACTTCTAAGACCCTAACTTGTGAAACTAGGGAAGTAAGAAACCGTTCAAATTTAACATCTGTCTTCAGTCATCTTTAAATCGTCTCTCTTTATAAACACTCTGCTCACTTAGCAGAAGGACTGAAGGAACTAAGGAACTTGCTAAAGAGAAGAAGAAAACAAAAGCTAGACTTAGTTCCAGTTAATTCTGTTATTCTTCTGAAATAAAAATGAAATAAAAGGAAGGCAGAATTCTCTTTTTTTTTTTTTTTAGACAGGATCTTGCTCTGTGATGGTGCAATCTCAACTCACTGCAACCTCCATGTCCCAGATGCAGGTGATCCTCCCGCCTCAGCCTCCCGAGTAGCTGGGACTACAGGCACGCACAACCATGCCTAGCTAATTTTTCTGTTTTTAGTAGAGACAGTGTTTCTCCATGTTGCCCAGGCTGGTCTCAAACTCCTAAGTGATCCACCCGCCTCAGCCTCCCAAAGTGCTGGGATTATAGGCGTGAGCCAC
Source organism: Homo sapiens (assembly GCF_000001405.40). Classification (NCBI taxonomy): domain Eukaryota; kingdom Metazoa; phylum Chordata; class Mammalia; order Primates; family Hominidae; genus Homo; species Homo sapiens. The sequence continues at coordinate 122,881,414 of NC_000003.12, forward strand.
CACACCAGGCCAAGAAGGCGGATTCCTTGAAGATGATTCAAAGCCAGCCATTAAGGATATCCGTAGACCATGACCCGGATGCTAAATAAGCACCACCCCTTCCTGTTCAGAGGGAAGAGAGAAAGGAGAGGGAAGAATTATAAGGTATTTGGTTTTAGTCCGAACTATTATGTTTGAGGATGTTGTGGTATAACATTCTGCAATAGTAAGATTTCTTGTGTAGAACATTTTAATTATGGTTAATTGCACTTTTTTTTTTTAAGGGACAGGATCTCAGTATGTTGCCCAGGCTGGACTCAAACTCCTGGGCTCAAGTGATCCTCCTACCTCAGCCTTCCGAGTAGCTGGGACTACAGGCATGCACCACCACACCAGGCTTAATTCTTCTTTTAACACAAAGTAGAATAACACTCTAAAAGTATTACCTAAATGACTAATTAGTTCAAAACATCCCAAGTGGTAGTGATTAAAAATTCTTGCATTGTTCAGAATTCTTGTTTTTAGAATACATGAGGTGAGACGAGTCCCTGTACTTTGTTTGTATGTGCTTACCCCTCCAGCAGGTAATTGTTCTAATTATAAACTGCAACTGTTTTAAGTGATCAAAAATTTCATATACCAAACCTGACAGGAAGGGAACCAAAAGGCTTGGGGGTGGGGAGAAGATTACACATCATTTACTTGAATATTGCAAATCATATTTTCTTTTTGTTTTTATTTCTATCATGCATCAAAATAGACCAGCTGCTTTCTTTGCACTTTCTAACCATTATAGAATCCTAATGAAATGTTACAGCTGAAAGAAATCTTAACCCTTCACTAATCCAAACCCTCATTTTAGAATTTATAGAAATGATTCTAGAGAGGTAAAGTACAACTGAGGCTCACAGTTTCTGACTCCTAAACCAGGTGTTTTTTTCCTACCTCACAGAAGCTTAATTTAGACCATTTTGGGTGTGCATGAATACCTTCATGTTAAAAAATGATAGGGCTTTAACAGTAAGCTTCCATTATTGAGTATGGGAAGTACAAGGATTAAGTTAAGGTGATTATTTGGTTTATAAGTAAAATTCTTTTTTCTCCATCACTATCCTGAAGATGCTCTGTCAGCTCTTAGCCCTTGGGTTGTAATGACATCATGTAAAAAGATTCTGATGAATAATTCAATCCCATAAACCAAGTCAACACCAATATTAATTGGTAAGGACATGCTGTAGTGCAGGTTCCCTGTGGCTTATCAATTAATACTTCACAGTTTATGGGAAGAAGCATTTTTTAATATGATCCCTGGTGGAGGTATAGGAACAAGACAGTTGTATACACAAATGCATTTCACTGGAGGATGGAGCTAATTACGAGAGAATCAAATACAAATGTAATTTTGTATATTTAAATATATATGGCCTGAGGGCCAAGTTTTTTCGTAGATCATGTACTCATGTTTAATTATGGAGAATGTTTACAGCTTGTTTTTATGAAGCCCTTCTAATGAGAGATCTAAGCTAAGGGATTTTAAATTGAAGAGGTTAAATCCCCATCTACTTAACTTTTAATTAGTTTTTTGTTTGTTTGTTTGTTTGTTTGTTTTTTACTATTTTACTAAAATCCAGGCATTCATCTTACTGTTTGCATAAGTACAAGCTTCACTTTAGGCTCAAGATTGAATAAAAATGCATAGCAAATTTGCTTTAAATTAATGTTTAAAAAATCACATTGCACATTTGTCCCTGAAATAAGTACAGAAATTACTATCATTTTGCCATATTAAGGCAAGTACTAAAGCTGTGATATGAAGAAAATGTCATATTAAAAAAGAAATGCAGGAAACTATGAGAACATTTTATCAAGCCTATTTTATGAATATCGGAGAAAAATGCAATTCCACTTTGATTTGGAATTATATTCATGCAGAAGGGACAAGATAGTTTATTTCTTTACTATCAGACAGTGTGCTGGTCTGTTAGGAAATGTGAGCAATACTCAGAGGGAATGTTTCTGGGTGTCAGAAAGTCAGTTCAAGAAAGTGGAACAGGACTTTACAGTGGGCTGTGGGGTACTTTGTGCTCAGTAGAGGCGGGGTGGCCTGCTCACTCAGCAGACATCTTGGCTCTCGAGCTCATTTCCTCACGTGTCCTTCTGGTTCAGATGGAACCTCAAACTTAGGAGAGGATTCCAGGAACTAATACAGAGGCCCGTAGGGGTCCCTTGGAGGGTGTCATCTCTGGCCAGGGGGATGGGAGTGATACAGGCAGTTACATGGCCCTCAGTCTCTCTGATTTACATTTGTTTGTGGTCAGGATTTAGATCACTTTATGATTTTCTGAGGCTCTGACTCGTCAGATACCTTTCTCAACCCTTGGATGAATCTGACCTCAGCTCTGTCCCTGAGACCTTCCACTTTCTTGAACTGACTTTCTGACACAGGCTTCTTCACCCTCAACCCCTCTCCAGGATCCCCAGCAGAAATCCATTCTCATTCCCGAATAGGAAATAAGGCCATACGCTCAGAGTTTCCTCTCCTGAACGAGACGCTAGCAAGCTCAGAACATGAGTAAGCCCAGGTGCTCCAGAAAGATTTAACAGGTCTTCTCACAGCTAAGCTTTAGAAGTTCGAGTATTTCCTTGATATGGGAATTTCAAAGGTCTCTAACAAGTTTCTATAGTTATTACTTGTTGCATTTTTAGAATATGGGCTAATTGCTTTATGTGGTCTTTTGGTTGTGCTCTAGAATCTGATATGCCTCAAACAGTAGCTTTCCATCTTAGCCCACTCTCAAAAAGAGAGAACAAAAAGCTACCCAGCCCCAGCTGTTCTGTTCATTCAACAAGGGAGAATTAAACTTTTTTTTAACCTAGCTAAAAAATGAAAGCATAGAATTGATTTCAGTAGCTTTGATGAAATAATCAAAACACATCAAGCTATTTTAACTCTAAACGTGCTTGCTGGACATAGTACATTGTAAGGCTTGGGACTCCAAAGGGGATACCAGAATATCAACCCAAACATCACAGAACTCTTCGCATTCCCTACTTTATAAATTCTTCTGATTTATAAAGACAGCTTCTGCAACCTTGAACAAAATGGCAAGGATAACTTGGAGAAACTGTCAGTTTACCTTAATGTTAGAAAATGATACTTCTTTTAAAGCACTATTTAATTTAGGCTTCATCTAATTCTAATTGGCTTTCTCATTTACCCAGAAGGATCATAGAATCAAAGAAATGATCTAATTCAGCCACCTCATTTTACAAATCAGTAGAGAACCTTTTAGGTTAAATGACACAGCCAGGTTTTAGCAGATCACTTGGCTCCTAGACCAGCATTCAATCCCTAAATGATCAATGTGTTAGCCATAAGTAATTCTTTTAAGTAATTTTTTTCATTTCTTTTAGAGTTTTGAAAATTACATGAGAAATACATGAGTGTATAACTATTATAAAATAGTACAGGAATAGAAAGTAAAGTCTACCTCCATACAAACATGCTGTTTAATCCATTCTCTCCAGAGGGTATCATCATTCATTCTTTCAGAAGAAACTTGTGTATGCATTTACATATCTATGTATAAAAACTCGGGGGGCATTTAAAATCGAGTCACCTAGGGATCTCTTTCTTGGACCATATTGGTATAAACTTTATGGGCAGAAGCAGAAGTTTCTGAGATCCTTATTTCTCTCCCAGATGAATCTGTCAGATGTAGCATATTGTGGTTAATGTAGGTGTTTCACAGACCTGCTTATGTACCATCAAGCTTTATCATATTCTAAAGTTCAAAAGTGAGTTCCAATATGCATTATTGAGTTGAGTTCCAATATGCACTATTGTGTTTTCTTACTGGAAATACAATTTCTGTTCTTAACACCATCAACTAAGCTCCCTGTACTGTGAGAAAAGAAAGTGAGTAACCGACCTATGAAATCCATATAGATTTCCTCCACAGGACTTTCTTGGCTTCCCTGTCTCTGCAGAGGCACACAATATTATAGAAAACAGAAGCCAAAAGAATAATCTTGTGCAATTTTTTTTTTTTTTTTTAGACAGGGTCTCACTTTGTCATTCAGGCTTGAGTGCCCTGGTGTGATCTCAGCCCACTGCAGCCTCAATCTTCCAGGCTCAAGCAAGCCTCCAGCCTCAGCCCCCCAAGTAGCTGGGACTACAGGTGTATACCACCATGCCAGCTAATTTTTTATATTTTTCGTAGAGATGGGGTTTCACCATGTTGCCCAGCCTGGCTTGTGCAATTTCGTTTTTTGAAAAAATAGCTAATGGAGATTCTGATAATTCTTATTGTTTCCTGGTCAACTTCTGTGTCTTTCCTAATTTTCAAGCTGTCAGTAGAAATGATGAACTGTAGCAGGCCAGAAGCTCAGCTTCATTTGGTCACTTTTTCCTTTCCTGTCTTCTTGCCCATCCAGCTTTCCCCTTTCTGATGGTGTCTTCTTATTTCTGACAATGCTTGGGAGCGAGCTGTGTGACACCCAGATTTTACGAGTTGCCAGCGGTGGAGAGGAGAGAGCCGGGCATGCAGATTCTTCATGGACCCTACTAGAGAGGACAGAGAAAAAGAGCACTGGTGTAGGAGCCCACGGGTCTGGCTCTTAACCCTGGCCTGGTGACTTCAGCTATTTGACCTTGAGCAAGTCACTTCATTTCTCCTTTAGCAACATCTCTAAAATGAGGGAGTGAGCAAAAATGTTCCCTTAGATTTCTTCTAATTCAGAAATACCAGTTGATTCTTATTTAAATATGAACATGACCAAAGCATGTGCAGTCTGTAAAGCTGGAGAGGTGCCCAGCACCTTGGTGTTTCCATTTGTGCGGTAGCCCCCCTCATGTGAGCCCTGTACGTGAACATATGAAATCTTATGCTGCATCCACATTCAATAAGAAGAAATTGCTTTTTCAGTGTCTGTGGGAGGAGATAAGCTGCAGGTGCTGTTTATTTTCCCAAAGGACTTTATATATGAAACACAGGGTTTATTAAATGTATCAAATGCAATAAGAGAAAAATCTGTCATCTGATGTTGAGATAGCATACTGGGAGCCAGGTCGGGGTACTGCATTTGCTCACCAGAATCAGATCAAACGAGATACGAGTCCTTTGGTTTGATTGGATTCATCATGAGGCAGCATGGGTTTGCACTTGTAGAAATCAAAACTGTTAGGTCAGGTAGTAAAGCCAATCCTTGAACTTACATCTTTAGTTAAGGCATCAAAGAATTGTAAGTTGCTTTGCAATGATGCCATCTCCACATGGTCAGATTCTTCCAGTAAACTGTGCAGATATTTTACAGAATAAGAGCTAAGTTTCAGCATGTCAAGGAATGATCTGTACTCAAGTGTTAGTAAACAAGGGTTTTTTTGTTTGTTTGTTTGTTTTGAGACAGTCTCTGTCATCCAGGCTGGAGTGCAGTGGCATGATCATAGCTCACTGTATCCTCAGACTACTGGGCTCAAGTGATCTTCCTGCCTCAGCCTCCTGCGTAGCTAAGACTACAAGCGCATGCCACCACCCCTGGCTAATTTTTTATTTTTTATGGAGAAGGGGTCTCACTATGTTCCCCCAAGCTGGTCTTGAACTCCTGGACTTAAGCAATCCTCCCACCTCAGCTTCCCAAAGAGTTGGGATTAAAGGCGTGAGCCCCCATGTCCGGCCAACAAGACTTCCTCGTGACTATAATGTGAGCATAATATTAATAGCTCTGAGAGAGAGAAGTGAACCAGAAGACCAACCTCAGTGTCAGGAAGTCTGGGCGTCTGTCTTCTGCATGGCTGAAGACATGGGGCTTTGGGCAAGTCATCTGTTCTCTTTGAACTTTGGCTTCCTCACTTCTGAAATAGGAGGGTCAGAGAAGATGTTTCTTTTTGCTGAAAAGTTTTACAGTTCTCTGATCTATACCCCTTGGTCACACACAACCAAAAAGTAGAAAACATGAGTGCAATACTTTTCCACCAGTACTCCCAGTTTATACATTATCTTCTCAAACCAATAAGGAACTTCTACAAGGCCCTGTTAGTGATGTGTTACAGGTGCCAGCATTAGGGAAACTTTCAGACTGTTATATCTATTCGTTCCTTCATCCATGTATACTATTCATTCTGTATGCAGAGTAATTTATATATGTACAATTACATGGCAGTGAAAGATAATCAGAAAAATGAAGTTTTTTTTTTTTTTTTGAGATAGTTTTGAGACAGAGTCTTGCTCTGTTTCCCAGGCTGGAGTGCAGTGGTGTGATCTTGGCTCACTGCAACCTCCGCCTCCCGGGTTCAAGGGATTCTCGTGCCTCATCCTCCCGAGTAGCTGGGACTACAGACATGCGCCACCATACCCAGCTAATTTTTGTATTTTTAGTAGAGATGGGGTTTTGCCATGTTGGCCAGGCCATTCTCGAACTCCTGGCCTCAAGCGATCCTCCTGCCGGCTTCCCAAAGTACCGGGATTCCAGGCATGAGCCACCATGCCCAGTCAGAAGGTTTTTTTTTAAAAAACACACTCCTGAACTAACAATTACAAAGAGCTAGTGACAATTTCCCAAATAATTATGCATAACAGGAGCCCATATATTGTTCTCAAATCATAAACCATAACTGATTTTGAGGAAAAGACATTCTGTCCCACTGATATTCTTTTCATGAGTAAGATCTGGATCTGTCTGGAGGCACAGAATTAATTTTTGCATGAGGAATCCCAACCCTACCATCATTCCATGGCTGAGGAATTGGTTATTACTCCTATGGGAAATTGGGAATGTTGTTGGTACCCCAGCCTTCTCTTAAGACAAAATTTAACAAATGCATACATGCTAAGATGCTTATACTCATAAGGCTTTGTGGGTCTCCTTTCTAAGGGGAATTTGAATACTAACAAGAACAAAGGCTAAATACCAAAAGGGGGCTTTCTAATGGTAGAATTTGGGATATCAGGTAGCCACATAGAGCAGGGCTACTTTGGGGGCTGGAGACTGCAGAAACCCTTCAGTTTATACGTGTGAGTAAACCTAATCACACTTGATGTATTGCTAGTGAAGTCCCAGCCCCCTGAGCCTTTGCAGAAACCCAAAGAATGCTAAAAAGGGCAGGTTTTAGTTCCTGCCAATTATTTCATTTACTACAAATGCCCCGAGTTCCGAATTTACTTCCCTCCCCACCAGAAATATGTCATTTTGGAGGCTTGTGAAAATTAAGCATTAAGAAAATCCCGCCTCCATCCTAATACACTGCATCCACAAGTCCCAAACAAAATCACTTCCTTGGCCTACACACATAACTACCTGTTTCTGTTTAGGTCTGTGACTCAGAAAGTGCCTGGAAGAAGTCATGAGAGGGAGTCGATCCCATCTTACCTGCCATAGGAAGAATAGGGCCTGCTCAGTAGAGTTCAGTGTGTGTGTTGAAGGTGGTGGTTCTTAGTCCTTCCCTGAATTCACTAATTCGCATTGCACTCACTCTTCCTGATCAATGAGTTATTGCTGAGAAATCATTGTAGTAAGTAATACAGGTATCCCCAGTAAAGCCATCCCTCTCCTCCATACCTCCGCTGTCCCTTGGGTTTTGGCTCCAGGATCCTTGCCCCATGTCCCAAAGAATCCCTACCTTGGGCCTCCCTCCTCCTCTTTTGTCAATTGCACTTGACCTTTTCAGGAAAAAGAAATCAATTGATACCTTAGTCCTAATGTTTGACCCTTTTCTATCTCAGAATAGAGAAGTCCCTGTATTTGTTCTTTTTTTACTCAAGTTTAATATAGACCACCTAGGCACAGAAGCTCCGTGCTATATTCTGTTGCCTGTAATTGTCCTTCCATCTAATTGGGAAAAGGTTACTCTATTGAACCATCTGCTGATTCCCTTACCTTTTCACTCTTTTGTCAGTATTCCTTTACCAGTAAATTCTTGGTTATCTAGGTCCTGAAGTTTCATTCATGTTTTTTTTAAAAGCTTTAATTTTTCTTAGGAAAACTGTTTCTCTCATCTTAAAGCAGACTATGATCTTTTCTACTTTGTTATACAATCTGAACATAATGAACACTCTAAAGTCAGGCATGGATTTTATCATAAAAGCAGATCGTATTAAGATTTTTTTAAAAAAGAACCAGGATTGAGGAATCTGTAGCTAATAATTTAATAATTCACCAGCATGTTTTGGGCTCCCACTTCATGCTGGCCACTGGGCTAGGCACTGAGGGTGCAGAAGCAAACAAATCAGCCTCCTGGCCCTCAGATTTGCATTCCAGTGAGTCCATTCATAAAACCTAACTCAAAGCCAGCAACACCCCCAAAAGGGCTGTTGGAAGCTTTGTAGCTCATCTGTACAGCTGTCTTGATTCCTGTACGGGATCTTACTTTCTTGGGAAAATATGTTCTAAATCCTGTTTCCTTGGGCCATTAAAAATCCATGCTGTCCCTAATCAATATATAGTTATGTGTGACCTTCTTAGAATTAAAAAAATGCCGCTGGACAGCCTTTGAAGGGAAAGGCAGAGAAATCTGTTTTGATGGCTTGAAAATAAGTGAAAAGGTTTTTAGGGAAAGCTAACAAGCTTTCAAAGATTTCAGATCTGCCAGCATTCATTCATTAAGGCATGGGATTAGGCCAAAAGAGCCTCCTACCAAGGGAGAGACAGGAACCATGTAAGGAGATCTGTGAGACCGCAGTGGAAGAGTATTGAAATAGAAGCCAGACCTGTAGACGTATTTGTTAATATGTGTGCCAAGCCAAAGTACAGGAGGAGGCTTGGAGGCATGGAGTTGTGGTGGAAGCAGGTTCTGAAAAGCAGAACTCTGAAGCTGGCTCATTCTCACGAAGTCATCTGGCCCAGCCTCCCGCCTCCAAGCACATCCTGCCTGCAGAGGGTCTGGCTAGCTGCCTTTTCAGCTCTCGAGGGATAGAGATTCTACAACCTCCCTCTGTCATCAGTTCCAGAGCCACTCCCCTTTGCACTAGAAGTTCTTGCTTTCAAAGAATGAGGGTGTGAGGGAGGGAGGGGTCAAGAAACAGAGTGACAGGGGAAACAGGCAGAACAAGTCAGGGCAAAGGACCCCAGCATGAAGAGTTGTGGAGGTGGAGGTGGGGAAGCAGCCTCACATCTCACACTTCCTTCCTTCTCTTAAATGTGAGCAGCTGACTCCAAGCCTTGTGGAAACTCTAGAAGGTAGAACCAGCCATCTGGGGAAGCTGGCCTTACAGATGCCCCGTCTGGCATAGTGGAGGTTCCTGTGCTCTGAGAACGCAGTGTGAATCTAGACATCCACTGCAGCCTGGGAAGAGCTGTGTTTTCTTCAAAAGTCTTTAACTTTCACAGTCACCCCTCTAAAGAAATGTTCTCTGATTGAAGGCATGCTTCTATTCCTACTTTATTGTGTTTCATGCATTCTGCCAGAGTAATTACTTTTCATACCAATTCTTGGATGCAGAGAAATCTCTGGTAGTCTAAGGGGATTTCGATCCAAGTAAAGCTACTATCTCCTATTCCATCCAGACTTTTCCGTCTGCCTCCATTCTCTCAGTCACATACCTAGAAGCAAGCCAGAAAGCCTGTCCAACCAAAATCACTCTCCAAAGCCCAAGCACTTTATTGTTCTCCCTGTCTGTTATCGAGCCAAGGTGTATTTGGCCTCATTTTATGCCATTAGTTGTCTGGCTTTCATGGCTCTGCACCACATTACAGTCAGAGCAGGAAGGCCAGCAGTGGAGATAGAATTATGGCAGAAACCCAGAGTAGAGGCCTCTGCTGGTGAGGGAGCCTGCAGCACTCTCCACGCTGGTGGGTCCTAGCATGCCCAACAGACCCCCATCCCTTCCCATCAGCCTTGGGCCTTGAGTCTCATTCCAACTCATCCCCTCCCCTTTCCCTTCTTTCCAGTCCCAGGTGACACTTGATGCCTCTGACTCCTTTGAAGAGGGCATCAAGAAGTGAAAGAACAAAGTCCTTTTCTGTTCGGGATCTGGGCCCATCCTGGGAGAGGTTTTTGGCAGAAATGGCTGCAGTGGAACCCTCTGACTGCCAGGGTGAAATAGTGCTCCAGCAGGCTGCGGTAGACTCACTGCCAGAGTGGGTCAGGACTGGCCCAGAGGACAGGGTCGTCTCTTGAGAGTCCTCCCAGCTCCAGGGCCTGATTTTAAAGCAGTAACACGAGGATATAGGTTATATACAGGCTCCTGGAAGGCAGGTGCCGCAGCTCCTGTGACACCCCATATGCCTGAGCAAGCTTCTCCAGCACAAGAGATGATGCAAGTATGAATGGGTACGGGGGGAGCTTAAAACCTGCCAACACTGAGACTTGATGCCAGGGGCCGTGCACCCGCTCTGCCACCTGCTAGGTCTGTGCAATGGTCAGAGCAGAGGTGTGTGATGAGTTCAGCTCCCAAGCACATCCACACTTAGGAAGTGTTCTGTGTGTTTTTAAATAATCCTTACCATGTAAAGATTGTATTACATTTGTATACAAAATTTTTTTGCATTTTACTTTTGTAATATTTGGGGTTTTATAGATTTTTATTTTATGGCCAAGTATACTTTTGTAAGGAAATGTTGAAGTCTTGAGTATTTTTATTCTTTTAAAAAACTATAGTTAGTGTCAACTGTGAGCACTGATAAATATTATTCATGTGTGGTTTTCCTTCTTTTTAATCCAGACTTTTTAAGAAACTGTTTTGGCATAGAGCTTTACTTAAAATGCTGCTTCATTTTACACATTGTGAATACTGAAGATTCTAAAAAATAAAGATGCATTTAAAATCTCTGTGCTGTTCCATTGTAGAAATGGTAATGTGCATTGCTTTGCCAAAGTGGTAATTAAATGTTTAATGGTTTAGAACTCCTAGTTCACAACAGGGCTTCTCGTCATCACTTGCAGCGTGTGAGCTTCCAAATAAGCCGCCATTTCTTTGGAAAACGCACGCACTTAGGCATGGCGATCTCCTGTTCCGTTAGGAAATACGGTTATGTTGACATTATGGTTACTGTGCTTGTGGTTTTGCAATAAACATGTATTGAAAGCACTTGTGATAACGTGGTCCGCATTTTGTTTTTAATCAAACTCCAAATGGCAGTAGAAGTGGAGCCAAAGCTTCCTGAGCGTTCGGGCAGCAAGATGTGGTGAGAAAAAAAATACGAGTAAGGAAGCAGAGGCGGCTGGGCCAAATCCTTCTCCTCCGCAGCAAGCCCGGAGACGGGGATTCCGTTGTCTCTTTTGGAAATCCCCTGTCCTCATTCATTTAAAAAACATAAAATCAGGGAGGGAGATAATTACATTTACCTTTGCCTGGATTTTATGGTGTTGGAATAGAGTGAGGAGCACAAAGCTCCTGGCACATTTTGATTGCCTCATACGTGTTCCTGGCCTTCTTCCCTCCCTTCCCTCTTGAGTCTTCAGCGTCTATTCAATGAATGCTGGTTGGGTGAACACACAGTGTACCTATCTTAATGCCATATAGGAAACAGAATTCTTACCCTGATTTTTAAAAATAATTTTTCCATCATAAAATAATACACAGGGCCAGGCACATGCCTGTAATCGCAACACTTTGGGAGGCAGAGGCAAGAGGATAGCTTGAGCCCAGGAGTTCAAGGCTGTAGTGAGCAGTGACCCTGCTACTGTACTCCAGCCTAGGTGACAGAGTGAGACACTGTTTAAAACAAAAAACAGCTATTAAAGACTTTTAAATACAGAAAAGTGTAATGCTTTCTTCTTGCTGTAAATGTCTTTTAATATAGTACAGATTGTACTGTGTTTTTGTTTTATATTCTTAACATTATATCCTGAACATTTTCCCATAACAAGGAAACATAATTTAAAATTTCATTTTATTGTGGGACATTAGGTTGTTCCTGAGGAGATCGATTCTGGGGAATACCCATTGTATATTTATCCTAGTTTCTGATGATTTTGTTAGAAAAGATAACCAGAAAGCACGTTACTTTGTTCAGATATGAAGACTTTAGCTCCCGATATGTGTCCCCAGGTTAGTTCTTTAGCCAGCCCCGTAGGGTCTACTAGCAAATGAATGCATTTCAGGATTCTGCTCAGGTGAGAAGGGTGACAGGAGAGTGAGTCACACTGACCTCTTCCCCTTCCTGTTCTTTACTTACAAACCACATGCCCTCGGCATGAATGGGCCCTATTTCACCTCTTTAGTTCTTTCTTATATAAAACACTGGACCTGATAGCGGGGTGCAGTGGCTCACGCCTGTAATCCCAACATGTTGCGAGGTCAAGACAGGAGGATCGCTTGAGGTCAGGACTTAAAGACCAGCCTGGTCTCCACCAAAATAAAAAAACACACACACATGACTTGATGATCTTTAAGACCATTCAATTCTTAATTCTAGCAAAAGACAGAAAGGAGACGATGTAGGAAGGGCTGGAGGGAGGGAGGCAAATTCTCATTTGGATATAAATGGAGATGGGGAGGCCCTATAAGGGATACTTTCGTTTTTCACTAGTGGTGTCTTAGAGAGTTGTTTCATGCATAATTTATTGGATGAGTATCATTTGTTCCCTAAAGGATGCTAGGTTATATTTTTGAATTTTGTCAACAAAGCAATTTTTATGAAGCTGAAGATCATATTTTTCACATTTACTTTGACATATCCGTGACTCAGATTGCGGAAACAGGCCTGAACCCCCAGTGCTTCTTAGCTCAGTAACAGTGGTGATAATTTTGGGTGCTTGCTCTATGCCTGATACTGTTCCAAGCACTTTCCATGCCTCAGCCTCACAGCAAACCCGGAGTAGGTTCTATTATTAGCTCCATTTTGCATCAGAGGAGAAAACTGCCCCAGGTCAAATAGCTGGTGTGTGGGGTGGAGCTGGGTTTGAGCCCAGGCCATGTGGCTGCTGCAGAGGCCCGGGCTCTAACCAGGAAACAGTAGGTGCTGGGTAGCTCTTTATCCAAATGTGGAGGGAAGGGGGTTTTCCGAGGGCCATGGATTTGTACAGGCTGCCCTTTGTGCTACACGAAGTCCTTTAATCAATTTACTCTTCTCAGAACCCCTGCGAGGTAGGTGTCACCACCCCCATGTCACGCAGCACACAGCTGCTCAGTAAATAGTGGGGCTGGAGTTCGGAAGTCCACGGTCATCCCTCAGCATCAGGGGCCCTTGGATCAGGGCAAGGGGCACAAGAGGCTCACAAGCACGAGAGACTGAAGGAAAGCAAGAACTGCCTTTCCTAAAACTGATCTAAGACAGCGCCTGCTGACAGGAGGTCACGGCTGTGTTCCGCTTCCCGCTTCCCCTTTCACCTGCTCCCTGTTCCCACTTCACAAGCAACAGATGCATCTCTCACACCTAGCAGCACTGCTGCGGAGGTCCTGGATGTAAAAAATAAAAATAAAAAAACTAATAGTAAAATTAAAACCTCCTCACTGCCAGAAAAAAGTGAGAGAAGACGATTAAGAATGTGCGTCCACGGTACCTCTTACGACAGTTGTCATGATGAGTCCAGGGTAGCGCTTTGTATCTGTCCCTTTTCTGTATGTATTTCTGTCCCAGACAATGTGGCATTAGAGATGGGGTGCTTTGACTTGGGATTTTCAGGATTCAGATGGATTATAGAGTGGAGGAGCAGAAAGAATGGCAATTGTTGTTTAATAATCTTACTTCTCCTGTTTCCCAACTACTGTGAAAGATCGCCAAACCGCTGAAGACAAGTTCTGAGAAAAGAAGGCAAGGAGGGCATCAGTGAGCAACCATGAGGGCAGCAGGACCTTGTTTCTTCCACGTGACACTCGGGTCAAGGCTGCACACCTTATCTAACTATATTCCGGGTTGGAATAAAGCATGCTGCTTTTGAGTTCATCCTCTCTGCCTCTTCACCATTCTCAGTAGTAAGGAGGAGCTTCGATAGTACTTCCTTCTCTGGTGCCTTGGTCTGTGTCCCAGGGGCATCCTTGAGAATATTGCAAAGAGGCGAAGGTAGGAAGTTCCCTATTCCTTACTGTACAGATGAACAGTACACCTTCGAGTAAAAGGAACATTGTAAGAGGTAAGTTTGTATTTTACATTTTCTTGGACATTTATTCATACTTTTCTAACCACTTAATGAAGGTACAGTTGACATACAGTTAGCCTCACATATTTGAAGTGTAAAATAAAAGTTTTGACAGGTGCACACCCATGCATCCATCACTACCATCAAGATAGTGAGCACATCTACCCCCTTTAATATCCTTCCTTCCCTACCACCCCTCCTGTCTCCATACCCCCTCCCCAGGCAGTCACGATTTGCTCTCAGTCACTATAGATTCATTTTTATTTTCTAGAATTGTATATAAATGGAATCATACAGTATGTCCTGTTGTTCTAATTATTTTTGTCTGGCTTCTTTCACTCAGCATAATTATTTAGAGATTTATTCATGGTGCTGCATGTATCAATAGTTTGTTCCTTTTTATTGCTGAGTTAGATTCCATTGTGTGGCTATATCACAATGTGTGTATCCATTTATGTGCTGATGGATATTTGCATCCTGTGCAGTTTTTGGCTCTTATCAATAAAACTGCTGTGAGCCTTTGTGTACAAGTCTTTGTGTGGACATATGTTTTCCTTCCTCTTGGGGAAAAACCTAGGAATGGAATGGCTGATCATATAGTAAGCATATGCTGTTAAATACAGATTATAGCAACCCGTTGTTTTGGACTAAGCTCCTGCACCAAGCCCCAATGGACCACTCTAAAAGTAAAAATGGAGTCACTCATGCTAAAGTTCCATATCACCAAACGGAAAATAAGTTATTATCTGACCTTCTACGAAATCAGAAGAGAGAACGGCCAATTCCCCAGACAGGCCAGTTTCAGTCTTTAATGGGCATGACAATGAAGTTCTCCATGTTTTCATCCTTATGACAAAAAGTCACCTGAAGTCACCTGACGGGAACCAGTTATCTTTCCCCTGTTTTGTCTCCCTGTCCCCCGTCACATGGAAAGTAACTTTGAAATGACCTCTACTCTTTTCTCTTAGTTTTTGCTTTCTTCAGCCCTTCTCTGTCTATAAAGCCAGCCTCTTCTGTTCAGCTCATTGGAATACTTACTCTATTTTATGGAATGAAGTGTTGCTCAATTCTAGAATGGCAATAAAATAGATAAATAAATAAAATAAATAAATAATTAAAATAAAACAAATAAATAAATAAAACAGATAAAGTTCTTTAAGCTAAATTTGTTATAATTTTTGTCTTTTGAAATGCTTGACTTCCAAACTGTTTTCCAAAGTGGTTTCATTTCTCATTCTCACCAGCAGTGTAGAAGAATTCCAGTTGTCCCATATCCTTACTATGCCTTGTATGATTAGCCTTTTTTTTATTTTCATTTTTTATTTTTATTTTTTGAGACAGACTCTTCCTCTTGTCACTCAGGCTGGAGTGCAGTGGCACAATCTCAGCTCACTGCAACCTCTGCCTCCAGGGTTCAAGTGATTCTACCACCTCAGCCTCCTCAGTAGCTAGGACTACAGGTGCGTGCCACCACACCCCGCTAATTTTTGTATTTTCAGGAGAGACAAGGTTTCACTATGTTGCCCAGGCTGGTCTCGAACTCTTGACCAGTAATCCACTTGCCTCAGCCTCCCAAAATGGGATTACAGGTGTGAGCCACCGCACTCAGCCTGATCAGCCTTTTTAATTTTACCCATTGTAATAATATGCTGTGGTATCTCGTTGTTTTAATTTGCATTTTCCTAACGACTAAGGATGTTGATCGTCTTTCCACTTGTTTATTTACCACCCCTAAATCAGCTCTGGCGGAGGGCCTCTTCAAACCTTTTCCCCATTTTTTTACTGGATTTTTTTTTCCTCACTGGATTTTTGTTTCTTGGTTTGGTTTTTGAGACAGGGTTGTGTTCAGGCTTGTCTTGAACTCCTGAGTTCAAGCAGTCCTCCCACCTCAGCCTGCTGAGTACCTGGGATTACAGGTGTGTGCCACCATGCCTGAGTCTCATTGGGCTTTGATCATTTTTTATATGTTCTGGATTTGCAAGTGTTTTCTCCTAGCCTGTGACTTATCTCTTCATTCTTTTAACAATGTCTTTCTTACTTTTGATGAAGTCCAATAAATCAATATTTTCTTTTATGGATTGTTGTGCCTTTGATGTCACATCAATCCTTGCCTAACCCAAGCTCATAAAGATTTTCTCGTATTTTTCTTTTAAAAGTTTTACCATTTTTATTACATTCTGCCAAAAGATTATCAAATACTATAAAATCCATATTCATCTTTTACTTGGGCACAAGTCTTCTCATCATTGCCAACTTGTCTATTTTTAAAAATTTCTGCCATAGATTTCAATGTCCACAATCTAAAAGATTTCGTCTGTAAATAATTCATTTAACAACAATGATTTTTCAATTTCTGAACTTACTGGCCTTCTGAGATGTCGCACACTCTCTCTTGTGCACACATTGTCTTTCTCTCCTGTTAATTTTTCTCATTGTGGTAATAAGTGACGTTTATTCTAAACTTCTGTTCTCTAAAATTTTACTTTGTATTTAATAATTGTCAAAATTCAAATATCTTTATAATGTTTGATATCAATAATAATCATGGATATCTTAATCCCAAATACATTTTTAAACTTAGATCTTATAAGACATTTTTAAAATTAAAATTATAATTCATATACATATTTTCATTGCAGAGAAGTATGATAGGTGAACAATGAAAAACTTTCAGGCTTAAAAATGTATTACATTAAAATAAAATTCTGTGGGGGAAGTAGAAGGATACTCCGAGGAGTAAAAGGAACAAAGCAAATTTTCCATTTGTTCAAGAATTCTTTCTCTATTTTTTTAAAACGCTGTACTTTTTAGATTCTCTTGACTACATTTTAAAAGAACAGTTATATTTTTAAAATGTCACTATTTACAATATGCCAGAAATTACATCTTTTGCAGCTCTTTACAATGAGAAATTCTAGATGTCAACGTAAAAATTGTGAGGGTGTAACTAATGTTTTGGAAATCTTTCAGAAAGTATGTGGTAAAAAAATAATAATAACAATAATAGTCTTCTACCCCACAGTACTTCACAGAAACGAACAAGCAGGAACATGTGTGGTGCTGGCTGAGAGCTGGATTCACTCCTCTGAGTGGGGAGATAAGATGTCCGGGAACTGGATTTACCTCAGCACATAGACCGTTTATTTCTGGATGTGGCCCAGGAAAGCAAACACAAATGTGTCAAACTCCTCTTTTCTCTGAAAGAGAATTTAAAAGTAAAGATCATAGGCCAAGCCAATGGTAACATCTTTTGGGCAAAGAATCTCCTTTGTAGGGTATTTGGGTAGAGGGAGAAGTTGGTCCAGGAGAGTGAGTTCTGAGCCACACCCGTGGATGTCCATGAGATAGAGAGCTCCTACAGTTACAAGAATCATAGAGTCACTTCAGCCATCATAAGAAGTGATTCGACTGGATATGGGTTGGAGCCAAGAGGGGGCCAGCTACCCTTTCTCTCTCTCCCTCCCTGTCTCTCAATCTCAGCCAGTCCAGTCTTTCTCCCTCGCAGTCTCGGTGTTTCTGCTACATTCTTCTATTGCTACTAGCCTATCTTATCCTCATTCTTCAGTCCAGATCCCACAGACAGCCACTCTGACTGGCTTAGCTGATTTCCCTCTGGGCTTTTGGATAGGGTCCTTCAAGACTGCACACCGTGGCAGGCAGCCAATCTGTAGCCATCCCTGTGCAAAGACCAGCTCAACACTGCTTGTCTGTTGGGAGGAGGATGGGTGGGAGGAGCTGTTTCAGAAACCTGGGAGTAATAGACATGACAAAACCGTGACTGAGATGTCCATTTGCCTGTCATTTTCTAGGGTGGAGATGGAAGTCTGGTCTTCCCATGCCCACTTGTCTCAAGCCCCTCCCACACATCAAGTGACAGTAACAGCTTTTCTATCACCATTTAGGGATCATATGGACATTAAAATGAAGATGAAGAGAACACAGGAACTCTGTAAGTCTAAAAAGATGCCCTAAACAGCCAGAAGGGCCCCACTCCTTGCCCGGATCACAAGTGCTGGTAACGGAGGGTTGGGGGAACCAGGGAGGAATTCCAGGAACCCTGGGCCTTGTCCCTACTCCTGAGATAAGGAAAGGGGTGGAAGAAGGGAGGGCCGTAGGATCCCAGACAGCTTCAGTGTCGAGGGCTTTGGGATTCCCTCTGCCCAAAATGCCCAGGTATAGATCCTGAAAGCCCCAACATCACTGACTTCTTTGAGGTCAGACCCTGAAAACCTTTATGCACAGTCAACCAGTCACACTTAGGCTGGAATCTGCGTAGCCAATTGGTATTTTAAAGAAAAGGAACCCAGGAAACATAAGACATCAAAAGAGGCAAGATTTGATGGCAAAAAAACAAACAAAAAAAAAGTTGTAAGCCGAGCACGGTGGCTCATGCTTGTAATCCCAGCACTCTGGGAGGCTGAGGCAGGTGGATCACCTGAGGTCAGGAGTTTGAGACCAGCCTGGCCAACGTGGTGAAACCCCATCTCTACTAAAAACACAAGAAGTTAGCTGGGTGTCGTGGCGGGCTTTGGTGATCCCAGCTACTTGGGAGGCTGAGCCAGGAGAATTCCTTGAACCAGGGAGGCGGTGGTTGCAGTGAGCCAAGATTGCACCACTGCACTCCAGCCTGTGGGACAGAGTGAGACTCTGTCTGAAAAAACAAAACAACAACAAAAAACCCAAACAACAAAACAAAACCAGGTGTAGTGTGGCTCTAAAGGAACATCTGACCAGGTTCCTGGGGAACCAGGGCCATGGGAGGAAGAAGGGACTCTTCTCCCATGAGAAGGGCCTGGAGATGCAGGGACTGTCAAGTCACTTTGGCCAACTTTTTTGCTCCCCTAGAATGAACTCTGCACTAAAAGTGGAGAATCACTTCTATGAGAGAAAGACATAAAAAGAAAAGATATAAGGTAATGTTACAGTAAGTTGGGCAAATCTATCAAAATTTAAAAACATGTATACTCTTTGAGTAATTCTATTTTTTCAGAATTCATTCTGCCATTATAGCTATATATATATAAGGATAGTATTCACCTGTATTCGCCTGTAATCCCAGCACTCTGGGAGGCCGAGGAGGGTGGATCACTTGAATCCAGGAGTTTGAGACCAACCTGGGCAACATAGTGAAACTTCATCTCCACAAAAAATACAAAAAACTAGCTGGGCGTGATGACATGCACCTGTAGTCCCAGCTACTCAGGAGGCTGAGGTGGGAGGATCGCTTGAGCCTGGAAGGCAGAGGCAGAGGTTGCAGTGAGCCATGATTGCACCACTGCACTCCAGCCTGGGTGACAGAATGAGACCTTGTCTTATAAAAAAAAAAAAAAAGAAAGAAAAAAAAGTATTTGCAACATTGTAACAAAAGATTGAAAATATCCTAAAAGTTCATCATTAGGGGTTTGGTTAAATAAATGCTGGTGGCAATTGTTGGGGAAAAGACAGACATGGAACACTCTAGGTGACAGATTGTTAAGTGGGAAAGCTGGTGCAGAATAGTGTGTACAGGTGAGCCCATATGTTGCCCAGAACACACACTTGGGCAAATGCTAAAATCAATATTGGGTTAAAGTTGGGGTCAAAACCAAATATTACCATCTCAGAATGAAACTCCTGGGATGCAAGAATTAACCTGAAATTTCATCCCAAAGAATGTAATTATTATTATAGTTTTGCTAATGGTCAAATTCTAAGTTTGACCTTATGGTGCAAGAACAGTAATCACTCAGCATGATCAGCTGCAAAATGGCTCTGTGATCACGTCACTGCAGTTCTTGTTGTTGTTGTTTTTGAGACAGAGCTTTGCTCTTGTCACCCAGGCTGGAGTGCAATGGCGAGATCTCAACTCACTGCAACCTCCACCTCCCAGGTTCAAGCAATTCTCCTGCCTCAGCCACCCAAGTAGCTGGGATTACAGGCACCCACCACCATGCCCAGCTGATATTTTGTATTTTTAGTAGAGATGGGGTTTCACCATGTTGGCTGGGCTAGTCTCGAACTCCTGATCTCAGGTGATACACCTGCCTCAGCCTCCCAAAGTGCTGGGATTACAAGCATGAGCCACAGCACCTGGCCTTCACTGCAGTTTTGTCATAAGAAATAGACGGTCACTTTCCACTGAGAATGGGAGAGAAGCCAGGTATTTTTCGGATATTACATTTTCCTGTACTTTTTTTCTTTTCTTCATTCTCTTTATATCCCTTGTTATGTCTGAATCAAAGGTGATTTGTCATGGATATTGTACATGGTTTTGCAATTTTTTTCTGCTTATGGAATGTTGAGATAGAAAAGCTAACATTCTTTTTTTAAAAATTCATTTTCATAAGATGTGAATTCCCAAATAGAATTTATTCCTGAAAGACTCATAACCTAAATGGAATTAAATATCAAAAATCAAACATAATTGTTAAAGGTGATTTTATTTACCATAATGCATGTGAGATATGCACCAAACTAGACAGATACTAGAGTTATGACTTAATCAAATATCTATTATTCTGACTGGTATTATTGAAAATTGTTTAACATTCATTGGCTTACAGAGATGATAATGTTCTTCCTAAAGTTATCTCACTAACATTCTCTCTCAATATTCTTTTTAATTCTCAGTCTTTTTCTCAATTTATTTGCTATTTAAAGGTGCTTGTTTTTGAACATAAAATTAGCAGCTTTCACCATCATTATGTGAAACATTAATTATTATGGCTTTTTAATCTTATAATAATAAATATATGTAGTTCAAATGACTGAGAATTTTAACATATGAAGCATAAAAGAGACTTTCACTTCAAGACTCATTTGATATTTATAGTGAGTATCATCTATTAATAAATCTAAATGGTATGCCTCATGCATATTACTAATGTTGATATGCTGATTAGATATAATGATAGACCGGGTGCAGTGGCTCACACCTGTAATCCTAGCACTCTGGGAGCCAAAGTGGGAAGATGGTGTGAACCCAAGAGTTTGACACCAGCCTGGGCAACATAGTGGGACTCCATCTCTACAAAAATTTTTAAAAATTAGCCAGGCATGGTGGCATGCGCCTGTAGTCTCAGCTACTTGGGTGGCTGAGGTAGGAAGATTGCCTGAGCCCTGGAGGCTGAGGCTGCAATGAGTCATGATCACACCACTGCACTCCAGCCTGGGCAACAGAGCAAAACCCAGTCTCAAAAAAAAAAAAAAGATATGGTGATAACCTGTTAACGATGACTGTAGATTAAGCACAAACTCTCAGGGATATTATAAATAATACTGAGGTAGGCATTCAGCTACTGAAACTTCCAAAAGCTGAGGTTGAAGGCCAATTCAAAGATTTCTACTGAATATCGAGGCCAAAGCTGACTTTTGGTGCATTTTATGTACACACATGATAAACATACATATATGTGTCTGTGTCCCTGATCTACCTCTAGGTGCCTCATGGAATGAGATCTTGGGGCCTAGGAATCAAGAATGGGAGATTCACTTTTTATTGGATATCCTTTTGTACTGTGAGCTCTTTGGAGCCTACACCCCTAGGAATCTCGGAAGGGAGATTTATCAGGGGTGGTGGGGGAAGTGGACCCTCTGTTTTTGAGAGTGCTCAGTGCTGGGCAGAGCTGATTAGGAATGTCCAAGTACGGTGGGGGTCCTGTATCCTACCAGCCCTGGAAACTGGGGTGCAAACCTAGGGAAACATCTCCCTTTTAGGGTGATTGGAGGGTGATTGGTGGAAGGACCTTATGGGTAGGGATAAATTTTCCCACAAACTCCAGAGTTCACATTTCAGACTCTAAAGCCTGAGCCTCCCCCAGTCAGCACAGCTACAGAATTAGAGGTGCAGCCCCCAAGGACTAAGTGAGTGCCCTGTTGGCAGCTCAGGATGAGGAGAGAGGCTTTTCCAGAGCAGCGTGTTTGGGGCTGGCCTGCAGGGTTCTCAGTGAGTCGTCAGGGTGACCTAGCAGTGCAGCTGGGGGCCATGGAGTGGTCTGAGTGGCAGGCCAGGCTGGCTCAGAACAGCTGGGCCCTGGGAGGAGCCTGGGGCCCCAGTGAGCACAGGCCTGGTGGACCTCCAGTTAAAAGACTCCTTCCTAGGGAGCTCCTGAAATGCTGGACCCAGGTGACTGACACATCGTTTGGTAGAAATGGCGGGATGTCTCTCCTCTTCTGGAAGATCCCCTTTTGGAATGCTGCAAGTCTCAGAGGCAAGGCTCGTCCAGTTGGCTGTCCAAGGAAGACATATTCACAGGTTCCTGTGTGAGGATGATGGGTTCAGGGTGTCTTATTTCCCCAGATGGCCCAGCCTAAGGCACACAGCTACTTCTATGGCCAAAATTCTCTTCAGGGGATTGATATGTTACACTCCCACCAGCAGTGTATTCTCATTTGATGGTTACTAACCCTAAGGGCTAACACTGATGAGTACTTGCTACCTGCAAACCTTCACTTCTGGAAATTTATCCTAAGGACATAGGAATATGTATAATAGAAGGAGGTTCATAATAGTATTCGTTGGTAAAAGAAATTTTGAAACAAATGAGAGTGGTTTAAATAAATTATGATACATTTATGTAATAGAATGGTACATTTACATAATAGAGAATAAAATGTATGTCATGGAATGGATAATTCTATGTAATAGAAATAGAACTTATATAACAGAAAGTTAGGATTTTTCAACCATTATGCAAACCTTTTCCAAAGTAAATCTTAGTGGCATAAACAAATAAAATATATAAAAATTGAACTTTCTCTTATTGAAGTGGTGGGGTGGGGTACATTTTTACCTGTGAAGCCCTGCAAACAAAGCCCTCTCTCCCTCCCTGACCCCATCCTAGGGCAGCCACTGAAAGGGATCCTGAGGCTCTAGGGAGAATTTTTTTTTTTTTTTTTTTTTTTTTTGAGATGGAGTCTCACTCTGTCACCCAGGCTGGAGTGCAGTGGCACCGTGTCAGCTCACTGCAACTTCCGCCTCCTGGGTTCAAGCAATTCTCCTGGCTTAGCCTCCCAAGTAGCTGGGATTACAGGCACTACCATCACGCCCAGCTATGTTTTTTTGATATCTTTAGTAGAGGCAGGGTTTCATCATGTGGGCCAGGCTGGTCTTGAACTCCTGACCGCAGGTGATCCGCCTGCCTCAGCCTCCCAAGAGAATTTTTAACAATGTAGGAAAATAATGATATAATGTTTTGTCTTAAAATCAGAATAAAAACCATCCACATAGAATATCTTAATTTTATGAAACACTCTCAAATCTGCACAGAGCCATAGAAAAATGCCTGGAAAAAGGGCATATTAAAATGATGGTTGTCTCCTGGTTGGATTTTAGGGCATCTGTATTTTTCTTTTTAATAAGCTTTTCTTTTTATTTTCCAAAATTTCTTTAATGAACATGTACCATGGTTATAATCAGGGGAAAACAAGAAGTTATTTATTTCCCTCCCAATATTTACCCCAACATTCAGTTGGGACCAAAAAGCTCAAAGGCTCGTCCCTCTGGTGTTGTATCCCGCATGATTAAAAATTGTAATATATATTAAAAAGTTATGATTAAGTCCATATACAGTGTTTCAGTTATGCGATTATTATCAATATGATCATGGTTGAACCAATGGTAAACAAGGATTACATTTCCCTTCCTTGTGCTCTTTTTTTTTCCTTTTCTGGTGCTAATAATCATCTCATTTTTGGAGGGAAGACGATGTAACAGGGATGGGACAAAGAAAGGGATTCTGGGCTGGCTGTTAAAGCTCTATTTCTTGACCTGGATTATTGTTACAAGGGTGTTTGCCCTACATTCACTAAGCTATACTTGCTTTTTTATGGTTTTCTGTACCTGTGTTTTATTTTACAAAAAAGAAAAAAAGCTTAAATAAACTATGCAACAAGAACCAATAAAGCCTCTCTTTGCTTAGTTTTCTTTGAATGCAACTTTAAGTCTTTCTACAACCCACCCCCAGTAGTTTTATAAAATAAATCTTCATACAACTTTCCATACAAACCTGCCACATAACCTATCAGTTCCATTTTCTCCTGGATCCTGCGGGGTGCATACCATCCTCCAATACCAATCTGAATTGGTTGCCCACTAGGACTGCTTCCTGGCTTCAGCCCCTCTTCACCCCCTTCCTGTGTTAGGTCCCCTTTCTTCTGGATGCACATTTTCTTTGTTTACTTCCTTGTTTTAATGAAACCAAGGCACATGTGAGATATATTCTTTGAGACTCTGCATGTCTAAATGTCTTTATTCTCATATGACTGACTCATAGTTTGGCTGGATATAAAATTCACAACTGAACATCATTTTTACTCAAAAAATTTTAAGTACAATTTTCATTGTATTCTAGCTTCAAATTTTGTTAGTAAGAGACTTTCATATTCCTTTTTTTTTTTTTCGGTCTGTTGTTGAAATGTTCTTTTCAAGCCTAGTGTTTTGAAGCCTAGTATTTTGAAAAGTCATATGACTCGGGAGATCTTTTTCATCTATGGTTCTAGGTACTGAATGTGGCCTTTTATCTGGAGACCTCCTTCTTTGGTCCTGGTAAATTTTCCTGTACTCTTTCTTTGATATTTCTCTTCTGAGTTTTCTCATGAGCTGTTAGACCTCCTGGGCTGATCCTCTTGTTTTCTTATCTTTTCCCTCTTCTTTTCTTTTTTCTTGTAAAAGGCAAAAGATTTATTCATTCTGAAGGGAAACCAGAGCATCCCCTCTTATTTTCTATCTCTTTGTCTTTTGTTCAACTTTCTGGGAAATTTCTTGTCTCTTTAAGCCCTTTAGCTAATTTTTTTGCTGTCATATTTTTTAATTTCTATGAACTTAAATATGTCCTTTAAAAATTACATCACGTATTTATTTCATATAGCATCTTCACTCATTTCTGAAGAATATGGTGTCTTTGAAGTGCTCTCTCTGTATTGTCTCTGTTTTCACTGAGTTCCACTTTATCTGTTTCTTTGTTTTGGTGTCTCTTTCATGTTGGACCTTTTCCTCTGATGTCTGTGATCCTTATGTGCCGATTCGTACCACCCTCCTTGTGAGGGAGCACATTCTGAGATTCCTCACCTCTGGGCCAGGGCTGGTTACCAAACAGCCTTTGCTTACTATGCCACCTCATCTGCAAGCAGTGTGGATGCACTAAAAACTAACTGCAAGCTCTGTGTACAGGGTACTGTTTGTAAACGAGTGTACTTTGCTCTAGGACTATATAGCATGATGACCAGCTAGCTTATTTCAGAATTTGTAGGGTTAGTTCATTTCTTCAAAAGATCATCTTCTAGTCTTCTGCCTGGGGAGGAGGAGGAAGAAAAAGGGGAGGAGGAAAAAGAGGAGGGGGAGGAAAAAGAGGAGGGGGAGGAAAAGCCTGGCTGTCAGAGTCTTGGAGTTAGCTTAGGAAAGGCAATGGCTGAATCCCACTGACAACCAGAGTCTGTCCAGACAACTCCTTACCACACACCCACCTCTGGGCCTGGTGTCCCCAAGTCCAAGGTTTCTCTGGTTCATTGTCTTAAGGGAACATACTTATTGCCCCCTGTGGAGACAGCGGAGTGGTGACGACTGTAACGGTGGAGAGTGAAGACAATTTGAAAGTCTAGCTGAAGCTTACACACAGATGTACAACCAATCCCTCTCTTTTCAGTCCCCACCTTAACCCCACCTTTCTCATTCCTGGTTTCTCTGGTATCCGGTTCTTTCTGAAATCACTTGGATGCTTAAGTTTGGCCCACATCCATTCTACTGGATGCCTGGTTCCTCCATCTGCTTTCTGTCTTCATGGATCATGACTTGGGGTTATACATACATCCTAGATTTACTGAAAATAGTGACAGAACTTTTGTTTTTTATTCTGTTTTGGGGGTGATTCTGAGAGAAAGAGGGATAAATGTCTTTATACCACCATTTAAAATCCCTAAGTCTCTGCCTTGGTTTTTAGTATAACTGTGATTATCTTTTTGGTTTTCTGTATCCTCTAAATTTTCTGCAATGAATACATATGACTTTAATAAGAAAATGCATACACACTCAAAAAGTCATTTATACACAAAGGGATGCAAAAAAGCCTGGAGCACCCACTCCTGCATCTTCCTTACTCCTGCTGAGCCAGCTGGGACAAGGAAGAATCCCTTGCCCTTCACGCCTCAGCTCCCTGACATCTGTCAGAGATCCCCAGACCCTCCTTGTCAGGGAGCACATCCTGGGGTTCCTCACCTCTGGGCCAGGGTTGTTTACTTAATAGCCCTTACCAACTTTGCCAGCTCATCTGCGAGCAGTGTGGATCCTTCATGCATTCTGAATGGTCATGCCTCCAAAGCCACATTTTTGCAAAGAGAATTCAGTGTGTGTGTGTGTGTGTGTGTGTGTGTGTGTGTTGAACTGGCACTCAAAGATTGACATTCTGCTGATGCCACTGCAGTCAACATCGGGTGGGCATTGCCCGGGAAGTCTCCATGACCACTTCCTACAGACCTACCTGGTCCCTCCACTTGAACACACCATGAGGGGCCCTTCTGAAGCAGGCACCCTGGGCCCTGGAACACTCTTAAACTTCAATGACCCTCTGGTCCAAGGGGGCTCTGAGACCCCAGGATCTAAAATGCCCTGCTAGCTGGGTGCAGTGGCTCACGCCTATAATCCCAACACTTTGGTAGGCTGAGGGGGACAGATTGCTTGAGTCCAGGAGTTCGAGACCAACCTGGGCAACATGGTGAAACCTCACCTCTCAAAAAAAAAAAAAAAATATCAAGCATGGTGGCACACGCCTGTAGTCCCAGCTACTCAGAAGGCTGAGGTAGGAGGATCGCTTCAGCCTGGGAGGCAGAGGTTACAGTAAGCTGAGATTGCACCACTGTGCTCCAATCGGGGAGACAGAGCAAGAATCTGTCTCAAAAATAAATATATAAAAATAAATAAATAAATAAATAAATAAATAAAATGCCCTGTAGGCCCCCATGAGCTCGAGACACATGGGGCTAAGAGGAACCAGTCAGGAATCCCAAGTACTCACATACTTCCTGAGCTCTCGGATGGGGCTCCACTGTGCTGATGACACTGCCATTCCAGTTGTCCCAGGTAAGCAGGAAAGATTTCAGGCATGTTCTTTCCTCCTCCTTGCTTCCAGGAACCTTTAAGCTTCAAGCACTCCTCCCTCCACTCCCCAAGAGCTTCCGCCTCCTCTACCACTAGGATGGCAGGTTTTACAGCCTGACCTACAATTAGATTCTGCTGGGAATCCTAGGAGAATTGATCCAGCCAATTAAGTCAGGAAATTGCTCTCTAAATTTAACATGTCCGTCAATCTCATCCAAAATGGCAGCATTGATTTGGTGGGCTGAGGCTTTGAGGTTATCTTTATTTAATCCAGCAAAAACTATATTAGGCTTCTCCCACCTCACAGATTTGCCTGTTTCTCAAATTTGATTTTATTAAACTCAGCAGTATAAATATCTCATAAAATAATTCTCATCAACACTCTCCCGCTGGACTCACACCCTGGAGCTGTTGCCTGAAGAGATGCTAAAGGAGCAGGCAGAACTCTCGCCTGTTTTGTCGCCTTTGGTGTACCTTATGTCCCCACTTGTGAATCTGCTTATCCCCAACATCTTTTCCAAAAAGGGTGTAGGACAATGTATGTGTACACTGTATGTGTATTTCCATTCTACAAATGGAAAGATATCATCTATTAAAGATAAGGCTACTTGGGGCATTTCCCCCGCCTTGAGAGACCATCTGCCACCCTGGTGCATTGCTCAGATTGCCTAGACTATGCAAGAGGAGCCCACGCACAGATGCACAGAGACATTTGGAGACTGGATATCATCTTTAATTAATAATGCCACAGCCCAATGTCTTTTTTGTTGCTGTAGCAAATTGTGATTGTGTGTGCGTGTGTGAGTGTGTGTGTGTGTGTGTTCCTGAACAGATGAAGGGCCAGCAGAGACTCCCAAGCAGGTCTCAGCCAACAACTCTGTTGAGCAGCAACTGGAAGATAGTCTCCATAGAGGCACAGAGGCCAGACTTCTGCCTCCTATGGCATTGATCCTCTCTCCTGGGCCACCTTTCGTGCATTGAGGGCAAGGCTGAGGCCTGTACCAGCCCAGATTAAAGGACTTCTAAGCACAGGTCAGCCTCCAGTTCCCAGTACTCACTGCCTCTGACCAGAGGGATGCCCTGGGTAGAGTATAGACTTCCAGGCAGAGGTGGATAACCTGCGCTGGCCTTGGTCCCATGTCATACTGGGGCAGCACCACAATGGCCCAGCCCTGGCAGAAAATCCAGAGCTACTGGAGCCACTTGATTGATTACTTTCAGAGATAATCAGGATGTAGCAAAGGCCTTTTTTGGGGCCAGCTGGAGAAGGCCAGACTCAGCTTGTGGGGGCCACAGGAAGTTGTCTCCAACCCAAACTTAAAAGCCTGCCCTCTTGCCATCTCCATTCTCCAATTCCTCAAATGCCCAGTAGGTCCACAGCCCAGGCATGGCAGCATAGTGTCAGCGTGACAGTGGGTTGGAAGATAACCATGAGAGACCTGGGCTGAACTGGACCTGCGGCCATATGTCAGCCTGAAACCAGCCCTTTCCCCCATGGTCAATGCCAGCCAGAGCTCTCTGAAGCCGGATGGGACCCCCCACAGGCAAGGCAGCAAGTTCTTGGCCTAGTGCAGAGGGAGAAAACCAAACTGGCTCCACTGTCCCATCTCCATCTGCTCTGTGCCTTATGAAGGCAAGAAGCCCAAGTCCCCAGGACGGCGGTATCAGCTGTTGGGGAAGCACCGTTGTCCAGGTGAGGCCTCGGGCCGGAAGCTGTGTTTGTTCAGGGGGCTTGGGTAGTAAGTAGTCGTGTACACATTGGTCTGCTGCAATGGGTAGAAGTTGGCTCTGTCATCAGGGATCAAGTTATTCTTGTTCAGGGTCTGTGGGTGGAAGAAGGAACCAGAGAAAGGGGTGAGGGAACACACAGGGGAAGGGAACAGGCCAGAGCAAGGAGTCCAGAAGCCAGCCGTGCAAGAACACTCAGACTGCGGATCCAGTGCTCTGTTCACACCACCACTGCCCAGTTCCACCCAGCTGAGGGCCAGAACCCCTGCACTCTTCACCCTGCCCTCCTACCCTGCCCTCTGCTTCTACAAGAAGGCTCCCGGCCGGGCGCGGTGGCTCACGCCTGTAATCCCAGCACTTTGGGAGGCCGAGGCGGGCGGATCACGAGGTCAGGAGATCGAGACCATCCCGGCTAAAAACGGTGAAACCCCGTCTCTACTAAAAATACAAAAAATTAGCCGGGCGTAGTGGCGGGCGCCTGTAGTCCCAGCTACTTGGGAGGCTGAGGCAGGAGAATGGCGTGAACCCGGGAGGCAGAGCTTGCAATGAGCCGAGATCCCACCACTGCACTCCAGCCTGGGCGACAGAGTGAGACTCCGTCTCAAAAAAAAAAAAAAAAAAGAAGGCTCCCACCTTGAATTCCATGGGTGTGTACTTTTCATTCTTCGGGGTGCCTCCGCCCTTGTAGTGCAAATGGTTGGGGGTGGCAGGATGGACCAGTGTGGACTCCTGGGACTGACGCTGGCAGTGCTGGCAAGACAGGTACACTGCTAGGGTCAGGAGCCCAGAGCCCAAGAAGCAGGAGATGCCCGTGGCCACCAAGTGGATGAGATTGAACCCTAGGGGAAGAGAGGCAGGTAGTAAGATGAGGGCCACTGTGAAGAGGACAGACTCCTGCCTGCCTCCCTGGGAGCAGAAACAGCAACAGGAGGCTCTGAGGCATCCTGGAAAGGGCTCTGAGGCCACAGCCAAAGGAAACAGGGAGGCTGGGGAGGCTGTCACTGGGGACCTCTTTCACAAGGTACCCTGTGGCTCAAGTCAGAGGTGGCAACCAGAGGGTCTAGAGTCAGATGACTCTTCCTTGGGTACAGACTGATGATGGCCTCCTAGCTGGGGGGGGCATGGAGGGAACTGCCCAGACCACCCTACACACCATCTCAAAGCAGTGGGGACCCCAACAAAGCTTGGCTGTCTGGAGCAGGATGTGGAAAGAGTCCAGACTTTGGAGTGGGGTGCCGGAGGGCTGGGAGGACCGCAGCATGAGGTAGGTCCGGTTTCTTTTACCTGCACAGTCGGTGGCCTCCTCCATGCTGGAGGCTGGCAGGATGACTGCAGGAAGACCAGTGGACAGGGTGTCAGGGGCGGAGACGAGAGGAGGGGGGCCCTGCAGGGTAGGCGTAAGCCTGGGAGGACCTCTAGGTCAACGCTCAGACGTAGGACTAGGTAGGCGTGGGGGCCTTCATTCCCCTCCCTCTCTCCTCAGACCCCACCTCTGAGAAGGGCTAGCCCATCCACAGGATGAGGAGGGCCCAAACCCCAAATGTGTGCATGGAGGCAAATATGGGAGTTTTCTTTCGGCATCTCCTTCCCCCCACTTCCATGTTTCATCCTGTGCCCCCTGCTCCCCACCAGGACACAAGCTTCAGAAGGAGAAGGAAGTTGGGAGTGCAGGCTGGGAAGGGTTGCTGCGCAGGTGCTGGCAGGGGTACCTACCGGGAATCTCGCTGTAGGGGCAGGGGCGGCTCTGGCTGCTGTTTCCAGCACAGGCGCTGGACCCTGGGAGGAGCTCCTCACAGTGCCGGCTTCGGCTCTGGGCTCCGTCGTCAGTGCACTTACTCCACTCAGACCAGGGCGACCAGCCTTCTGGGGATTGTGGGTAGGATGAGGTTAACTGCCCAGGGACCCCCTGGTGGGGATCAGAGGGCTCCATGTCGCTTCCCAGCCCTGGCGGGATGTGCCTCATACCTGGGCAGGCCTGTGTGGCACATAGTGCCTCCTCCGTGTGCAGCCCGAGACAGATGTCCTCACCTGGGGAGGGTGCGGGGCTGGTGCAGGAACGGGTGCGTTGATAGTGACCCCCACCACAGGAAGCTGAGCATGGAGACCATGAGGTCCAGCAGGACCAAGCACCCCGAACTGCAAGGGGACGGGGTGTGTGAGGGGCTGTAGGGGCAGCCAGGGCCCAAGACGGTCTTCCATCCCATACCAGCCCAGACCACTCTGCCCTGAGCCACAGTGACCTCAACATCCACCCGATCCACCCGCCACCCAACAGTCCACTGTTAGGGAGTGCCCCCACTCCATGCGGCAGGTGAGGGAAACGCAGGAAGCAGCAGAGACACCCGGAGGGAGAGAGACCGACTCCACCTCCAATCAAGCTTCTTACCTGTCTAACTCACTAAGAAAGGTGAAAAAAAAAAAGGGACAGGGAGGATAAGTTGAGGCCGTACTCCACCGGAGTAGCCATTGCATCTACGGCCGGGGCAGAAATTTGCTCTGGGGGTCCCTAGCACAGAGTTGGCAGGGAGAAGGGGTCACCTGGGCATTGGGGTTCCTGGGTAGGCCTGGGGCGGGGAAGGGGGCCTCCAGGATGACAGGGTTTCGCTAGGCCAAGGATTCCTTCCGTGCAGGGTTACCTGGGCAAGCCTGGGGGTTGCAGTCCTGGTACTCGGCAGCATCGCCCACGCAGGGCAGGCCCCCGTTGCGGGGCTCCGGGTTAGTGCACGTTCTCTTGCGGACGCGGAAGCCCAGCTCGCAGTCCCGGGAGCAGGACGACCACGGGCCCCAGGCGGCCCAGCCCCCGCTCACCGTGTGCGGGGAGGTGCTCCCGCTGCGCAGGAGGACCTCCACCAGGGCTGCGGAGGGGCTAGGCCTCAGCGACTGGGCGCCCGGCCACCCCGACCCCGGCCTGGGCCTCCCCGGGGCTCCCGCCCCCGCCCTCACCGCTCCGGGGCTGGGAGAGAGGAAGGAGGGGGCGCCGGGCGCGGGGTACCGTCGGTGTCGCAGGAGCCGGAGCCGTCCGCGGGACAGGTCCTCGTCTCGGTCCTTCTCCTGCCGAACTGCAGGCCGTGCGGGTCTGCAAGGGGCGCGCGGCAGGTGAAGCGGAACCGCTGCTCCTGCCGTGCCCCGCCCTGCGTCACGTTCACGGGCAGCCACGGCGTCCAGGGGGTGTTGCGCCGCACTTCGGGGCAGCCCTCGGGGTTGCACGTCTTGAACTCCTGCGGGTGGCGGCAGAGGCAGCTTTAGAACCCCACGGCCTCCAGGCCCGCCCTCCCCTCGGCTCCAGTACCCTACACCGCGCCCCTGGCCCACGGCCCCAACCCTCACCACGCCGCAGCCCAGGCAGGAGTTGCCGTTCTCGCAGGCCCGACGCCGCGACTGCATGCCCCCTCCACAGTTGCTGCTGCACTTGCTCCAGGAGCCCCAGGAAGCCCAGAAGATGGGCACCGGGCAAGGCGTGTTCTCATTACAGAACCTGGGGTCGGGGGAGAGGCGTCAATCCAGGGAGGGGGACCCCCTTCCCTGACGAGAGGTCCCTGGGAGTGCAAGACCGGAAAGGACGAGAGTCCCCGGGATCACGAGGAGAATCCAGGCCACTTTCTGGGGGGCCCGGTTAGTCTGGGACCTCAGAGCAAGCCTGTTCTCCCTCACCGTTCCTCCCGGCTCTTGCCCACGCAGATGCGGCCCCCGTGGCGGGGAGCAGGGTTGCTGCAACTTCGCTGGCGGACCTGGAAGCCGATGCCACAGGACGTGCTGCACAGCGCCCACGATGACCACGGGGTCCACGCCCCATTCCTGGCGGGGTGGGAGGGGACAGAGACAGATGCCCCTCTGAGCCCTAGCTTCTTAGATCTAGTCTGTCTCTGGGCCGATGTATTTTCTACTGCTGTCAGAAAGGGCTGGACAGTGACATAGAAATATCTTCTCCTAAACAGGTCATCTCAGGCAGACTCGCTCATCCATCCGTTCATTTATTCCTCCTTCAGACATGTATTGAGAGCCTTCTTCTATATATCATGCTGTGCTCAGGACTAAGGACGTAGAGGTAGGACATGGCCCCATCTCACAAGGGCCAAAAGGGCAGACTCTTTAGAGAAGAAGGCCCTAGTCCCCTTTCCAGTCTGCAGCCTCCCTTTCAGCCTTCCTGGCTGGTCCCAATCCTTGCACTGTAACCAACACTCTGTCCCCTGTACTATATTGCACATGCTTTGCTCCAGCCTCAGACACTGCTCACTCATGCCTACTCTGACGCCAATTTTCAAATCTGGGCTCTACCATTTGCTGGCTGTGAAACCCTGGGCAAGTTACTAGAACCTTCTGTAACTTAACTTTAAAGTACTCTTAACTTTAAAGTAAGGACAATGATTGTATTCCTACCCCCATGAGGTTGCTGTGAGGGCTACATTAATAAATGTGTATGAAATAGTTTTTTTAAGAGTGTCCAAGGCTGGGTGTGGTGGCTTATGCCTGTAATCCCAGAGCTTTGGGACGCTGAGGTGGGAGGAACACTTGAAGCCAGGAGTTTGAGACCAGCCTAGGCAATATAGTGAGACTCCTGTTTCTACAAAAAATTTTTAAAAATTAGCTGGGTATGGTGTGGGCACCTGTAGTCTCAGCTAATCAGGAGGTTGAGGCAGGAGATTACAGTGAGCCATGATCACACCACTTCACTCCAGCCTGGGCAACAGAGTGAGACGCTGTCTCAAAAAAAGAAAAAGTGTCTAATGGAGTCCCCAGGTACCAGGCACTGTGCAAGCTCTGTATATACCTTATCTCATTTAACCCTCCCAACAACTCTTGGGTGGGTACTATAACCCTCACTAAGAGAAGCTTAGAGTGGTTAGGTGGCTAGGCCACGGCCACACCTCCAGACAGTGGCAATCCGGAATTGGCACTAGATTTGCTTGCCTTGCCATCATCCCATGCTGTTCCTCATGTTTGGGATGAGACTTACTGAGGCACGCTTTTGTCTAGGAGTGACCTCCATGCCTGCCCAGCATTCCACTTTGCATCAAGAGTCACCAAGAGATAGAAACTTCTCTCTCACTAGCGTGGAAACTCCCTCAGGGCTCAGGTTTCCTGCCTCAGATATTAGCCACCTATCCAGTCCCTAGCACAGCCCTGAAGTGGTTTCTGTCCCTTAGTGCAAACACCCAAGTGAGGGGTCCCCGTTTCCCTAGTTCTCCCCACCCTGGTCCAAGGCAGACACCATGTAAACCCTGTCCTCACATACCTGGAGCAGTTGGCGATGTGGATGGCTGGCCCCAGGCAGTCAAGGCCCCCACAGCGGGGTCGAGGGGAATCACAGGATCGAGCTCGACACAGGCAAGAGCCTGAGTTGTCCCCATCCAAGTGCTCACATGGTTGCCATGGTGACCATGGGCCGAAGCCCCCATCCCGTGTCACATTCCGCACCTGAAGACACACATGGGAGACAGTACCCCTATTACCCAAGCCAAGGGCAGGGAAGTCATAAGATCTCAGGGGATTGGGGGAATATTGGTGGGGAGTCATAGCCTGAATTGAAGGAGGGGTCTGAGATGGGAGGACACAAGGGGATTCTCACAGGACAGGCGGTGATGTTCTGGGTCCAGAGGCTCATGTTGGAGCTGTCCTCGAGTGTGCTGCAACGTTGCTGCTTCCCGTCCCAGCCACAGTACGGGTCCCGGGCCCCCAGGCATGCCCTGCCAGACAGACGTCCTGAGATTCAAGCCCACTGGCTTCCCAGCCTCACCTGCATCTCAGGAACACACGTGAACACTCCCCTCTGTGCACCACTTTCCATCCATTTGTCCTCCATGATAATAATGAAGTTCATTGGGCCTTTACTGTGTGTAAGGCATCATTTTAAGCACTTTATAAGCATGAATTAATTTAAATCCAGCACCCCAATGAAGTGGGTACTGTTATTATTCCCATGTTATCTGGGGGAAACCCAGTGACCTGACCCAGGACTCAAACCCTCATCCTCCAGAGACTGCACGTTTAAAAGAGACGGCACTGCTTTCCCCAAATATGGGTGCCCCATACTCCTCACCCACAGCCACAGGTGCAGATGTGGTTAACAGGAACCCAAAGAGGAAATGCCTCCCTGGCACATGCTATGATCATAGAGTCATAAAACATTAGAGATGGAAAAAGCCTTACAGATGGTTCTCAACCCTGGCTGCACATTAGAATCACCTGAGGAGCTTTCAAAACATACCAATACCCGAGCCCACCCCACTCAACACTCTCTAGGGGCGAAGTAGTGTTTAAAAGCTCCCTGGGTGATTCTAATGGGAGCGAGGCTGAGAACCTCTGGGATCCACTATACAACCTTTTCATTGTACCAAGGCAAGGAGATAAGTAGTTTCCCTGAGATCACACAGATCATAGGTGGTGGAGCTGGGCCCAGACCTAAGCTTTCTGACCACGCTTTTCCCCTCACACTTCTGCTTCCCACGGGAGGTTGTGTCTGATTTCACACACTGAATATGAGCCCATCCCTCAAAACACAGCGCAGGATCGGCAGACACCTGGGTACTGTCCATGGTCACCTGGAGCACCCACATGCTTGTGCTGCTTAGTGGCAGGAATCAGAGTCTAGTGCTTTAGCATCTTGAGAATGAGCTCAAGCTGTAGGCGGTCACATCCCAGTTCTCGGTTCCTCAACCCTGAGGGCTGGTCTCTCTACAGTGGCCCCAAAATGATAACTGGTTCACACACTGATGCATGCCCCAAATGCCTCCACTTCTCATAGTCCAGAGCTTCTTTCTTCTTTTTCTCCTTTTGATGTCTTCATGTAATTTTTTAACAGAAAAATCTAATCTCCACTAGTAGGACTTGAAAGGGGAGAAAAAGTCTGTGGGGATTATGGAATCAGGCTTTGCTATCCATTGCTAAGTACAGAGAGTATCCAATCCTGGTGCCAGAAGGAGGGTCCCTCCAACATTCAGCCCACTGCCAATCCTGGGGGATACCTCGATCCCTCTGGTTCCTGTCCCCAGCTTCCACCCCCTTCTGAGCCAGTCTGCTGAAGAGGGTCTGGAGAGAGCACTAAGCATGGGCTCAGAAATTGGAGGTTGGAAAACAGAAGAGGCTTTGGAGAAGGATGTACTGGACTGCAAAGAAGATGGAGCCTGGCGGGGAGTTCACAACATTCTGTGAGTTTGCAGGGGGATCTTCCCATTGGACAAAGGGGCCAAAGATGCCTAGGGCTAAAGAGATACACCAAGAACAAACGAAGAGCTAAGAGTTGCAGCTCTTGGCATCCCTGGGGTAGAATTTTTCTTATCTCTTGAAGCTTCAGGGAGAGTAACCTGTCAGGTGAATTCTTAACTTGCAGTGGGTTCAATAGATCATGTCAGGCCCCAGAGAAAAATGAGGTTAATTATACAAAGAAGAGGGTGGGGCTTCTCCTTGTCAGCAAAGGAGGGCAAAGAAGACAGTACTATCTGCTGCTCTTGGCCAACCCGCAGCCTCATATAAGCGAGGCAATCATGGGAGCCCGGTGAGCACACTGTGGCCCACCCAGGAATCCAGAATACTTAACTGTTGCTGGGGTATCTGTTTCCAGTTTATTCACTCAAGGACAATTTGGGTAAATTGTACAAGATAAATGTGGTCATATTTTCCTCTGGGATCAATGGTTTGATTTGAGGGTGTTTTATCAGTAGAGTCCATCAAACTGGACATCGTGGGACTACATGCAACACATGTACACAAGTAGTCCCAGCAACCTGTGGTTTTGAGACTCTGCTTACTGGCTGACATTGGGATCAAGAGGACTGCTAGCAAATTCAACCAATGAGAACTCAGCAAAGCCCACTCCTGAATTTATTTCCTTCAGCACTCAAAAAGGGGCATCAACCTCTTACAGGCAGCTTACGTGGCATTATAAGTGACACAAATTAACTGGAAAAAAGAATTAGCCATAGCTAGTGACTAATAATAATAATAAACAATATTCTATTAATCAAAAACAAATGTCTGCCAGCAGAGAAAATGGGTAAGAGCAGAAAACCTGAATCAGCTTATGTAAGACAAATGCAGAAGATTCTGGAGAAATGCAATTGGCCTCTTGCTCCTTCTTCCATCTAGAGCCTAACCAGTTTTACAGCAGGAGTTCCCAGGCTTCACTGCAAATTAGGATCTCCTGGGCATCCTTTAAAAAGCGTAAGCAAACAAAACAAAAAGCCCACCAACCTATACTTTGGCTTTTTGGACTGGAATAGGCCCAGGCACTGGAATCTTCTAAATACCCCCCAGGTAACTCTGCTGTGTACCCATGGTTGAGAACTGCTGTGCCAGGGGCCACTTTTGTCAAGATTCCCAAGCCAAGGGATGAAGTGTCTTGTCTTTCCAAACCATGGCAGAATAGCAAAGAAGAAAAACGTGGAGTAGATGCTGGCTCCAGTCTCCTTTCTCCAAGCCCTCTCACCCCTTCAGCTTCCCCTGCCCTCAATTAAGTCCCAGAGAAGAAAGAGGATACCAGATTCTTCATGGACACGCCTGCCCTGCCCCTTCCCTGGCAGCCTGAGGGGACCCCTGAGGCTTCTTGAGGCCAGTGCCCGAGCTCTCTTCTTGTGAATAAAAGGGATAACTGCCTCCTTGGCTCAAGTGGAACCACGTTTGCTGCTTTTGGCCAAAGGCCACTTCAAAGCTTACAGAGCAGGGAACACTCTTAAGAAAAATGAAAGCTCCAAGGATAAGAGACTTAAAGTGTGTCTCTGACTGTGGAAATGGGTGGCAGTTTAGAGTCCTTTTCATAAAGGAGCCATCAGACCAATAATATATCACCATGTCTTTTTTTTTTTTTTTTTTTTTTTTTACTGCAATGTCTCAAGCAGCCATTACAAAAAGGAACAGGTTCATTCCATGGGCTCGGAGGTGTGACAGAGATGGATGGTGGAAGTTGCAGGCAGGCTGATTCCAGCACTGTGGTGTAGTAGTCTCACAGTGGGAGCTGTCCAGGGTGGAAAAGGTATCTCTGAAGCTTGTGAGCAAAAAAATGGCTGAGAGTGGGCCTTCCCTGTGCTCATGGGGCAGCCAGGGGAGATCTGTGAATGAGTTGGGGGTAGGTTACCCCTCTCAAAGGCAGGGTGAAAGGCATGCTGGAAGGAGGAAAGGGGTGGTTCATGCATAAAACACCCGCTTTGCAGAGCCAGTCAGCAGTTTATTCCCCAGCTCCTCCTCGTGGGAGCACTGATCTCTCTCTGGCCAGGCCAGGTCTTGGAGGTGCCCCGTGGGGCTGAGATTCTCCTGAGTGAAAAGAGGCAGTTGGAGATAACCCCTGGATCCTGGGCAGAGGAGGGAGCCTGAAGAGGCCTCTGCTTACCCACCCTCATCTTCCTGCCAGTTTTGGAAGGCATGAGGGAAAAAGCATGAAATGCCTATCCTAGGACACAGTAAAACCTTGTGACAACACTCCCCACAGCAGTGCAAATTCTAATATATTGTGGCAGTTTGCTCCCAGACTCCTGGGGTACACAGCTTGGTGACTGTGTGTACTTAATCTAGCCATTTTTCTAATCTTCTGATAATGTGACCTTGCGTTTCATACTTTTTGGATTCACCTATAGTTTTTTAGCAGGGTTTTCACTGTACACATCAAGGGCTCCTATCCCAAAGTCAGGAAACAAAATAGGATGAAAGCACCAAACTCCAAACTGACCTCTTTGTGCCTTGCTCCAGGGCAAGAGTGCAATGGGCACACTACACAAGCTCCCCAGCCCCTCTCTGCAGAATGTGAGCGCAGGCCTCCCTAGCACACCCCACTGGAGCTGAACATCCCAGCCCCTTTCCTTCCTCCCGTCCACTGCAGGCCCCGTTCCTTCAGATCTGGCTTAGAGCCATACTAGGCCACCTGGACCATCCACCTGATACATGACAGTGCTGTTCACCACTGTCTGATTGATCTTTTCACACAGCCCGTGACTGCACTCCACTGCTCTAGGACCACTCCAGTGCCCACAGCCACAGGATTCAAGTCGAAGTCCTCCTTTGGCCTTCTCAGTTGGCCTCAATCCAGTTTCCAGTCCCATTCCCCATGTTTCTCCTGCGCCAAACTCCTCTCACGCCAAAGAGTCAGTCAACTGAAGGATCAGTCATGTGTGGAAGGCCACTTGGTGCCTTGGGCTGGGTGGGACTCCCTGGTGGAGTATAAAAAATACTGAGACACTGGGTTTGCCTTTAAGGATTTACAACCTCTTGGAGAACAAGCCATATGTGAAAGCCTGTGATTCATTGCCAAGCTGTACTGACTATATTCAATGAGACTCCAGAGGGCCTAGGAGGCTGGAGGGCTCCTAAATGCATTTGGGGAGATAAGAAGTAATAAAGATACCAGCTACCTCTTGTGATTTGCTAGACTGGGCACTTTATGAATACTAGTCCCAATCCTTACAACTCTGCCTGTTAAACATCATTTGCTCCATCAAATGTCTCCCCGTTTTCCAGATGAGAGAGCCGAAGCTCAAAAAGATTTAGTTGTTCAAGATCATACGGTTAGTAGATGATGGAGTTGAGATGGAGCCCCAGGTGTGTCTGGTTCCACCATGTGAGTCCTTCCCCCCACACCCGACCATCTCTCCCCACATGTCTGATATAGGCCAAGGTTCTCTTCCCACCCAGATATCTGGAGATCTGAGGGAAATCAGTGTTCGGGGCCTATTTCTCTTGCCTTCTCTCACACCAACAGTCTTACAAAGTGTCCTGAACATGGTATGTCTTAGTAAGTGTGTGGTGTCTCGCTGATGGAGACTTGTGTTGGGGCTGAAGGGAGCTGGAGTGTCTGCCCTGAGACTCCCCCTCCTTGGCTGCCTCACCAAGACCATCCAGCTCCTCTTGGCCCCACAGGCCTCTGCCCAGCTCCGAGCACACCCCACTGGAGCTGAAGAACAGCCCTGTATCATGGATACCATTTGTCTTCCCAATCTTGAGGACAGATGGCACAGCCAGGACTCTCGGTTGCAAAGGCCACAGAAGCTCGCATGGCTGTGGTGGTGCCAGCTTCTGAGTATCATGAAAATGAGGCCATGCAGCCTGGGAGAGCCTCGGGTGGTAGGAGTCTGGGCTACATTTCCATTTGGCTTTGGAATAGGCTTTGGTTTCCCCCTTAAACACTGATGCCACAGTTGTCAAATCTGTGAGTCCGCTTGAAGCTACGGCATGAAGAACCAAGTTCAGAAGCAGTGGGAAGCCAGGGCAACTCCTCCACGTGGCGCCTCACCTCTGCCCTACCTGCAGCAGCCCTCTCTACCTCTTCTAAGGAAGGAAGCAAGAGGAGCAAAAACGTGGGGCTGACTCAAAGCATCATCTCCATCTGTCCCCACATCTGGGCAATAAGTGCTGTGGCTTCAAAGATAAAGAACTCTCTGTACAGAAAGGACTGAGAATAAATCAAGTGGGCTAGAGATGGTTGACTGGCCCTAGCTATGTGTTTGACAACAGGGATAACAACAGCCACCCACCAAAATTTGCTAAGCACACACTTCCTCCAGGTACTGATAAGTGCTTTATGGAGATTATCTCAATTAACCCTCACAAAAACCCTGCAAGATGTTTTACGAGGAGAGAACCAAGGTTCAGCGAGGTGGAGTGACTTGTCCTAAGGCACACTAGTGGAGACTGCAGGGACCGACCCCAGGTCTCCCGGGTCCAAAGCCCCGCCTCTTAAGCGCCTCCTCCGCAGTGGAGGCCTCGGGAGCCGCCCCGTCCCGGCTTACCCCTGGCTGCGGTAGGCGGCGCACCTCTCCAGTGGGACCCGCAGGACGCCGTCTCTCAGCCCCACGAAGAGCGCGCGGGCGCTGTGCAGGATGCGCAGGCTGCGCAGGGGCTCGCGGCGCCCGGGGGGCAGCACGTGCAGCTCCTCCAGGTAGCAGCCGTGGAGGCTGCGGCTCGCCGTGGACAGCGCCTTCAGGATGGTGCCCGACTCTGGAGGAGAGGGGGAGCCAGACCAAGGTGGCCTTGAAGGCCCCGGAAGCTTGCAGCCCCGCGCCGTCCCTCAACCCACCCCCGACCTGCAGTCCAGGTTGGACCGGGCCGGCTCACCGGTGCCAATGTAGAGTACATGGTAGAGCGTGTCTTTAGCCTGCACCAGGTCCACCACGAGGTGTGAGAAGCGCACGCTGTCCTGGGTGACACAGGGCTCGGGTGTCACCGGCTGCACGGCCTCGCTCATCAGGAAGAGGCGCTGCGCGTCCTGCAGGCTGCGCTCCGTCAGGTTCTCGTTGGGACCGGTCTCAGGCAGGGTGCCACACTGCCGCGGGGAGCCAGGTCACGCGCGCCCCGGCCACCAGGGCTGCCGCCATCCCCCGCCGGCTCCCTCCTCCTGGCAACCCAGGTGGCCACAGCAGCGGACGCTGATTCTCCAGCACCCCCCACCCCTAGCATCCCTGCTGGGCGTCCTGCACCCTTTCCAGGGTGGGATGCCTCTTCTTTGGGAACTAAGAACAGGAGACTGGGGAGATGGGGAAGGAGGATCCTGCCAGGGTTGGGGAAGAGGAGGGAGGAGAGCAAAGGGGACTGGACTATCTAAAAACGGATACTTTGAGTGTGGACGAGTGTCCGGTGATTTTTATGCTGTTGCTGCAGGCTCCCCTCTCCTACCTTGGGCCAAGCCTGCTGTCCCTCTCCTGTGTCCTTGCCAGCTCAAAGTTCTTATGATTTCTAAACCAAAGCTGGAAGCCTTCTGAGCATCTCCTACATTCCAGGCATATGAACCTTCTCACATATCTGTGAGGTATTATCTCTTACAGTATTATCCCTAGTTCCAGATAAGGAAAAGGAGACTGAAGGAGGTTGGATGACTTTTTTGTCCAAGGTCACACAGAGATAGGCTAGATGGTAGGACTGCAAAGCTTGAGGTCTTTCCCAGCTCCATCCCACCCCCTGGGTGGGAAGCTGGGCGAACACGAAAGTCAACCATCAGCAGCCTCCTCTGCCCCCTGGTTCTTTCCCTTTCTCCATGGGGATGGGGGATACTCACACTACCCACGGCTGGGCCCTGACCACACCCTGACCACTCCTAGCACTGACCACTTCCAGGAATTAGTACCCATGTTGAACACACTGCGAGAAAGCTCTGCTTAACATTCCCAAATTCCAGCCAGACAGCTTGTGTAGTGCTTTCCTGGTCCTCTACACTGTGGAGAGCTGAGGTCCCACTTCCCTGCCTCCCTGGAGGTGTGGGCTCACATTTAGAGATGGCTCGGAGCATGCTTCCTCGCACTGCCCCTCACCCACTCTCCCTCACAGTTGTAGAGGCTAATACCCTCAGGGAACCATTGTGGACCCCAGAGATGGGCATGGACTGGCAGGGACGGGTCTGGTGTCTGTCTGTGCTAAGCAGTTGGGAATCAGCTTGTGGCTGGTAATCTGGGGGTAAGGCAGTGTGTGAAGACAGGGAAAGAGGAGGAGATTCTGTACCTGGAAATTGGGGATGGGGTTGGCTATGGGGAGCCAGGCAGCCCTGGGGTTCTCCTGGTAGCGAAATGGGCCATTGAAAGCCTGGGAGATAGCACTGAGGTTGAAGGCGCAGACAGCAGAAGCCGCGATGCTGTTTCTGAAAGGCAAGAAGTGGTGGCACAGGGCCCTCCCTGTAAGACCTGGCACCCTCCTCATAAACCCCACAGCCAGCTGTCATGTCCAATTCCCAAGGCTCTGTAAGCATCTATGATGTGTCTGGCACATGGGGGGATCTCAAAGGGAGGAGATGTGGTCCTCACATTCTGTAAACCCCCTGGGAACGACCCACTGACAAGAGGCACTGGTGAATCCTTCTGTGCTACTGCCTCCCTCCCTCCCTCCCTTATTCGGGGGCGCTGAAATACAGTGGCTTTCAAACATTGTAGTCCATGGACCGTGGTAAGAGATATATTTTACCCTACAACTCAGTATAATATGCACACATCCATAAAGAAGTTTTATGAACTTACCCTTACTAAATATGTTAACACTCTGATATTTTATTCCATTCTATTCTGATTTATTTATTTACAAAAGCTGATTACCAAACCACTGAGTTATGCCATAGCCTGCCACACCCTGAGTTCAGATGACCCAGGAGACCCTTTCAGTCACAGAAGCATGTTTCCATGAATCTTACATGAACAGCTCACAGAGAGGAAACCACCATACCAAACGCCTCCAGTTATATTCTTCGCATTTAGTTCTTCTCCCAAATGTGTCCATTTCTCTCCACCTCTGCCTGGTTTCAGCCCCCCTCTAGTCCCCTGAATGCTGCATTGTCCTCCTGGTGGTCTGCCTGCAGCCTGTCTAGTATCCTAATCCATTCTCCACATGGCAGCCAGAGTGGTGAGCGTTTCAAAATGCACCTCCGAGCTGGTCGCTGGACTGCTTCAAACCTGTCAATAATTTCTCCTTGCTCTTACAATAAAGATTAAAGCAGTCTGCAATGTCCTTTGGGACATACCCTCCCTGCCCTACCCCTTCACCCTCCTTCCTGTCTTTCTTCTCCTCACCCTTAAATGTCTTGCCACACTGATCTCTGCTCAGCTCCTGAAACATTTCTTCCCACCTCAAACCTCTGCACATATTCCCTCAGGCTGGAATGCTCCTCTCCCTTAGTTTATTCCTATT
Organism: Homo sapiens; assembly: GCF_000001405.40. Classification (NCBI taxonomy): domain Eukaryota; kingdom Metazoa; phylum Chordata; class Mammalia; order Primates; family Hominidae; genus Homo; species Homo sapiens. The sequence goes on from NC_000003.12 coordinate 122,924,790, forward strand.
CATCTTATAGATGTCACTTCCTACAGGAAGCTTTCCCTGATCACCACTCCTCTATACTGTTAGAGGCTTTTCTGCACACTGCCCTTTCCCTTTGTAGCATTTCTCATGATTAAAATTTGTTGTTTAATATCCATCACCCTGTTTAAGCTTTTAAAGGCTGAACCATGTCTGCTTTTGTGACGCCGCACCCCTACCAGGACAGGCACCTGCATGGAGAAGGCATGCAATCAATACACTATTTAGAATCCACACTGATGGCGTCAGTTTCGATGCCTCTCCACCTACTCCTGACTCTCGTTTCGGTCCACCCCCTCACACTGTCTTTCCTATAGCTAGCCTGGCCCTCATCCAGTGCCTGCTATCTGGGGCCCAAAGTGAGCAAACACCACTCCATGCCTTATAGGCTTCTGGTGTTCCTACAAAGCACACTGTGCAGCCAGTGCCTTCCTTGGTCTCGGTGCCCACCCATCACTGTCTATATCAGGGTGTCCAATCTTTTGGCTTCCCTGGACCACATTGGAAGAAGAGTAGTCTTGGGCCACACATAAAATACACTAAACACTAACGATAGCTGATGAGAAAAAAAAAAATATTGCCAGCTGGGCGTGGTGGCTCACACCTGTAATCCCAGCACTTTGGGAGGCCAAGGCAGGCAGATCACGAGGTCAGGAGATTGAGACCATCCTGGCTAACACAGTGAAACCCCATCTCTACTAAAAATACAAAAAATTAGCCAGGCATGGTGCCACGTGCCTGTAGTCCCAGCTACTCTGGAGGCTGAGAGTCAGGAGAATCGCTTGAACCCAGGAGGCAGAGGTTGCAGTGAGCCGAGATTGCCCCACTGCGCTCCAGCCTGGGCGACAGAGCAAGACTCCGTCTCAAACAAAAAGAAAAAAGAAAAAAAAAGAAAAAGAAAAAAAGTATCGTAAAGTTTTCAGAAAGTTTACACATTTGTGTTGGGCCTCATTCAAAGCTGTCCAGGGCCACATGCAGCCCAAAGGCTTTGGGCTGGACAAGCTTGGTCTATAGGAAAGTCACCTGTTTGGGTTAGCCTCTTACACAGAGGGAGGGGGTGGGAGGAGGGTCCCATGATCTGTGAGGGTTACTCGTCCTCACACCTAGGAAGCAAAAGGGGCTGCCATTCCCAGCCTGGTTTTCCAGCACAGTCTAGATGGGAGGTGATGGCAGGGTTACCAGAAGACTGCTGGTTAGATTGAGCAGAATCACATAGTCCTGAGGTTGGAAGGGACCTTAGTGAATTCCTGTTGAGCCTCCCTGTGGCTATTGCTGCCTGCTCCCCTCCCCTACATGGCTATATCCCCTCATCCAAGGCAGGCTTTTCCACCTTCATCACCAGCATGTTCCTCCTTCATGCAGCCTAAGGCAGATTTATTTGCTTTATTCATCTCTGGCCTAGGCTTGCCCTTCCCAGCAACCCAGAACACGAGCTTACCGCTCCAGAAGCAGTAAGTCACAAAATCCTCAGATGACCCCCGGCAGGAGGCACGGCAGTCCCCATTTTATAGATGAAGCCCACCAGGCCATGAGGCCAGGCCAGCTCCTGACATCACAGGCAAGGGGCTGGCAGAGGGCAGGACTCACACGTTGGTTGTGAAAACTCCATAGATGAGGTCCTGCTCCGGCAAGTGGAAGGCACTCTGCAGCTCGTTATAGTAGAAGGGGACCTCGCCCGGGCGGGAGCAGTTGAGCCGGGCCTTCATGAATGTGGTCCATGTGTCCTCCAGCAGGAATCGGCCCCCCACGTCATTCTTGCACACGCGGGCCACGCGAGAGTACACGGTGCGTCCACAGTCGTGCTCCACTGCGTTCTCCCGCAGGAAGAAGTATGCAAACAGCCCAATATCATAGGCTGCCACGAAGTTTGGCTCTGGGTGGGCAGAAGAGGAACAAGGGGCAGGGCAGGCCAGCGGGGAAGAAGATGGCAGAGTCGGGAGGACTCAACTACTTCGGTTTTCCCAGATGGGCATCCTGACATCCTTCTCTCTGCAATCTTGGTGACCTGGGGGCCCTAACTAACTCTCTTCCCACTTCCAATACCAAGGGCAGCTGTAATATTAAACATGTGTTACCGCCCACCTCTCACTGGGTGCCAGACACCATCCTAAGTACTTTATGTGGATTAATCCAGTCCTTCAACATATGAGGTAAATCCTATGATTATCCCCATATTACAGATACAACATTGTGGCACAGAGAGGTTAAGTACTTGCTCAAGGACACACAGCTATTTAGGTTGGTTCAAAAGTAATCGCAATTTTCACCATCACTTTTAATGGCAAAAACTGCAATTACTTTTGCGCCAACCTAATAGTTAGTGAGGAAGCAGGGGTTCAACCCCAAGGGCTAGGAAACTCATATGGCCCTTTCCATACCCTCCCTCTCTTTCTTTTTTAAGAGGCTGGCTCTTGCTCTTTCACCCAGGCTGGAGTTCAGGGATGCGATCATAGCTCACTGCAGTCTCAAACTCCTAGGCTCAGGGCATCCTATCACCTCAGTCTCCTGAGTAGGTAGGAATACAGGCATGCATCACCACGCCTGGCTGATTTATTTTTTATTTTTATTTTTAGAGACAGGGTCTTGCTATGTTGCCCACGCTGGTCTCCAACTCCTGGCCTCAAGAGATGTTCCTGCCTCAGCCTCCCAAAGTGTTGGGATTACAGGCATGAGCCACTATACCTGGCCCCGTAATTTTTTCTTATCCATAACTTGTTTTCCTAAACAATTCCTAATTATCTCCGTCTCTCCTAATAGCCCACCCTCCATCTGTTCTGTGGCCTCGGGACATCACCTGTGATTTCGTCTGGGGCCCATCTCTAGCATGCTCTGGTCTACTCTGCCCTACTCTGGACCTCTTCCTTGATGAGGCAAGTGGGAGCACTTGCAGAGGTTGGCAGGAAGGAGGATGAATGGGGGGCTCAGGGTGGGCTGGTGGGCTCAAAACCAGGGGAGTCCCCACCCCTGGCACTGGGGCCTCCTTACCATTAAGCCACTTGGAGTTATATTGGGCAGTGCGAAGCGGTGGCCCACTGCCCAGGCTGCGGTAGATGGCAGGGTCCCGACCTGAGAAGTCGATGACCGTGGCTGCATAGAGCTCCCCCTGGGAGGAGATGACAGCTGTGGAGTTGTGGCGTGGGTCATAGGGGCAGCGGGCCACACCATTGATCTTCTCAATAGTCCGGCTGAGGTTCCCCACCTGGGGACAATGGGGAGAAGGGGACACTTTTCCCTGAGGCCCTGGGGCTGCCTGTTCTTTCCATCTGAGTTTTGTTTCCTCCTGTGCCCCAGTCTCTCTGGGCCTCTCCCCTCCTCCAGCGTCATCTCACTGCTCAGCTCATGGTCCCTCTGAGGGAGCAGCCCTCAGTGAGGGAGAGGTCCTCCCAGTAGCTCCATCTGCCTCCAGCCCCAGTCAGGACCCTCCAAGGTAAGGCTGACCAACAAAATACAGAAGGCCCAGCTCAATTTGAATTTCAGACGAACAGGGAGTAAATTTTTAGTATAAGTTTGTCCCAGACACTTCATGGGACACATTTATGCTAAAATATCACTTATTGTTTATCTGAACTCCAAATCTAACTGGGTGTCCTTTTGTTTCTGTTTTGGGTGTCTGTTTGCAAAATTTGGTAACCCCCCTTCAAGGCTGTGTGCCTAGGCAGGAGAACCCCCGGCATGGTGCCCCCTTCAGTCTCCTCCACCCTGAGGTGCCCACCTGTCTGCTGGTGCACATGGGGGAAAAGGCATTGGTTCCACACATGAACACCTTCCGGCCGGCGACGATCAGGACTCGCACGTAGTTCTGACACTCCTCCTGAGGCAGGAAGGAAAGGAGCAGACAGCACAGCTCTCCAGGTGCGATGCTGGATATCTCACGCTCACACCACTGCGTCATGGATGCCAACAAGTATTCTAAACACTCCCCTTGACCCCAGATCCACCTGTCCCGACGTCCGGGTCACGTCTGTGGACGTCCCCTCCCACCAAGGTCATTTCTCCGCATCACTGCTCACTCAGATGCTCAGGACCAGCTCGCCACAGGGCTGTTATCCTCACCTGCCCAAGGAGCCCCAGCTCATCCTGGCCAGGCCTCTCTAGCAGGGGACCTCAGTCCACACAGTGCTGCTCCATCCCCACAACCACAGGCCTCCTTCCAGCTCCAGGTGGGGCCCCTGGACCGCCGAGACCACGTACCTCAGTCTTCCCTTTGCTTTGGCAGGAGCGGCGCGTGTCCTCACTGGAGGCCCACTCTGTGGCCTGGGGGAGGAACATAGGAGCACACAGACATCACATGGCTGTGTCATTTACTGCCACTCACTGGCAGAGCAGGCAGCAGCCAGTGTCGGGAGTGGACATGAAGCTGTGAAGGAGGGCTGGTCTGCAGGGTGAGGGCTCCTCTCACTACATCCACATGGACGTGGGAGGGCTCCCAATCTCCTTACCCAGAGGTCTTTCACAGGTGGGCACCCTCAGCCCAACACCCCACTGCCTGCTTGTGTCAGAGGAGGCCTGGAGGAACAGCTTCTGAATCTTTCATCATCCCCACGCAGATCTGCCCTCGGAGTCAGCCAGGGAGCTGGAAGTGGCCGAAGGACCTTCAATCCCACCCCAGGCCCTGGGTGGGGAATGCGCCTATTCTGTGCCAGATGGCCCTCAACTCAGCGGCAGGCAGGAAGGGAGAAAAGATTTGGCAAACCCTGAATGTAAGAGATTTAATTTTCTGTTGACAACTCTGGGCTTTTTCCTTAACAGATGGGGAAAACCAAGGTTCTGTGTGACCTAAGCAAGTCACACAGAACCTCGTGTAGAGCAGGGACTGGAACCCACATTTCTGATTCCAAAGGTTATGTGTGTTCCCACAGTCTTAAGGGCTAGGACTTCCCCTTTCCTAATTGCTCTCCTCCCTCCCACCCCCACTGTCTGCACTTTCCTCCCAGCTTCCCTGGTAGCATCACTCATGCTCTGCCGTGGGGTAATGTGTCTGGGGACACAGCTTTCATGTGGGGACCTGCAGGACAGTGCCATGTTCTCACATGCCCATGGCATTAGGAGAGGGCTGTCCCCAACCCAGGATCTCTTCTTCCCCTTCATCTATTCTGCCTCTACTCTCTCTGAACAGCAGCTGAAGGGAGGCGTGATGCCCTCCACGTCCAGGCAATGTCAACAGCCCTGGCGTGGCTCATTATATATTTCTGGGTCACGTGTATAAACATGAACTGCCTATCTGTCCTGGGAGAGGGAGCCCTGAGAAAGCAGCTCTGTCTTCCAAATGGGGAGGGGAAAAAAAAGAGCCCACCTGCTTTTAATTTCTAACAAGGCTGTTTCTAGCCATGAAGTCACTGCCTGCAGAGCCCCAGAGGCCGCAGTGTGGGAGGGGAGGCAGGGGGCCGGGAGAGCGAGCAGCAGACCTCTCTCTGCTTTCCAGCCCACAGCCAACCTGCCCTGGTGATGGCTGCTTTGTGAGGCAGAGGGAGGCTGACTCCTGCACACCCTGGATTCAGGAGATGAGTGACAAGTTTGGAGCCCAGGCTTCTGTGTCTCCCAGACCTTGGAGAAGAGCAAAGGACCCTGAATCTGGCCACAGAGCCACGGTGTTCATCTGGACAGAAACAACCGAGCACTGTCATACTCAGGACCCATCAACTCCCAGGCTGAGCCTGATATGAGAGAAGAGAGGGCCATAAATAAGAAATCTCAGGGCTTCTGGGGACAGAAAAGAGCAACGAGCCACAAACATTGCAGTTGTGCAGGCCAAAAGCCCCGGACGGTGGGCGGCTCTGCGAGGACCGCATGAGCAAAGGGTCCTCGAGTCTCTGAGCAGAGGAGCACACCAAAGGGGTCAGCCTTGATTCCATTGAAGAGGGGGCTGTACCATAAGAGGAGTTAAAGTTACGCTGAATTCAACAGTGGGACAGGCACTGTGCCAGGGACTTGACACACTTTTTCTCTTTGATCCTCACAGAAAACAGTGAAACACATAGCCTTTTGCTTGTTTTACAGGGAAGAACACTAAAGTCCAGAGAGGTGGAGCAAGTTGCCCAAGGTCACACAGCTAGTAAACGAGAAACCCAAGATGACTCCAGACAATTGACACCAGAACTAAGCTCTTTCTGCTACATCCTGCAGCCTCTCACAGTGAATAGATTTCTCTAACCAAAAGTTAGGCCATATGCCCCCAAAAAAGTATATAGGTTTATAGAGAGAACAGCACAGAATGGCTTTTTTGAGACCATTTATTTATTTTTAATTTATTTCAAAAATTATTTTTATCAAATTAGTGATGCACAGAGTTTAAAAAGTTAAATAGTATTAAAATGTATTAATTAAAACTCCGACGACCCACTCCTCCCATAGCCCACCCCTTTTCCCAAGGACAACCACCTTCACCTCTTTTAGTTGTTTCTCTGTTTTTTAAAATCGATTTCTAAAAAATATGTATCAATCTCAGTCTTCATCTTTTGAATTCCTGTTACAGAGGTGAAGATTTTTCCCACTTACCCACCACCGTTCTTCCCCGCACCAAAGCACACGTAACATTTCCCATCTCCCCATCCTCCCATTATAATGACAGTTTTAATTAAAATCAACATTGGTATTTACAGCCAGTACCCCAGATTTCACTGAATATATGGCACCATCAACTTGTAATATGAACCACTGAGAAACAAAATTGCTGCCAATCAAATGCTCTTATTAGTTAAAATTTTAACGTATACATATTGAAAGTGCTCTTATTCAGACATATGTTTTATCATATATCAATCTTGGCATACAAAAAAATACGCAAAATTGAGTATCCTTAAACCTTTGAATTCAGTGTTCATCTCTTCTGAATCACTTTTTAGAGTTGTCAGTGCTCATTTTTGCTGTTTGTCTGTTTAGAGAATCATTCTTTGAACTACCTAGGTGTCAGTGTTGCAATAATTCTTAAAGGACTCTGATCTCCACAATTTTCTTCCATGCCATTGACATCATCCTGCAAGTCTGGATGCTTATAGAATGAGCACGATACCAAAAGATGCCTACAGGTTTTCTGACACACCAGGACTCACATTCTTCCCTCATGTGATCCTAAAATGGTTTGTGGACTGAAACGTCGAGGGGTTGCTGTTGTCTGGTCAGAACACCAGAAAAAATGACTAAGTTCATACCTGCACAGGCATGACAACATCAAGACTGCACCTGGCTGAATGTGACTGTCAGATGTCTTTAACTGAAAGACACGTCCCAACTTCAGACTCATTAAAATGTGAAAACATGTGCATGTGAGTGAGAATCAATGAAATATTCGTATTCTGATAAGGTTTCCCTTTTTTGAACAATGTTTTGGTTTTCTTGGACTGAATAATTGTCTTGATTGTCTCCATTTGCTTGTTTTGCATGGAACTATCACCAATTTTCCCCAAATGTCCAACAGGTCTTACACATCCCTCTCAATATGATTTTTTTTTTTTTTTTTTTTTTTTTTTGGAGAGAAGGTCTTGCTCTGTCCCCCAGGCTGGAGTACAGTGACACAATCATGGCTCACTGCGGCCTCAACCTCCTGGGTGTTAGTCCAAACTGCACCATTTTAAGCTTCCCCACTATTTTGCAACCCTTGGTCAAAGTGAAACATTTCCCAGGCATTCGGGCTGTGAGAAACATCCTTCTTAATCACCTGACCACAAGGTAGACAAAGGCCCAACTAAAGAAATATCCCTATCATATCTCGCTGGGCAAAGGTCCAAGGAACACTATGATGACATCCCACGGGAATAAGGGCCAGAACTGCCTCATCATGGGAACATCTTATCAATATCCCGCTGGGCAGCAAGCCATACTGCCCAGACCCCTCCCACCCATACCTATAAGTACCCCTAGCCTGTAAGCAGTGGTGGGCTCTGGCATTAGGCTAGTTTCCCACTTGTATAGGTTTATGCTGGACATAGAGCCTGCATTTGCTGTTGAGCCACCCTCTTGCTGTGTGTGTGTCTTTCTTTAACCTTCACCTTCCCTTCAAAACCTAACACTGAGCTCAGGTGATCCTCTTGCCTCAGCCTTCCAAGTAGCTGGGAACACAAGTGCACACCACCACACTTGGCTAGTTTTTAAAATTATCTGTACACACAGGGTCTTGCTGTGTTGCCCAGACTTGTCTTATACTCTTGGTCTCAAGTCATCTGCTCCCCTCGGCCTCCCAAAGTGCTGGGATTCTAGGTGTAAGCCACCATGCCTGGGCTCAATATGATTTTCTTACTGCATGCACAAATGATTCAGATAATCTGTGAGTTCCCATCCTCTTCCTCATCCCCCAACCTCCATCTTCCTGCCTAGTGTTCTGGCTGCTCTCGAGGCCTCCTGCTTGACTGTTAGCCTGGGGCTTACCTTCTTTCCTCTCCTGCTTTCCGAATCGCATGTTTCCCTCTTTCTTGATTTATTCGCTTATTTTGGTGGAACACATCTCCAGTATCTTCCTAGGAAAAGGAACATGGTAGATCAATTTTTCAAATTCTTGCATGTCTGATTTATTCTCTCTTCATACTTGATTGGTAGTTTTGATACCAAATTCTAGGTTGAAAATAATTTTCACTTGGAATTTTAAAGGCATTTATTCCTCCATTGTCTTCTAGGTTCCAGCATTGCTATTGAGGACTCTGATGACATTTTCTTTTTCTTTTTTTCTTTAGGCTCTGGAAACTTTTAGGATCTTCTCCTTAATAACAGTGTCCTGAATTTCACACTGATGTGCCTTAGGACGGGTCTTTTTTGGGAACTCAGTCAACCTTTTAGCATTGAAGACTCATTCTCTGTTTTGGCAAATTTTCTTACGTTAGTTCATCCTTAATTTCTTCCTCATCTTTTCCTCTGTTCTCTTTTTGGAACTCTTAATATTCCAATCCACTGTTGGCCTTTGTGCATTGATCCTCTAGTTTTCTGATATTTCTCTCCTATGTTTCATTTCTTTTTTGTTGTTCTGGTAGGTTTTTCTTCAACATTATTTTCTAATCCTTCAATTCAATGTTTATTTTCCCAATCACATTTTAAATTTCCATATTTTAAGTTTATTGTTTTATAAACAAAATATTTTGTATCTCTCAGAAGATACTAATTGGTTGTTTATCATTAATTGAATTTTTTTTTCTTTGAGACAGACTTTTGCTCTGTTGCCCAGGCTGGAGTGCAGTGGCATGATCTCTGCTCACTGCAACCTTTGCCACCCAGGTTCAAGTGATTCTCCTGCCTCGGCCTCCCGAGTAGCTGGGATTACAGGTGCGCGCCACCACACCCGGCTAATTTTGTACTTTTAGTAGAGACAGAGTTTCACCATGCTGGCCAGGCTGGTCTCGAACTCCTGGTCTCAGGTGATCCACCCGCCTCGGCCTCCCAAAGTGCTGGGATTACAGGCGTGAGCCACCGTGCCCGGCCCAAAAATTTTGTTTTTATAGAAGTAGCCCAGCTAATTGATTGTAATACCTAAAGAATTAAAGGATCTAGAAAAAGATCATCACTGATTACTAACATCAAAAGAGAGAAAATCAGACACTGTGTACCTCCTAAAGAAAGGACACAAGAACACCTATGAAGTAATCTTGCCAGAATCTAAATTGAATGAAGTTTTTAGCTCTAACAATCAATGTACAGGTGATACAGGGAAGAGAGCAACATGTTCAGTCATGCCACCTGCATTACAATCAGCAAAATCCAGGCTGTGGGAAACTCTATAGGACAAGTGACGAGGTTTCTTCAATAAAAAATTGCACAATAAAAAATTGCACAGAGAGAAATATTGTTTTAAAGAGACATATCAACAAATTGCAGCATATTTGAATCCTGATTCAAATAACCAAAATTATTTTAAAATTTTATAAGACAAGTAGGGAAATGTAAACATTAACTGGACATTTAGTGATATGAAGTTATTAACTTTGGGCCACTTAAATAAAAAGAATCCCAGCCTGGTATGGTGGCTTATACCTGTAATCCGAGCACTTTGGGAGGCTGAGGCAGCAGGACAGCTTGAGGCCAAGAGTTGGAGGCTGCAGTGAGTAATGATTGTGCCACTAGCCTTAGTGACAGAGTCAGACCCACCTCAAAAAAAAAAAAAAAGAATCCCTATTTTTTAGAAATGTATACTGAAATATTTATGGATGTTATGATATGTCTGAGATTTGCTTCAGGACAGGGACGTGGGGGGATGTATGTAAATGAAAGATGATTGACCTTGAGCTGATAATTGTTAAAGTGCTATTGAGTACACGGGGTTCATGTACAATTCTCTTTGCTTTTGTGTGTGTATGAAATTACGTGATAAAAAAAAGCATCTTTGTTTGTTTGCTTTAAGAGTAAAGTACTAAGCAGCTCACTGGGAACTCCATGGGAGGTCTCATAGAGACTGGTGGGCTTCTTGTAGGGTGCTGGGTGAGGAGCCTTTTTCACTGGGAGGCCCTCTATGTCATATTCTAAAAGTCTGGTCTCTGTAGTCATTGAGTTTTTCCAGCAAAGACTCCCTTAGTCTCCTGCCTGGAAGTGGGGCTGGGGGAGCAGGGGGTGGGAGGAGGAAGTAGACTTTCGTCTGATCACACCCCATCAGTGCCCTTTAGGAGTCTCTGAATATGGAGACTTTCTAGTTGAATCTTTGGAGAAAGGGTCTTGATTCCTTTATTGGAGGGAGGGAGAAGATGGAAGAAAGGATTGCTGTTCAGGATGGGACAGGAGACCTGGGTCCCAACCCTTTAATTTAGAGAATGTCAATCAATCCTTCCTTTCATCCTTGTACCTCATCCTCACATCATACAATATGGGACACCCAATTCTGGGGCCCTTCTGAGGAGTCAGCTGCCTGTCCACTGCATCCCTTCTGCAAGCCGACCTGCTCTATCCACTTTTTTTTCTTTTTCTTTCTTTCTTTTTTTTTTTTTTTTTTTTTTTTGACAGATTCTCGCTTTGTTGCCCAGGCTGGGGTGCAGTGGCGTGATACCTGCTCACTGCAACCTCCGCCTCTTGGGTTCATGTGATTCCCGAGTAGCCTCAGCCTCCTGAGTAGCTGGGATTACAGGTACCCACCACCATGCCCAGCTAATTTTTGTATTTTTGTAGAGATGGGGTTTCACCACGTTGGCCAGGCTGGTCTTGAACTTCTGACCTCAGGTGATCCGCCTGCCTTGGGCTCCCAAAGTGCTGGGAATACAGGAGTGAGCCACTGTGCCCAGCCTCTATCCGCTTTCCATTGCCCCAGAATGCATAATCTCTTCTTCACTGACATCTTTTTCATTCTCTCTGTTGTTGTGAATGTGCACCCTTTAAAATTTCTCACTCTTTTTAGTGGAGTTTTGTGAAGGGGTGGAGAGAGACGTGTCTGATCAATCTGGAACACAGAGTGCTTTAAACAAGGGCTGTCCCAGAAATTCCAGGATGATCTCTAGTAACAGTAGCTGTGTGGTTTTCACGCTGTGAGAGGAAGCAGGCGACACCCAGGGACGTGGATCATCTCCATGAAAACTCAGCAACTCCCACGGACACTTGGGGGCCAGGGACAATGGCTGAATGTCAACGCATCTTTGGAGCATTAAGTCCACTGCTCTGTGGAGTTTCAACTTCAAACCACTCCAGGGCTGCCAGATTTGAGCTTGGAGGACGTGGAGATAAACTGGAAGAGAGCTCAGGCATTGCCCTCCATGTCTGCCCAGGCCCGAACAAAGCCCCATTATGCGTCCTGATGCATATGTGCAGAACAGTCCTCGTTTCTGCCTCGCAGGATATCTGGCAAACCAAGATCATAAATCTGTTGCAATTAGGCCTCCAGCCAGGTCGTCCCATGGAACTGTTCTGGCAAAGGTCGCTCACGAGCTCCTAATTGCCAACTCCAAGACAGCTCATCATGCTGGTCCTCTCAGCAGCCCGGGGATGCTGTCAATCACTAGCCTCCTTTTCTTTCCCAGTACCAGTTTATTAAGTTACACTGATAAATAACCACACAGGTGAGCTGATTTGATTTCCCCCACTCCTCCACCTCCAACACACACACTGCCCCATCTGCTCCTAGCTGCACCTCTTCCCTACTTCAGAGCTTGGAGGATTGGGAAGGAGCTGGGCATTCGATTTTCTTTAAGGAAGAGTGGTTTACATAAATTGTTTAATAGGGGTTAGGTACTTGGAAGTCCCTTAATGGATACTCGTTTGCAAAAACTGTTTACATTTAGATTTTTCTTTACGTAATGTTAATTATTTAAACTATCAATAAAGCATTGAGTTTTAAGTTTGCTTAAATCATGCCCTGGGGCCAAGTGGGAGAATCAGTTGGCTCCATAATGGGGAGTTTTAACCCAAGTGTAGCCCCAGGCCACAGGGAGAGTAGAGGAAGCTGGGCGGGGGCACCCTGGCCCAGCCGCCCTTGTCAGCAAAGTGGTACAGATCATTTTCAGCACTTGGTTACTGGTGACAGCAGACACTGAGAACTGAAAGCTTATAACCAGGGACCCAAAGCTCCCGGAGAGGGCACTGGCAGGGCAACCCCTGAAGTTAGGCTTTGAGAGTTACAAGTCAGGGCTTCCTCACCAGGCCAGACAACAGACAGGAGGACCGGGCACTGAAGACCAGAGGCCAAGGTCTGCTCCAGGGGACACTGGATGGCACACCCCAACCTCTTGCTTGTTCTCTCCCCTCTGTGGACAGATGGTACACACCAGAGTGGGAACGTGGACATAAAATGTATTTATTCCCTTAGTTCTGTCACAGTGAATCCAGTCTGAAATCCTGAGGTCAGGCCCCTAAGAGACATGCTGGGAAAGGTGGTCAACCAGTTCCTGGTGCTTTGGGGGCTTGTCTGTAGGGCCCTTCAGGGAATGCCGTTGGAGCTGAGACCCTGCTCCAAGCCTGAGCTATGGGCTGCCATAAGCTACCTGCCCCAGGCTGACACCAGGTCAACACTGACCTGGATGAACCAAACCCCAGAACTCAGTCATCAAGCGCAGTCTTAACAGCATTGCTTTTATTTCTGTGTATCTATTTCTCTTCCTCCCTTCAGCCACATTACACTCCTAGAAGGCCTTCATCTGCACACCACAGGAACCAAATAAAAACCCAGCTGCCTGGAGCTCAGGGTGGGACCCCTGGGTCCACTTCCTCCCGCCCACTTTGAACCTCCTCTGCACTGGCTTCCCCCAGGCCCTGACCTGCTGGGTTTGGCAACTTGGCTTACTTTCCGGCCAATGGAAACTAGGCTCTGGACTGGCTGCCTGTGACTGAGCTCACAGGCCACAAGATGCTGCTTCTGGGGAACTTCCCCTGCCTTGCTCCAGCCCAGATCCCAGGAATATGCTGCACAGCCCCTCAAGGGAATCGTATGTGATCCCTTATGTGCATATTCCTTGCGGCAAGGTACTGGGCCTGATTCACTTTAGAACTCAAATGCCTTGTACCATGCCTAGGATGAGACCTGGCCTTTAGTGGTTATTCAACAAATGTTTATTGGATGGGTGGATGGATGGATGGATGGATGGATGGGCAGGCTGGCTAGTAAAGGTATGGATAGAAGGACAGATGGACAGACAAATGGATGAATGGCATTTTCTTTCAACTTGCCCTAGTTCCTCCCAACCCTTCCCTTCCAATGGGCACAGATTTTCTGCTTCCTTATACCTCCCCTCTAGCAACCAGCCAAGAACTGCAATGTCCCTGGGTGTGTGGACCCAGGTGTGGCCAGAATGTCATACCAGCTCCCCAAGAAGGTCTCCCTTGTGGCAGTGAAACTCTATACCAAACAGCCCAGCAAATGATTAAGTTCTAACTTCTGATTAGGTTAGTCACTCATCATGTTTTCCTGAAGGCCAGAGACTCTGCATTTCTTATAGTCTCGTGGCCCCCTAGCCATGAGTTCTGGTACACAGTAAGTGCTCAATGAATGCTTAATCATTGGGAGACTAGAACATGTCTCCTAGACATGAGAATTGAGGCTCTCCCCTCATTGAAGAAGAGATGGCCTTCCTTTCTCTACAATATTCAGCCTCTGCAAAGATGGTTTGACATCTGTTTCTCAATCTGGGATAAATGTTCTGGACCAAGGAGTCCCATTAAAACGCCTCTCAGAGCACTTAGGGAATTATGCTTGGGAAGTCCTTCTTGGCAGCAGATAATAAATCAATCACAGCTCAAAGAAAATGCTGAGTTAGAATGGGATCATTCAGACTGGGCTAGGAAAGGAACTAGGAACACCCTTTCCGTGGAGGCCTGAACTCAGAGACCCTCCTGTGGAGCCAGGTCTGGGGACTTACAATAACCAACCAACCCAGTTTGCCCAGTATTGTCCCAGTTTTTGCACTGGAAGTTCTGCATTCTCAGTCCCAAACAGGGACAGTTGGTCACCCCAGCCTGGCATTCTTTTTCTCCCTTCCTCATTAGCAGCCTCGCTGCATGATGCAAGAGCCTTGTGTGCCTCTGCGTATATGTGAGCCACACCCTCCCTCCACGTACATTGCGGGCAGTGACTCTGATAGCTGGGGTCTGAGTCCATGGCCAGTGAAAAGAACAAGTGGCTCCTGTTTTCAACTTTAGGGGCTGAATTCTGAATGGCGCCACTTGCGTTGCCCTGCCTTGGGCTCTGGAATAGGGGAAATTATAGGAAGGGAAGGGAAGAAAGCAATCGTACCTGAAGAAGAGAGACATTGGCAAGGCTGAGTCTGAAGAGGTAGTTCCTGTGAAAATGGAAACAGACATCCTAAGTGACGCTGGTTCTGCAGGCAGGACCCAGGGAGCAGCCTCCTGGCTTGGGCCTCCTGGGACGCCAGGACTGGGTGCTGATTGCCTAGGGTCAACCCCTAAGGAGAGCTTTACCTCCATTTGCTCACTTAATCTTCACACAACCCTGGGAGGAAATCCAGGAAGCTCCAAGTTACAGATGAAGAAGCAAGGTGGGTAAATGGCCCAAGTCACCAAGATAGTAAGTGAAGGAGTTAGGATTGAAACCCAGACTTTCCTCCAAGTTCCATGCTGTCTCTGCTCCCAGCCAACTCAGCTAGCCCTGGGAGGAACCCCTTGACCCCACCTTTTCCAACCATGGAGGCTGTTAAATGTAAAGCCTCACAGCACTCTTACAGAGATGCAGACAGCCAGCTTCCTCCTACTCTGGCCCTCCACCCTGACTCACCCCTTCTCACACAGGCCAGCCATCTCTCCTGGCTCCACATCCCGGGGTCCTGAGTCCGATTTGTTTGTTCATCTCCTGCAGTCTCTCCAGCAGTCAGTGACTCCAGGTCTGACCTTTCTGTGGCCACCTTTCTGGACCACCCTCTCTCCTCTAACCCAAACGACCCCATCCACCACCTCACCATCCCTCTCCCCACAGTCCAGCCTGCACAGGGCTTCCAGACTTATCAACCTCAAACAGTTTTCACCTTCAGTAACAAAGAGGATACTACTAGTAGTAATAATGATATCAGACACTTATTGAGTATCATAAGTGTCAGCTGCTGCTGAAATTTGTTTGCATGGATGCTGGAGTCAGAAGGCCACCATGCACAGACAGGGAGAATTCCAGCTCAGCCACCTGCCACCTTCTGAGAGTCTCAGTGCCTGCATCTGTACAATGGGGAAGTGAATGGCTATCTTTCTTATTTCACAGGACTGTGGAGACAGAGGAATGGTGTGATGCACATTTAAAGGCTCTGTTCATGCTGAACAGATGCAAAGTCTTGATTTCCCCCACCAATTTTCTTTCTTTGGTTCTTCTGTCTTCTTTGGGCTATTCCTATTTTGGTTCCTAAACTTTTTAGGAACAAAGATTTTAGAAAGTTCTGGCCTACCTCAGCTGAGGAGGGAAATGAGGGGAAAGGCTGTGGAGTGGGACCGGAAGAGAAAGAGGGCCCCTGCTGAAGGAATCCAGAGCCGGAAGGAGATGCCGCAGGCCAGGAGGCTTCTCTTCCCAGCTCTGGCTCCAGGCCCAGGCCCCACTCATCTTCTTTGCTGTCCTGGGGCTGGGCGGGCCTCCCAGGTGACCTTGGCTCCAGGCCTCTGCTGTCCTTCTCCAACCCCCTCCCCAAGTCCTTAGCAGAGCTCTCCCTATCCCACCCTCCTGGCCTGGGAACAGATAAGCTCCAGCTTATGGCTGTGCCCCAGCTGCCTGCTTAGGTAACACAGGCATCTGCTCACAGCTTTAACAAATTAGGGGAAACATTGCATCACTTTATTCATTTTTATCCCATCAAAAATCATTCATCACAACATCGCAGTCAACTCTCCTGGGAGCTGGAATATGAGAACAGAGAGAAATCTCTGTAGCCTGACCCACCCTAAATCCCTTTCGGAACAAGGGAGGGTTATAAATGAATAAAAAATTTCCCTAGCCTGAATTCCAGAGATCCAGGGGTCAAGAAGAAGGGAAGACAATGTCAGGCAGAAGAAAAGGAGGAAGGAAAATGAGCTGGAGACAGGAAAAGAAAGTGGCCAAAGACCCACTACATTGGCTCTAAGAAGCCTAAGGGACCAGGTCTAGAATTGAGTTTCCCTGTCCATCTGAGGGCATAGCCAGGCTCAAGGATGCAGGAAAAAGTGTCCCTCCATCTTTGTGTGGGAAGCCTCCAGACAGAAAACATAACCACCTTCTGGGGAAGCCGCAGAGCGGATGAGGAAGAACAGTGTGACCACAGTCACAGGGTAACATAACCTCTCTGAGCTTCAGTTTCCTGGTCCATAAAATGGGGGTACATAGAACCCACTTCCTGGGTTCACCCACTTGTGAAGATTCAATGATTTACTGCAGGCATGATTTACTACATGTATTAGATTAAATACATGTGTGATTTACTACCTTTACTACATGCAGTAACTGACTTACTACATATATGACATATAAAATAGTGCCTGGCACATGGCCGGTGCGGAATAAATGGCAGCTTTTGAAATGCTTTCACAAGGTTCAGAGTAGAGTCTTCGGATGCTACCATTTGGGTTTGTTGAAGTACACATGTAAAACTAGTGAAATCAGAATTAGGTTGAAGGATCACATCAAGGCCAGTTTCCTGATTTTAATGTTGTCCTACAGTTATGCAAGATGTTAGCCTTGGGGGAAACTGGGTGAAGGGTATATGGGATCTCTATTATTTCTTACAACTGTGTGTAAATCGACAGTCATCTCAAAATAGAGAGTAAAACAATTACTCTCTTTGCTGGGAAAATAAAGTCCATCCTCCTGTATAGTTGCATATGGACAGACTCCCTCTGGGGGCACAGTCAGGAACCTCACCACTAGGTGAACCTTCAGTCAGGGGTCCTGCTTGTTTGAGGGGGTGGCCCTGCTTTTCACCATATACTCCTTTGTACCTTTTGAATGTCCTACCATAAGACAAAATAGTTAATTTAAAAATTAAAAAATTAAAAGAAAAATGCTTTCAGGCCCAGCTTCACAGCAGCCCTGTGAGACTGGTGGCACAGAGACTGTAACCCAGACTTTACAGATGAGGAAACTGAGGCTCCAAGGTCAAGATCCCCCAGGACAGGAACCCAGCTCATCCACACCTAATCCAGAGCTGTGTTCTTGACTTGCCTCATTTTCATACAGCAAATGAAGGGGTGGAGACACTAAAGAAAGCTCCAGGGCAAGGATGGTCAGCTACAGCATGGCCCGGAAGTGCCCAACCCAGTGGCCATCCTCTCCCCAACCCCACACCCACTGAGTCAGAACCTCTGGGCTGCAGAGCTGAAAAGTAGTGCAGTCCCAGGCGATAACACAGACAGACCTGCAGAGAAACTCTAGGCCTGGGTTAAGGAGACCTGGCTGTAGTCCCCACACCCTGTTGTCATCATGCTATGTGATGCTGGGAAGGTCACCTTCCCCTCTCAGTGCCTCTGCTACCGCCTGTTTAAAATAAGGACGGTTGGATGACACCAGAGATTCTCAAACTTGAGTGTGGTCAGGCCACCTGGAAGGGTTGCTAAAACACAGGTTGCCTCTTCCCAGAGTTTCTGACTCAAGAGGTCTGAGAAGGACCCAAGAATCTGCATTTCCAACACATTCTCGGGTGCTGCTGGGCCAGAGACTGCACCATGAGAGCTACTGGGGTCGGCCCTCTCTAAGCCCCCTCCCTACCAGAGCCAATGTTCTGTGGTTTCATGAGGAATGAGCTCCTCCTAGTCCACCCAGAAAGTCTCCACAGGTTCCCCCAGAGAGTACTGTCTGTTGATATTGGATCTGAACAGTGGACTAAGAGGTCAGGCCAAAGGTAGGTGAGGTCCTTCGGGAAAGGTTCTACCCCTACCCAGCCGTCCCAGGTGCAGGCCGCCGGCTGGCCGGCAGGGGGCCCCTGGGCACCTTCTCTGCATGGAACTCCCGGGGAATTGGCCCAGAAAACCATTCTGACAGCCGGGCAGGGACCAGGCAGGGACCGGGCAGGAGGTGGCCAGCAGGCGTCCCTGCTCTCACTAACTGCCAACCACAGGGGCCTGCAGCTGGCTGAGATTGCGAGGTCAAGAGTCACCCCCACCCCCACCCAGCCGAAACACGCTTCCTCCTGTGGGGGGACAGACATCCACAAGGAGAGGGCCCAGCAGAGAGGATGGGGCCCAGCACGCGGGGCTGCCCAGGTGAGTTCATCCTGAATAATATTCCCTCTACCCAGCTCCAAGCCCCTGCACTTCCCACCCCGACCCTTCTGCCCCTTGTTACCTGGCTCCCACGATGAGCTGGTTCCCGGAGGGGTCCAAAGCCAGCTGGGAGAAATCCCGGGCTCCAGGGTAGGTGAAGTTAGAGACCCACGGCTGCAGGTCTGGTGGAGGGAGAGGCAACCCTGTGGTTACTGTTGGGCCAGAGGCTCCCAGCTGCATCGCAGCAGACCACAGAACAGAAGGGTGAAAGTCAGGGGGAAGTGGGGCGGTGGCACCCGGGAGACCTGGTGCCACCTGCCCACCTCTGTGTGCCCCTAGGGACTTGGGAGTGGGTGTTGTAGTCATTCTTCTGCCACACTCCTTAGCTCAGAGGAGGGCACTACCCTCCCCACAGAGGCATGAAGGGATACTTATACTCGCCCTTGACTTCCCCCAGACCTTCACTAGCCACATAAGTACACACTGGTAAATCCTGCCTGTTCTACCTCTACACTGCCTCTGAAATCCATCCACTTTTTTCCCACTGTATCCCACCTACATCCAAGCCACCACCAGCTCTTGTCTGGAGCAGTGCCAACAGCCTCCTAACCAGCCTGGCTTCCAGGCCTGCCCCTCGAGTCCTTTTCCCACAAAGCAACCTGAACGCTTGTTCTCAAATGCAAATGTGGTCATGTCACTCTCCAGCCCAGAACCCATCCATAGCTCCCAACTACCCCCAGGAAAAGTCCAACTCCTGCGAAGGCCCTTGGGTTCTGGTCCACTGTCCTCCCAAGTCCAGTGCCTGGCACAGTGATTATTTACTGATCCCCTGAAAGAATGATGCTTCACCTTTTACATTCCCTAAACTCTCCACCCCAGCCACACTAAAACACTTCACACTTCCCCAAATCCATCCCACAAGAGCCTGCAAACCTTTGTGCTTCTGTTCTCCCTTGATGGAACAATTCCTGTTCACCCCCATCCCTACCTCCTCCAAGAAGCCTTCTCTGACTGCTTCAAGCCAGGCTAAAGGGCTCCCATAGTCTTCTACTTTACTGCCACACTGTGTGTCTAGCCTGGTAGTTTGCCCTGGGGGCCAAGAAAGACTTTGCTTCCTAGATCTCCAGGCTCAGTCCAGCACCTAGCAGTGTTTGAACGAATATATGAATAATCCTCAATTCCTTCTTGTATGAGGGGAATTGGATTTTCAGACAAGATTCTGCAGAGGTGGGAGGTGCAGAGATTGGGCGGTCAGTGTCCACCCTGCCTCCAAGGAAGGTTGTTCCCAATCAAGGCCTTTCAAAGGGACTGGGTGGGCAGAGAGGAGACCTCACGGCCTCTGGGCGGATGGGGAGTGGTCTGGGAGGGCCTGCTTAGAAAGTGCCAGCTGACTCGCCCGGTTTCCCTCCTGCTGGAGACACACTTCTCCCTTCTTGATTCACAGCCTCCTGATAGCTCTCCCTCAGCCTATGCATGACCCATGGATGGGTGGGAATTGGCAGCAGTAAGGAGAGAGCCATGGAGCAGAGGAACTTTCATGCCGCTGTTGGTAAAGATTCAGGGTAATGGGAGGCACTGTGCTTTCTCCCCACAGTGCCTTAGCAACTGACTCACAGAAGGGCCAGGAGAGAGAGAGAGATAGAGAGAGAGGCAGAGAGAGAGAGAGAGTCTGTGTGTGTGTAATCCAAAGGAAATAAATCATTGCTCATTATCCCTCCACTACAGAGTAAAAGCAGCCCTTCATTTCTGCACGACAGGCAAACATTTAATCGCTCCCTGGAGAACTGGAGGTTTTGTGAGTTGGATGTTTTTCAGAAAACTGTGATAGGCATGATTAAAAAAAGAAGAAGAAAGAAATTCTGCAGCAAAATGAAGCAAACCCCTTGGGCCTGCCTTTGCCCCCAGCAGGTGATTATAGGTTGGTGACTATAGGTTGGCAAGAATTGTCATGTAGTCACGATGGCTTTTGGGCAATATAGGATAAGAAGTGGATCTGGAGTCTGGTGGGTTAGGTTTTTAGCTGACCTCTCAGAAATCCTGGATAAATATTACATTACCTTAGAAATGAAACCAAGGATCCTCCTCCTCCAGGAAGCGTTCCTGGATTACAACCTCTCCACCCTGATCTTATTTTGCTCCACATTCTCTCTATTTTTCCATTCCATTCACATTGTATGTTATGGTGTATTTGACCACTCTGAATGTGGTCAAATATTTTCTGTGTGTGTAGGGCAGGGTCTTCCCTGTCCCTATGAGACTGGGTGCTCCCTAACAGCAGCAAGCACCTTAATTTCCTCCTTCCCTTTCAACAAGGGCATTCCAGATGTAGGCAGCTAAATGAGGGAGGAGGTGGCATGACGGGTCTGCAGTAGATACTCCATCTGGGGACTTCCCAGCTCAGTCTTCACTTAGGCCCTTTCTTGGGGAGGAGGGGAAAAGAAGAGGAAACAGGGTACAAGATGGGATAAAAATGGGGAGGTGGGGGTGGGGGCATGGAGGGTGGTGGCCTCTTCCAGTTTCCGTCCCTCTCCCAGTAGCCCTCACCCACATGGGCAAGGGGGATGGGGGAAGTGGGGAGAGAAGGAGCCGGGCATAGCACGGGGATCCTAGGGGGGCCTTGGGAAGGGAACCAGCCTGCTCGTATTAAACAGGCCAAGGGGACCAGAGGGAAGGCTGTCTTTAAAACACCAAGCACGTTCCGAGCTCTGTGTGCGGCAAAGGCTTTGGACGGTGACTTTAAGAGAAAAAGACATTCTCCATGACACGCCTGTGATTTTAATTATAGTCAATTCAATTACCCACCTTGTGGATTAACCACCGTCATTTGTTAAGTCCAGGCTGGCTTCTCCTGCTGCCTGGAAAGGTAACACTGGCAAATGAGAGAATATGCAGGCTGAAGAGAAACACAGCTTGGCCCCCCTTAAGAGAAACCCACAGGGGAAAATTTAGCCTTACAAAACAGAAAAACAGCAGTCAGATTCTGTGACTGGCAGCTCCTCTAGGGTATTTAGGGGTTATTCACAGCTCAGTCAGGTGTCAGGGGAGAGGGAAACTCACAGTTACAAGGCTGGCAGCCTACAGATTGGTCAGAAAGGAAGTGTAACATCCTAGGGGGCTTGGAGGCTGGGGTTGGTGCTGTCCTTGATTAGGGCAACTTCTCCTGAACACAGCATCCCCAGAGCACAGTCCTTTGCCCAGCATGAATTGAGTCCCTACTGTGTGCTCAGCTGTGCTAAGGGATGTGGGAACACAAGAGAACCAGTCCTGGTCCAGGACCAGAACCAGTACCAGCTGGGCTGAGGGACCAAAGGCAGTGACTTTTAACCAACAATACGAGATCATTAGGTACGCAGAGGAAACTCTTGTTCACCTCTGAGGCCCCACAGCATCCCCTTCTGTGCCTGGCACAAAGCAGGGCCCAATAAAAATTCAGCAAACGGATAGGAAAACTCAAAGCTGTCAGAATGGGGAAGGGGAGAGGGGCATTCCTTCATTCTGTAGGAGGATGGGGCGAGAAGTCAGATTCATTCAATGCATACCTGAGGGTCAAAAATGGTCTCAAGGAACCCAGGCACACACAGAAGACATCTCCCACCTCTCTGACTTCCTCCCCCAACCCAATTTGCACAGATGGAGACCTGATTGGTCGGGAGACAGGGATTCCCCAGCTCTCCTTCCATGTCCCTGCCCCCAGACTCAGCCAAGCCAATATTGCCCCCAACAAAGCCCCTGGGAGGAAATGTTTCATTAGGAGCTGCCACAGAGGCCCCAGTGTGAGGAGGCTAGCCCTAAGAATCCACTCCTTCTGTCCCCCTCTGTCCTCTTCAGTGACAGCCACCAGCACTCCAGGAGCCATCAGAAGTCTGAGGGTGTGCACGAGTTTTGCAGGCTTAGGACATTGTTAATTTACTTTAATCCACTTAAGCCTTCAAAGCCTTGGATCCCAGCTCAAACAAGACAGCGCCGAGAAGACAGCTGGAAACCTTCCTCCCTGAGAGGAGCCAACCCACAGCTGGGAATCCCACCCTTCCACAACACCCCCAGACTCTCATTCATACTGCCTCTCCCACCTCTCAAATCCTAGGCCTCATTGGTTGATTTTTCCAGCTGGGTTCCATCTTACCCCACCCACTCCTGCAGGATGGGGCTCCGCATGTCCTCCTGTATGGGCCACCAGAGCATAGAGCAACGGATCGCTCTGCAGTGGGCAGTGGACAGAGCACTGCACGTGGAATCAGGAGCCCAGAACTGAGGACTGGCTCTGACAAGCCTCTCTGGCCCACCATGCCTAGGCCTTCCCATCTGTAAAAGGCAGTGACGATCTCCTGGCACTGCCTCCCCAACAGGGTTACTATGAGGAGGAAACCTGCCAGTGTCCCTCAAACTTAAGAACCTAGGAACCCCTGAGACTACATCTGCAGATCCCAGTGTGAGCTGCCAAGTAGGTGGTGGTTCAAGAAGTACTAATGTGACTGTAACACAACCATGACCCCCCCCAAACTGTGTAACAGATCGTGAGAGAATGTCTGGTATTTGTGTTTTGTTTTGTTTTTTTTTAGCAAGTATTAGAATGTATATACTAATTTTAGAAACTCTTATCAAGAATTTACAGACCCCTTGGAATATGTCCAGTGATTTACAGATCCCAGTTTGGGAAACACTTTCATAGGACTTTCTCATACCCTCCCTTGACAAATAGAAGGAGTTATGAGTCACCAGGGCCCTTGCACCGGGGTTTCCCAAGACCCTAAAGAGAGGGATCCCTGCAGCCCCTTAGAGCAGAAGGAAGCTTTCCAGAGATCTCCAGGCACCTCCTAATGCATGAGTCATGCTGAGACCCCTGGCCACCCCCAGCCAGGGCATCCACAACTTCCTTTTCTAGCAAAAGACTCCCCTTACCCCAGGTTGGCATGCATGAAGGGCCTGAATAAATTACGGAGAGACAAAAATTAGACCCCTCCAGCCCATTGCTGCCCATCCTTCTTAAAACATCCAGCACCAGAGGAAGAGTCTCAGGACCCCGGGACGGGACCCAGCAGTTAATGAACATCCCAAGGACATCCAACAGCCAGAAACATCCTGCCAAGGTCTGACCTAAGTCCTTCAGGACACGGCCATTGCAAGACAGGGCCAAGTAGGAAGCAACTCTTACCTTCAAAGGCCACGGTGGGGTGCTTGCTAAGGGCGCACAGCTGCTGCTCACTGCTGGGCTCACTGGAGACATCCTGGGAGCTGGAGAGGTGGGACACCAGCAGTGTGAGGCTGGGCAGCAACAGCGAGACAGCCAGGGGGCCTGCAAGCACCATGATAGGCCCCTCTGCAGTCCTAGCTCCGGGAGGCAGACAGGGGAGAAGACCTGCAACGTAAACACTCAGTCTCACCAAGCGCTCCCTCCAACTGGGCCCACTTCCCTCAATTTCCTTGTGGTTACAGTGCCCCCACAGGATTTGAAAAATAAATTTCTATTGTATTTATGTTACTCAGAGTTTGCTCTGCTCTAGTAAATGCGAAGATATAGATCACTCCCTGAAAGCTAATTTCCCTTGTAATAGCATTCTGTACAAAACTGACAAATTATAGTGCCTTTTCTATTTATGATCCCAAATGGTTTAAAATTAGTTTTAATGATAAAGGTAGTATCTTAGGGATTTTAATAAATGGAGCTGAGGCCATGGGTAGCTATTTGTAAAATGATAAATCTGGATCCATAACTCATACTTTATATACTAGGAAAAAATTCAAATAGACAAAAGATTTCAATGTTAAGGATAACAATCATAAAAATACTAGAAGAAAATTCAGGCAGGATCCTTTATATCTTGGCATGGGAAACCATGGCTCAAAATCCAGAAGCCATCAAAGAAAAGATAGATAAATTTGACTACATTAAAAAACAAACACCTGCACTTCCCCCTCCTCTCCCCAAAAACAACATCAATCAAAATCATAAGGAAAATGACAAACTAGAAAAAATATTTGCAATTCATATCACAGACAAGAGACTAATATTCCTAATATATAAAGAACTGAAACTGCCTTTGCAAAAAGTATGACAGTGCAGGAAATCTGACCTAACAGACTCCATCTTGCTTCCAGCCTGCAAGTTGCCCTTGCTCATTCCTAGGCCTAGGCCAAGCTAACTGTGGAAGGAATTTAGTTTACAGTTTAACTTTGAAGCAGAGAAGATTACAGCCCCTTCCCAAAGCAAACCACCTCCTTGCTTGGAGATCAGATCTCCTTTATAATACTAACAAATTAGCCACATTATAAGACAGTATGGCTCAGGAGTCATTCAGCCAGATGTCACAAGATTCCTAATTGCTCCTATAGATAACATTATTGTAAAACCTCAGATTGGTGTTCTAGGTATTTTTCAGACCCTGCATTCTGTTGGATCTGCTGATGCCACCCAGACTGATAAACTGGTTCATCTGACCTTGTGGCCCCCCGACCCAGGAACTGAACTCAGCACAAGAAGACAGGCTTCAACTCCCTGTGATTTCATCCACGACCTAACCAATCAGTACTCTCCACTCCCTAGCCCCACTGCTCCCCAAATTATCCTTTAAATTTTGGGGGAGGCTGCTTTGAATAATGATAAACTCCTGTCCTTCTGCTTAGCTGGCTTTGCATCTATTAAGTTCTTTCTCTATTGCAAAAACCCGCTGTTCTCAATACATTGGCTTTTCTGGACAGTGAGCAAGATGAATTCATCGGGTGATTATAGAACTTCTAGGAATCAAGAAGGAAAAGACTAACAATCCAGTAGAAAAATAGGCAAAGAATATACATACAAACAAGGGCTTAAAATATGAATGACACTTATCCTCACTCATAACAAGAGCAACACAAGTTAAAACATAGACTGAGATACCACTTCTCATCTATGGGTTTAGCAAAAATCCAAGTTACTTGCTGCAGTCTTCCGGTGAAGCAGTGGGGAGAGGGCCACTACCATATACTACTGTAGGGGTTGGGGTGTGCAAGATGGCACAATCCCTGTGGGGTGATCCTGGCAATATCTGGCAAAACCACCCATGTATTTACCCGTTGACCTAGCAACCTAATTCTTTGAGTCTACACTCTTTCTCCTTGAAGTGTGTTCCACAAACCAGTGTCAATTCACACACTGGAACAACTCCACAGTCACAGAAATGCAGAGATTTGAGAGTCAGTGTTTAAAAATCTTTACAATAATTTGACAGAGTAATTTTATGTGTATTGAATCTAATAACAAAATATTCAGGTTTGTATGTTGCATGTTTTATTTCAATTCATTTCTCTAGTAATTTACTTTTATTGAATTTTACGTAAGTATCCATCTGTGACAGATTGTAAATTGAAAAATCAAACCTGCCTCTTCACAGATAGTTGAGAGGCAAAAACAGACCACAGAGGCACCTGCACATGTGCAAAGTGACTTACGAATGAGATTGTTCATTGTGCCATCCTTTGAAAGAACAGAAAGGCAGAAAACAACCAAATATTCAGAAACAGGAGATTGCCCAAATAACCTAGGGTGTATCTTCACAATGGAATATTATGCAGCTGTTAAAAAGTGTGAAGATTTTCTCTATTTATTTTATTTTATTTTTAGAGAGACAGGGTCTTGCTCTGTCTCCCAGGTTGGAATGCAGTGGCACGATCATGGCTCACTGCAGTCTTGACCTCCTGGACTCAAGCGATCCTTCCAGCTCAGCCTCTCTAGTGGTTGGGACCACAGGCATGCACCATCATGCCTGGCTAGAGGGGCATGCTCTGTTGTAAGTGGAGGGGTCTTGTTCTGCTGCCCAGGCTTTCTGTAGGTTTTGATATGGAAAAATATCCGTATCAAAAAAGTGAAAAAAGCAAGATGCAGAACAGCTTATTAGCATGGTAACTTTTGTGAAAATAAGACAGTAAAAATAAGAACACATGTATTTATATTTGCTTATATTAGCATTGATATACACTAGAAAAATAAAACAAAACTAATCTTTGTAGGTTATCTATAAGTAGCAAAATGGGAATCAAGGCTTCTCAGTAAATACCTTTTTATATTATTTTCATTTGTGACCAGGTAAACATATTGGCTACTCAATAAAGTTTTAAGATTTAAGAAACTTTTAAACAACTAGTTTGGGTTCACTAAAACTCCTGGAAAAGCCCTAACATTTGTCTAACTTGTCGCCTTCCACCTCCTCTCTCCTTCGCTAGTCTGTCTAACATGTCACCAAGCCCCGCTGACCCTACGTCTCGCAAAGGTCTCTAACCCAGAGTGACCTCCTTGGTGTCATTTTCTTCAGCAATGAAATGAAAGGTTGAACTAGATTAGGGATCCCTGACAGGAGCTGGGGTGAATCAGAATCATCCCCCTGAGGGGGCAGAGTCCTGGGCTGGCAGGTATGGAATTCCCAGGTGATTCTGATGAGCAGCTCCCAGGGTAGAAGCTGGAGGACTAGAGGGCTGGGGCTCCTTCCTGCTCTAAGAGTTTTGCCCCAACCCTTCCTCTCTCTTCCCTTCCTACTGCCCCTACCTTACTCCAGGTCTGGAAAATTACAGTAGGATTACTTTTTTCCTGCCTAAGTTTCTTCACGTGTGTGTGAAATGGAATAATACCCATCACTGAATGGCTGCAAGCCTCCAAGGAAATAACAGCACGAAGCCAGAGCACCCAACTGACCCCTTCTCCCCCCACTCCCTCCCTGGTCTGCACCCCACAGGGAATTAGGACCCACAGCACCTTTTTGATCCCCTTATCCTCAGGCTCAAACTCGTTCATACTTTGCTCCTCCCCAGAAGGGCCTAACCATTCCTCTTAGCAGAGACCCTCTGGGAGGGAGATTTGATCCAAACCTACTCCCTTGAATGATTTTTCACACCGTCACTCACATGGAATTTATCCTCAGTGCTAGCCTGGGTCCGTCCTGTGGCATGGGGTTTCGCCGTGCTGTCCATCCTTGGAGCCCACCAACCCCTTTTCCTGACATTGACCCCTGGCCCCTCAAACAAGGCCACAGGGCTGGGGAAGAGGGATTCAAAGGGCAAGGCCAAATCTCTGGAGCCAGACAACCCGAGGCCCAGTCCTAGTCCTCCTCCTTGCTAGCTGTGTGACTCTGGGAAAAACACTTAACCTTTCTCTGCCTTAGTTTCTCCAAACTGGGGATGATAATAACAACAACAACTTCTTCAGCAGTTGTGAGGAGGAAAGGAGTTATTACCTTTAAAAGGCCTAGGGCAGTACCTGGCAGACACTGAGTGATCGACTAGCATGAGTCATTCTGGTGCTCTGGGGAAAGAGGAACAGGGACTGGAGCACTTCCTTTTGCCCTCTGACACTTATGCTGGATGCCCTCTGCCTGCACCTCCACATTTGCCCTGGCTCTCCTCCTCCCTGCTCTGCGCCAGCAGGGAGGTGGATGGATGTGGGGGAACTGCATCCAAGGAGGCCCTGCTTGGGTTTGGCCAACAGAGGGAGGAGAAGGCAGCAGAGTGAGCACAGCTGCATCCCTCAACAGACCAGAGCTCGTCTGCTTCCAGGCTTGGGAAGGAAATTGCTCCCTCTGTCCTCCCTTCAGAACTAGGGGTGGTGCCGCCTCCTTGCTTACCAGCCCCTGCGTACTGCACAGGGAGTTATCCCATATGGTTCCCAAACCCCCTTCCTACACCTTTGTAAACAGTTCCTTTATTAAACTGCCCTCACATTGCCCTAAGTGAGTATGTCATCTGTTTCCTGGGGGGACCCTGACTGATAGAACACCTCATTAGGGATACTCAATGCATATGCAAATAACAGCTTTTTAGCCCTTAGCTGGGGCTTTTCTCTTGTCAGCCCCTAAGAACAGCCAAGGTGCCAGGACAATTGCCCTCCTCTCCCCTCACTCTTTCCCACCCTCCCGCTAACCTGTGCTCCCTTCCCAGGCCTCTCTGCCTCCCCGCCCCAGGTCTGACCACCAGCTTCAGAGCCCCAGGCCTAGCCCTGTATGTGGCCAGATCCTGAGCTCCAGGGGCCCGAATTAGGAGCATATCCTGGGCCTCTTCTCCTACCCTGAACCCCAGGCCTTAAGGTACCTAAGTTCTGCAGCAGAAGTTCCATTCTCATTAGATTTTTATGTAAATATGTCCTCCAACTCCCTCTTGAATCAGTAATTGCTAGATTAATATTACTGTGTCCACCTCGGCCCCAGCACAGCACGTCTGTCTGCTGTTTCAGGAGAGAAGGGAAGGACAGGACATGACGGGTGGGGAAAGGATGGAACAGGGCCTAGATCTGGGATCTCCTCTACTCAATTACCTTCGCTCCAGGTGAGGCAAGAGCAAGGAGTCTATGCCTGCAGCTTTGCAAATTTCAGCACCACTGCAGGTATCATACTGAAAAAAGAAGAGTGATTGGTTCCCATATCACTGGAAATGTTATGGGGTCTGACTTTTCGAGGCAAGTTCTAGAATTGGGAGGTGACTTCCCAACTCCCAAGAATTCCCTATCTATGGAAATCATCTCCCCTCCATTTATGGTCAAAGGGGTAGGCCCCAGCAGCCTCATATGTACCATGGGGTCCCCATCCCAGCCATAGCTGCTTATACCAGGATGGTCATGTGATCAAAACAGACAATTCAGGTCTCTCCCACAGCAATGTGGGTGTGTGAACCCCCAAGGTCAAGTCAGTCTTTATAGAGGAAACTGGAATATGTAAATGTGTGTGGTGGTCATATTCTTCTGTTTTTTGTTTGTTTGTTTTTATGAGACGGGATATCACTCTGCTGTCAACCAGGGTGGAATGCAGCAGCATGATCATAGCTCACTGTAACCTCAAGCTGCTGGCCTCAAGTAATCCCTCAGCCTCCCAAAATGCTGGGATTACAGGCATGAGCCTCTGTGCCCACCGTGGGGCAGTTCTCTGCTACCTGCCATGTGAGCTGAGGACAATCTGAAGACAAAGACCAGTGACAGGAGACAGAGGCATGCTGACAGCTTTCCAGTTCCCTGTTCCAGCCCTTTCCTGAGGTTTAAATACATTCTACTTCCATGAGCCACCCCCACTCCCAGACCCTTGTAATAAAATTTCCCGTTTTTACTTAATCCCGTTGGAGTTGTGTCAGACTAGGAGTTGCCAACAGGCATTGCCTCCTCAGTCTGTCCTCGCCTTCCTCCTTTCTAAAGGAGCCTCTGCTTCATGAGGGCAGGAGGCAACCTGCCCTGCTCAAAACTTTTCCTAGTCTTTCAGGAAGAGGTGGCCCATGAGATGAATGAGGAGGTTGTCAGTGGGGCTTACAGGGACGTGCTCTAAGAGGGCTTCCCTTTTTCCAGAGTGGTTGGCAGATAGGAGGAATGGTGCCACAGTAGCCATCTGCAGCTGGTAAGTGACCTTTAGCCATATGCTAAGGATTGCAAAGCAGATCAAGTCAGTCTTTGCAGGGGAAACTGGAACAGAAAAATATGGGCCCTGTGGGGTGGTCATCTTTTTTTTTTTTTTTTTTTGAGACAGGGTCTCACTTTGCCGCCTAGGCTGGAGTGCAGTGGAATGATCACAGCCACTGCAGCCTCAACCTCCCAGGCTCAAGCGATCCTCCCTCCTCAGCCTCCAGAGTAGCTGGGACTACAGGCACATACCACCAGGCTGGGCAATTTTGTTTTTTGTTTTTTTTTTTTTGTAGAAACAGAGTCCACTGTGTTGCCCTGGCTGGTCTCAAACTCCTGGACTCAAGCTATCCTATCACCTCAACCTCCCAAAATGCTGGGATTGCAGGTGTTGAGCCTACCTGAGTAGTCATCATCTTCTTCTTTTTTTTTTTTAGACCGTGTCTCTAAAAAAACAAAGGACGTGACCTTTAGCCATATGCTAAGCTAGGTGGAACCTGGAATGTTGAAGATGGAGCCAGCTCTGTTCTGTCTACCTCCAGACTCCTTTCCTATGCTTGCTGTGTCTCTCGTTTCCTTCTCTGCAAAATGGGGAGAATAATAACACCCAGCTCACAGCTGTTGTGGAGATGAAATAAGTTATTTTTATCTAACAGGCCTAGAACAGCATCTGCCACAAAGTAGGCATTGTATAAGTGCTATTATTATTAGCGAATAATACAGTCTCAACTAGTTTAAGCCCTTGCTTTTCACATCTCAATTATATTAACTAAATATAATTCCTATCCCATACAGTTTGGTTTCTCATACGTACAACCAAATACTCCCAAGACAAACAGAAATTTCTATTTCTAACACGTCTGTCTGATTTGATGTTAAAATAATTCCAGAATTTCCCCACCAGCAGTGCATAGCCAATCCAATTATCCCGAGGGTTGTATAGTATCATAGAAAGCCCTGAGCTTGGGAGGCTGCTCTACCTGGTTGCAAACCTTGGTTTCATCACCTGTGAAATAAGGTTAATAGCTTCTTGCTTAGAGAGACTGCTTTGATACACCCAGAACTAAGTCTGGTACCGAGTAGGCTCTTTATGAAATCCATTAATATTAGTTTACTAGTATATGTAAAACATATTCCACTAGTTACCTAAGTATCTGTTCATTCATTTACATAATACTTCACTGAGCATTTACTGAACACCTACTATGTGCTGGGCCCTGTATAGATGAGAAAGCGGGGAGGAGGGAGGTTCACAAGACAAAACCATGGTCCTTGCCTTCAAGGAGCTTACAGTCTAAAAGAGGAGAGGAGACATGTCTCCAGTGAGCACAGACAGCGACCCATGGCCCCGGGTCTGGATGGGGAAGGGGGCACAGATGGCCAGTGCCTTGCCCTGCCTCGGGCCTGCTTGGCATTGGAGCTGGGGCAGGGTGCTCTAGGAGTGGGGGAGGGGAGATGCAGCACCAGCCAACTCCTGCTATTTTGGGAAATCTTCAGCAGTGAAGAAAGCATTTTCCCAAATCTTTGGCCAGAGCTTCTCTTGCCTTCTCTCACGCTGCTGTCCCAGTTCCCTGTGGGTTCTGGGTTTGGGGTCACTCTTATGGTGCCTGGAGGCGTGTGAATGCACGCGCATGTGTGTGAGAGAATGCACGCCCATGCACACGCCCCCTGAGGCCTCCCCACCTTGTATGGGACTTCTCCTGGGCTCATTTTCCCAGCACAGAGATTAGGAAGAGGGTTTGCTGTAACAGGGGGAGTGAGTGAAATTGGCGAGTGACAGTGAAGGAGCGCAGAGAAGTGGGGGCAGGAGCCAAGGCCGGAGCAATCAAGAGGCCTGCAGCTACACAGCGACCGGTGCCCTCTGCTCAGGGGCGAAGGATGACGGAGACAGAGGCTAAGAGAGTGTGTATCAGAGCTGAATTCCCCCACAGAGCGCAAACCAGTCTCCCAACAGGTGCCCCCTGCACAACCGAACCCTCCCCCGTTTTCAGACAGGGGATCGCCCAGACCACCCCGGGGTGGGTAGCAGCTGAGTTGCTGGTACCATTCCATTCAGCACGAGGATGCATCGGGCCGGCTCTCCTGCAACGTCCAGCAAGACAGATGCATGGGTAGAGCAGCGGGAAGCAGCTGATGTGAGTGCCCTAAAAGGGAAAAAACGTCCTGGGAAAGCGGGTGACGGGCTGCAGTCAGGCGGGTGTCTAAGAGGCCTCACGTAGAAGGCGGAACTCTCTTGAAGGGAACAAGGGTGGAGCTTCCCCAGCCATCAGGGGCGAAGAGCATTCCAGACAGAGGGCACAGCAGGGGAAAGACTTGGCTCTGGCCTATCCTTGGACAATCTGGAGAAGCTGGTGGAGAGAGGCAGAGAGGGAGATGAGTCTGGAAAGCAGGACCGAGGCCAAATCACAGTGAGACTTGAGCACAAACCTAAAGATTCAGGAGTTTTCCCTCTGCTGAAGAGGAGGATTTGTGGATAGTTTGGGACAGTAGAAAGATGTGGTCAGATCTGTGCATGCTTTGGGAAGTTTGGTGGCAGTGAGCAAGGGGACAGGTGGATTAGAGCAGGCCATTTGTCAGCAGGGCAACTCTAGACATTGGGAAGCTGGTCTTGCACCCAGAATGCAGCTGGATCTCAGCCCAATTTGCAGCCTTGTGGAGAATTCCCCAGTCCAACTGTGGGGCTTGGCTCCAGACAGAAGCAGGGAGAATGAGGGATCAGGCTGGAAGCCGTGTGGCCCACAGAGCTGCACCCAGGCAGGAGCAGCACGGCCACTCATACTGCGGCCGACAAGGAGGTCCTCTCCAGGGTAACCTCACACTTCTTTTCTTTTTAGTGTAAAAAACCATGAAAGGGTGTCATCAGGAAGAAAAAGACAACCTACGACCCTAAAAGATGGGGGCTTGAGTACAAATGCCTGGAGCATATTGACAGCATGCTAGGCACTGTGCTAAGTAAGCTCTTTCCCTGCAAGATCTCACAGCAGCTTTGCAAGAAGGCCAAGAGGTGCCCACATAAGCATCATTCTAGAAGCTGAGGCACTTGCCCAAGGTCCCCCTGCCACTGCCAGTGAAGCTGGGATTTGAATCCGCGACTGTCTGCTGCATAAGCCCACACCCTGGGCTGCTACACTCACCATCCTCCCTGGAGGACAAACTGGCCCCAGCCTTATCGTTGCATTCCACAGCCCTGGCTCCAAGTGCTCTCCAAGCAGCCCTCCCAGTTTAATTTGGTTTTCTGAGTTGGCTTCCTTACTAGGGAGAGTGCTTTCTGGCTATAAATTATTAAGCTGACTTCCTGCTGCACACCAGCCTCCTGTGAATTTGGGCTGTGGGAGGCAGTTTTTCCCAGGTCCTGAATGGCTCCAGAGAAACAAATTCTAGAGGTTCCAGATGGAGAGGGCAGACTCTGGAGCCCCAAGCCCAGAGTGATGACAGCCACCTGGCAGCTTCCCCCAGCCCAGGCCTGACAGCCAGGGGCCAGGGTGGGTGGGAAGGAAGGCGATGCTTCCTTTAGTCCCCACCTCCAGCTCAGTCCATGAGGACCTTTGGGGAAGGTGATTCAGGCCAGTCCTCTTCCCCAGGTCCCCTCCATCCTTGCCTCCATTCAAAGTCTCCACTTGGCTTCCTGCCTGGGAAAGGGGGAGAAAAAGAGAAGGAAAATAAAAGAAGAGGAAATAGAGGGGAAACCAAGAGCAGGGAAGAATGTGTACTGTCTGCAGTTTGGCAGGAAGGGAAAGCATTGTGGGGGCAGCCCTCTCCTGCCCCTGCCCAGGGCCACCGAGTATGGTGGCCCACAAGTGGGCTTCTCCGTGGGGGTGGTGAAGGCATCTTCCCACCCACACATCACTCACCACTTGTGGGGCCAAGCTTAGCCCAACTCAGCACAAAGATAAGATTGAGATGCAGATGCCTTCCCATTGCTCTGAATAGAGCAGATTTGATACGGATTTTCCTCTTTTCTTCCCTTTTAGACCATCTGGGGGACTGGGGCCCAGAGGGAAGATTTGGACCAGAGAGGCAAGGCAGAGGGAGGAAAGCCTTCCTAGCACTTTTTAGCTCTAAAATCTATGGGGGGAGGGTATGGGGAGCCTCTCCTACCCCCACCCCCTTGCCCTCTCCCAGGGGCAACTTCATCCCCTGCCTCTGCTTTCTGCAATCTGGGCTGAGTTCTTCTCTCTTCCATATATTCCTAGAAACCTCCAAGTCACGCATGTGTGTCATGAGTGTTCCGGCAGTCCTCCCTGCAGTCCCACCCACATCCCTCCAGCTGCAATGGGGAAGATAAAAGGAACAAGGTGATGACCAAAAGTTTAACAAGAAGGGCTCTGACACAGATTACATGGTTCAGCACTGTACTTTATAGATGAAGAAACTGAGGATGGGAGGAGACAGCAAGATTGGGCAGGGAGCTCGCGGCAGAGACTAAGTAATAGTAGGATTAAGTAACAGTGACAACAACAATAACAACCATGTTATTGTGTACCCAGAAGTGGTCTATGCTCTTTATATTATGCCGTTTAATCCAAACAATAACCCCGTGAGGCGGGTATTGTAATCGTCGCCATTTCGTGGATGGGAAAACTGAGGCACAGACCAGTTAAAAGTAACTTGCATGAGGTCAGACTGGTAAAAGCTGGATTCAAACCCAGGCAGTCGGGCTCAGGAGTCTGCCCCTTACTCAATGCCAGCACACCACACAGGACACAGCCATTTAGAAAATGACATTATTTGACATAGCCATGTGGGTGGAGCCCAGGCCACTCCAGGGAATGTTTGCAGATGGCGAAAATCTCATAAACATGGTCTATAATCTTCTGTATTTGTGATCATAGAGACTGGTCTTGCTCCTACAAACAGAGTAAGTCAACACACGGTAAGGAATGAAAACAAGAAGAATATAACAAGAATGTTTACACCACTTGGGAAAACAAAGTGTGAACATCGTGAGGGCAATTGTGTAGAAGACAGACATGTGGAGGAAGATGGACCAAATGCATGCACAGAGAGCATGCAGCCATCGGGGAGAACCAGAGCCCTGCCTCATAGAGTAGTAGTGTGGCTTAAATGAAATAAGGTGAATAGCATGTTTGGTTCTTGCCTTGCACAGATTAGCATTACAAATGGTGGTGGTGGTTTCACTAAGGTAATATCATGAGTAGGATTTTGTTTCTTATTTACCAAACATTCTGTAATGTTTTATTGTTTTTGCAAGGAAAAAGAAAACAAAGGGGACTTGCCTACTTTAATTGCTGAAATTAAATGCTAAGGATGTCGCCAGACGCAAATCAAGCTTATCTATTCATTAGAGTAGCCTCCTTTTCCTCCTCCCCCTGGGCAGGCTCTCTCCGTGGAAACATTTCACTATCAGATATTCAGTTGCTGCATAAAATGAAAACTGCATTTGAAAACATGCCCACAACTCAAAAACAGGCAGCAAATCCAACTAAAGGCCTGGATTTTCTTGGGATTTCCAGCACCAATTCAGTTGCTCAGCATAAATCTTTGTGGGGAGGGCCCATTTCTACTCACTTCCCCCAGTAAGTTTCTTCACATCCAGAGAGTTAGTTCTCTGTAATTCAAAGAGCTCCTACAGAGATGGATGGTGGTGATGCTTACAGGACGGTGTGAATGAACTTAATGCCACTGAACCGCATACTTGAAAATAGTTAAAATGAGTTGGTGGGAATGTAAAATGGTACAGCCGCTATGTAAAACAGTCTGGAGGTTTTTCAAAAAATTAAATATAGAATTACCATATGATCCAGCAATTCCACTTCTGGGTATATACCCACAAGAACCAGAAGTAGGATATCGAAGAAATATTTGTACACATGTTCATAGTAGCATTATTTACAATAGCCAAAAGGCAGAAGTAACCCAAGTGTCCATCAACAGATAAATGGATACACAAAATGTGAAAGATATATACAATGGAATATTATTCAGCCTTATAAAAGGAGGAAATTCTGACACATGCTACAACATGGATGGCCCTTGCGGACATTATGCTAAGTGAAGTAAGCCAGCCACGAAAAGATAAACACTGCATGATTCCATTTATATGAGGTACCTAGAGTAGTCAAATCCATGGAGACAGAAAGTAGAATGGTGCTTGCCTGGGGCGGGAGGAAGCCAGAGTTATTGTTTAATGGGTGTACAGTTTCAGTTTTGCAAGATGAAGTGTTCTGGAGATGGAGGGTGGTGATGGCTGCATAACAATGTGAGTGTACCTGATACTACTGAACCGTGGACTTAAAAAGGGTTAAATGGCCAATTTCATGTTATATATATGTTACCACAATTTTTAAAAAGGAAGAGCTGCTCAAATACAGTGGACTGAGGTCCTAGGAGGTATGCTGATGATGCCCCAGATGAGGGGGTCTTCTCCCTGCTCTCCCCTCAGTCTGGTACCTGCTGCAGCCCCCCACACTCCCCTGGGCACACTTACCCCTGACCAGTGAGAGAAGCCAGCCCCCTACTGTCCATCCACACCTTAGCTGTTGGGCTGGGGTATCAGGCGGCCCAGGGACGAGGTGGTGGGCAACAGGAGACGGACTGAAGCCACAGGGCATCCAAGAGACACAGGCCAGGCACCAGCTGGAACCACTCACTGAAGGGGGAGAATTTTGGGTAAGTCATGGATACATGATGAACCAGGCAAAAGAGATGAGGTCAGATATAGGCCAGACTGCCCCAGGGACCACATGGTTGCTGCTGTGTTTGTTTCTTGGTGCTGCTTTAACAAATCACCACAGTAATGGCTTGAAACAAACTTTTTTTTTTTTTTAGGCGGGGTCTTGCTCTGCTGCCCAGGCTCTAGTGCAGTAACATGATCACAGCTCATTGCAGTCTTGACCTCCTAGGCTCAAAAGATCCTCCTGCCTCAGCCCCCCAAGTAGTTGTGACAACAGGTTGCACCACCATACCTGGCTAATTTTTAAAACTTTTTGTAGATGTGATCTCACTATGTTGCCCAGGCTGGTCTTGAACTTCTGGCTTCAAGAGAGCTTCCTGCCTCAGCCTCCCAAAGTGTCCTCCTGCCTCTCTCTCTACAAAGAGACTACAAGCGTGAGCCACCACACCAGGCCTCAAACACACATGTATTACCTTAAGCTTCTATAGGTTAGAAGTCCAATATGGGTCTCAGTGGGCTAAAATCAAGGCATTAGCAGGACTGCATTCCTCAATGGAGGCTCTGGGGGAGAATCCACTTCTTCACCTTTCTCAGTTTCTAGAGGCTGCCCACATTCCATAGTTAAAGCTAGCCACATTGCAATCTCTAACCCTTCTTCCGCTGTTGCCTCTCCCGTGGACCACAGCTGGGCAAGGTTCTCTACTTTTAAGGATCCCTGTGATTACATTGGGCCCATCTAGATCATCCAGGATAATCTCCCTACCTCAAGGTCCTTGACTGAATCACATCTGCAAATTCCCTTTTGCATCGTAAGGCACCATATTCACAGGTTCTAGGGATTAGGACATGGACATCTTTGGTGAGCCATTATTCTGCCTGCCACACTCACCCTAGGGACTCCCGCTCAGTCATTCCCACTTGGCAAACACATTTCTGGCATCCAGAGACTCATCTGTGACTGAATTTCTGAAGAAGGAGTAGCAGCCAGCAAATGGATCCCGGCCAGTCATGGCCACATGGTCTCAGGGAAGAAGGAGCTACTGCTGGAGGAACATCGGGAAGCCCGACATGCAGGCCCGGCGGGTGGTGGAGAGGGAGGAGCAGAGATGTGGAAATGACAGGCACAGGAAAGGAGAACAGGGTCTGTCCCGTGAGAAAGAGGACGGCCACAAAATGGAAAGGGGAGATTGCGGGAAGAACTTCCAGGTGAACTGCACTACAACAAAAAGAAATTCATCAACACCGGCACACAAGGTGATCATTATTCACTTCCCAAAAGGATTTTCCAAAGTGTTCTTTAAGTAATGAGTTCCACTGTGTTCCTAAAATAGGATTTACACCCAATTTTTCAGTAACACATAAAGGGATGCTTGTAAATCTATGGAAATGAAGTGAGACCAGTAACATCTGCTGCCTTGCTTTCTGTGCTGGTGGTGTCAGAGGGAGACAGAAAGAACCACAGACTGGGGTGATGGGCTCAGACTCTGCCCCAGCTTCCCCAACCCCCTGACCCCCCATGAAAATTATCCTATTTAATGCACACACCACCCTTACTCTCATTTGACACGTGTATAAACTAGGGAGGCTAGAGAGGAGGGAAAAGTCACAATGGGTGGCTACAGGTCCGATCTGGCCCAAGGGCACTCTGACCCCAAAGCCCCATTCTTTTGGCCACTCACAGAGAGCAGAGACTTTTCAGGGTGGCAAAGAGTCGTATGTGTGTCTGTGTTGGTCACAGAAGCTGCATCCCTCCTACATACTCAACGAGATGAGCAGACAGCACCAGGGGCTATTGCTTACCTAGCAGGTCATTTCTGGGATGCTAATGAAACTTTCAATTACAGACCAAGCCTTTCCCTCTAAAGTTATTAGAGATAAGAATCCAAACTGGCCGAGTGCAGTGGCTCATGCCTGTAATCCCAGCACTTTGGGAGGCCGAGGTGGGCAGATCACTTGAGATCAGGAGTTCGAGACCAGCCTGACTAACATGGTGAAACCCCATCTCTACTAACAAACAAGTTACCAGGTGTGGTGGTCCGCACCTGTATTCCCAGCTACTTGGGAGGCTGAGGCAGGAGAATCACTTGAACCCAGGAGGCGGAGGTTGTAGTGAGCCAAGATTGTGCCATTGCACTCCAGCCTGGAAAACAGAGCGAGTCTCTGACTCAAAAAAAAAAAAGAAAAAGAAAAAGAAAAAGAAAAGAAAAAGCTGTGATATAAGTGGCTGATTTTATTCTAAAGTTAATAGAGATAAGAATCCAAATGGCCTGAAAGAGGTTAAAAGGCTGTGATATAAGTGGCTGATTTTGTGTGTCGTTGGGGAGCCAGCTGTAGCAGATAAGAAGGGAGACAGAGAACACGGGGCATCGGGAGGAGCAGAACATTTGACTCCCTTGGCTTTCTGGAAATATCACTTGGGCATTAAAACAGATCATATAGAGGAAGGTGCCATAAAAATATTGAACCCTGTTTCTACTTCTCTGTTGTTACAAAGTCCAGGTTCTTTCTACCCTCTCAGTTGGCCCTAACTTTTCTTTCTGGTTCTTTCTCCCAAATGTGTGGTTCTCAAAGTTTCTATCCTCAATTCCCTCTTCTCTCACTGTAGCCAATACTGGGTGGTCTCAGCCTCCCTCCCTCCCTCTCTCCCCAGGGCTTCCACTTCCACCCCTGCCCCACTAGCTCCGCAGATTGCCAGCCCTTCTCTTCCGGACTCCAGACCACCAGGCCGCCTCTGTCTCCATGTCATCCAGGCATCACTACTGCAGCCTGCCCAAAATAAATTTGCCATTTTTCTCCCTTAACCTGCTCCTCCCATGTTCCTCATCTCTGTCATTGGTCCTACAATTTCCCCAAATATCCTGACTCACGTTTCAACATTCTCAGGCTCTCCTCTCTGTCTTCTCCTATAGGCAACCCATTGTCGAGTCCTGGCACCTGTACCTCAGTGGATCCCAACCCCAGATGGGATGGCAGGTGACATGTGACATATGAGCCAAGTATGTGGGGTGGGGGCAGAGGAGGATGGGAGGACACACGTTTCTTCTGGGTAGGACAGCTACCAGCTACGCAGCTCTACTTTCCACCAGCTAACTGTTGCTGTGTGAGGACACAGGCCCAGACCTGCCTATTTTTAAAGAAGATCTGCACATCTAGATTTATGTGAAAATTTTCCCATGTTTAAATGCTTGCAACCACTTGCATTTTTTGAAATCCCTATGTGCACCAAACAAAACATGTCTCTCTGTGACCTCTGGGCTTTGGTCTCTCTCTCCCACTGTTCCTTCTTTCCATTCCTACTGCCAAAATGTCCATGCCTCCCTCCTGGACAAGGGAACCCGCTCTTCCTGGGTTGCCCTAGCCAGCTTTCTCCCTTTACCCTTTGCTGGTCTCAAGGCCCCATTGAACAAATGTTGAGTTCTTTAGCTTCAAACTCAAGGCCCTCCAGAGAAAAAGAGAATAGTGAGGGTGAAGGAGACAGAGAAGAGAAGGCTGCTGCCACTCAGGGTGACAGAGCCATTAATTAACAGAGTTAAACATCTGGTGTTTAATTAACACTCTCCCTCCTCTTTCATTCTCCCTCCCTTTAACTTTCCCAGAGGGGCTCCACAGTGGGTGAAACTGAGCAGAAACCAGGAGAACAGCCTCCTGGCTGAGTCAGGGAGGGAGGGTGAGGAGGCTGGTGTTTGATTCCATGTGCTGGAGGGAAGAGGACAGTAGGGTAGCTTTGTGACTGGCTTACTTCAATTAGCATAATGTTCTCAAGGTTCATCTAAGGACAGACTAGGAAGAAGCAGCTTGACGTTTCAGTGGTAGGGACTGTCCAGAAGTTTCTTGGGCAGGAGCTGGGGGCAGGAGCTCAGTGCCTCGGATTATACAAGGAAGTCCCCAGCTCTCTTTGTGGCTAACATGATTGCCTCCCTGAAATTCATTCCCCCATTGTCTTCGATAATAAACTCCCACATTGCACAGAGTGGCAATGTTCCCAGCCTCAGGTGAGACACTTGCTTCTTCAGCCTCTTTTGAAGTTACAGGTGCCCAGGTCTGACCAAGGAGAAATAAGCAGAAGTCTGCTACAGGCTCTGGGAAGACATTTGTCTTCCTTACAAGAGATAGACTCAGTGGGCACCAATCCCTTTCCTTTCTCCACCTTCCTCCCTTGCATTTGAATGTGATGTCTTGAGCTATAGCAGCCCTGTTTTAACCATAAGACAAGAGACAAGCCAAGAGGGCAACAGAATACCTTGATGCTGTTGAGCCAGTGAGCAAAGACCAGCAGCTGCTGCCACTTCCGAAACCTCTTGTGAAGTGATTAAATGAATCTCTCTGTTTAAAGTTATTGTAGATGGTGTTTTCTGTTACATGCATCCAAAAGCATTCCTAAGTGATACACTCCCTACCCTAAAACCTCTTCTCTCTAGGGAGATAAGTAAGTAACCACTTATTTAATTAGAGTGGGGTAAAGTGAAGAGCAGACATGCTGCTCAGAGCGCCTCCCAATCTGGATGGCCCAGGACCCAGGATTAAGAACTGGAAAGCAGATAGTAGAGTGGGCCATGGCTACATGAGATGGGAGCTCTGAGGGAGTCCTCTCAGAGTCTGCCAGACAGTGGGAGCTCAGCCGACACAGGTTTGTGTGGATACATGAATGGCTGGATGTGCCACTTCTTGGCACAGGTGGCCCAGCGACAACCAGCTGGAAGGAAGGGACCCTCCAGCAGCTAACTTGAATCTCTCTGATTCCAGACCCTTCTCAGAAGGCCATGCTGGAACACCTCTCCCCTTTAGAAGTTCCCTCCTCCTCCCCACTTCCCATGATGCCCCCCACACTCTTATTTGGCACTTAATCAAACCTCCCCATTTGCTCCAAATATGGCTCTTGGTTTGACTGCAAACCCTGGGAGGCAGATACCACTTCCTTTTTCAGCCTCCAGGACCTACCAGTGTCTTGAACACTGAAGACAGTTGATAAATGTTTTCATTTGAAGTTGATGCTTTGGAGGGTGCAAAGAGGTTTGTGACTTAAAGAGTTGCTCAGAGAAGAGCCCCTCCTAAAAAGAATAGTCCCAGAAGTCTGTAGTACTGCCTGAAATTGTACTATCAGACATGGACTACATTGACTAGCTGGGTCACCTTAAGTGAAACAACCACTCTCAGCAACAGTTTTGTGTGATGGGAGTGCCAACTCAGCATGGAAATTCATTGTAAGAATGTTTATTATTATTATTATTATTATTATTATTATTTTTTGAGACGGAGTCTCGCTCTATCACCCAGGCTGGAGTGCAGTGGCGTGATCTCAGCTCACTGCAAGCTCCGCCTCCTGGGTTCACGCCATTCTCCTGCCTCAGCCTCCCAAGTAGCTGGGACTACAGGCCCCCGCCACCGCGCCCAGCTAATTTTTTGTTTGCATTTTTAGTAGAGACGGGGTTTCACCATGTTAGCCAGGATGGTTTCGATCTCCTGACCTCGTGATCTGCCCGCCTCGGCCTCCCAAAGTGCTGGAATTACAGGCGTGAGCCACCACACCCGGCCTATTACTATTATTATTATTATTATTATTATTATTATTATTATTAGAGATGGAGTTTCACTCTTGTGGCCCAGGCTGGAATGCAATGGTGCTATCTTGGCTCAACACAACCTCTGCCTCCTGGGTTCAAGCGATTCTCCTGCCTCAGCCTCCTGAGTAGCTGGGATTGCAGGCGCCCGCCACCACATCCGGTTAATTTTGTATTTTTAGTAGAGACGGGGGTTTCTCCATGTTGGTCAGGCTGATCTTGAACCCCCGACCTCAGGTGATCTGCCTGACTCGGCCTCCCAAAGTGCTGGGATTACAGGCGTGAGCCACTGTGCCCAGCCTTAAGAATGTTTATTATAATAAGCCTTTAAATGTGACAAATCTTGGAAGAATTATCGCAGCAATTATTCACTTTTGAATGTAATCTTGTAGATTTTAGGGTGGTGAAGGACCTTAGATTTCCTCCTCCTAACTACCCCCACACGACTTCTAAACTATCTTCAGAAGTAAGCAAGGATCTTCTCGAGTTGAATTAACGTGGCATTTCCTAGGAGAGAAAGAGTAGCAGGTGCTGTTGGTGCCTGCCCCATTTGTGGGTGGGTGCACCCATCCAGACTGGCTGTTAATGGTTCACACCTGCAACCTTCTCCAGAGGCCTGCCCTTAACCCAGTGCAGACTCCTGGAGACTACAACCCTCACCACCATTCCAAAGCTCTTGGGTAATCACCAGCTGACAGAGGAGTATAGGAGCCCAGCCCCCACATCTCCAGGTGCAATGGATTCTGTGGTGCCATTCATGCTCCAGGGCTCCTCGTGGGATCATGAGATCGTGGGATCATGTAGCCTTGGCCTCATCCTGTGCTCTACCCTGGTTCTTCTGGAGGACACTACCTGCTCAGTCACTTGCTCAAGAATCTCTGCTCAGGCTTTGCTTCTTCCAGGGAAACCTGGCCTGAGATAGGCCCTTAGGCCCTTTCTGCCTTCCC
Source organism: Homo sapiens (assembly GCF_000001405.40). Classification (NCBI taxonomy): domain Eukaryota; kingdom Metazoa; phylum Chordata; class Mammalia; order Primates; family Hominidae; genus Homo; species Homo sapiens. The sequence continues at coordinate 122,967,831 of NC_000003.12, forward strand.
AGAGGAGGACTGAGAAGGAGGTAGGGGAAGAAGTAGGCTGGTGTCAAGACTAAGCTCTGCAGACTTCTCTTTTGGCCCAGGGCTCTGCCCTCTCACTCACTCTGCGTGCACAAGAGACCATGCACCGGGCCCAGCCCTCAGCCCGCCCAAGGACTGCAGCCTTGACCAGAGCTAGCACGTGTTCCACGCTCTCCTGACCTCCCCGGCTACCACCTTCTCTCCAGAAAATGTGCAGATCCGCTCCAAGGCCCAGCAACACTTTCCCAGAAAACTGTAAATCCAAAAATCAATTGGTCTTCATGTCACCACATTATCAGAATTGGGCCCCCAGGATGGTTTAGGCTCAGAGACTCACAGAGTATTAGTGTAAAAAGGGCCTTGGGAGGTGATGTAGCTACCTCCTTCACAGTTTAATTTGGATTATACTTCTGCATCTATGCCACTCCTCTCTCATTATAATTGCGATAATTATGGTCTGCTTTATTCTCCTCTGGACCATTTACACAGGTGAAGAGACAGAAATTCATGGATGCAAATCACCAACCCCAGGCTCTTTTTTCAGGGTTTGCCTCCCTAGAGGCAATGAACCTGAGTCAGAGAGGGACGGTCGCCTTGGGGGTGACCTAGTAGCGGGATAGGATGGGGATCCAGCCCCAAGGTGCTGTGCCTCTTAGATTGGAAGGGTGGGAGAAGCAGCTGTTTGCACTATATGTATCCTACTCCAACGCCCGCCCCAACACTACTGGAAATACATTTCTTTCCAGTAGAAATGAAAGGGCAGTGGAAATCAGGTCAGTTTGGATCTTCCTATGGTTAATAATGTCTCTGTGGGCATCTGAGGTCATCCTGTCCATCCTCCAGGCACCAGGCAAGACACTTCCTCCTTCAGTCCAGGGTAGCTTTACTCCAGCCACATCTCTTGGTGACCTCAGCTGGGTTTGGTACCCATCACTGTCAGGACATTCTTACATCTTTTCTGCCACATGAGCCAACATTCAAGGGTCCTAATAAAGGCTATGGGCCATAAGTCTTGGGGCAGGTCATTTTCTCTCTTTGGGGATCCCCTCTTTTGAGCATTCTAACATCTTCTGTTCACTTACCAATGCTTACGTCTGACTCAATTTTTCTCACCAATGATCCCCAACTTGTGAAATCCCAGATACCAGGACTTCTGGTGAAAATACATGGGTTCTGTGCTCGAATAATTTTAATTATATCTAAGCTTTCTCCTGTTCTTTTTTCTATGACAGACAGTGTGCTAATTATTTTTCAAATGTGATCTCATTTCATCCTCACCATATGGCTATAAAATAAGCTTTACTGCCTCTTTTCAGATGAGGAAACTGAGGCTCAGAGAGGTTGGGTGGCCTGTCCAAAGTCACACCAGAAGTGGCAGAGCCGGATCTGCTCTCAGATCTCTTTGATGCCAAAGCGCATGCTTTTAGTCAGCCTGCTTCCCACCTCCTTCCAGGGATGCTTTGGAGACAGATTCACCAGGAAGGAAGGTGAAGGTGCTCTCTCCTGGCTGTGGGGGCACAGAGAAGGGATACCACCCAGGTCTCCTCCTGATTCCCTGTATCCAAAGCTGAGTCCAGCCCAGTTCCTCTCCCACTGCCCAGAGCTTCCTCCCTGCGTCCTATCCCGTGCTGTGTCCTGGATGCATTTTCTTTCTCTCTCCTGGTCAGTATGCCTGCTACTGCCAGGGCCTCTGATCGTAATTCTCTATTCCAGTGTCTCCAATGAGAGCTCCCAGCTCCACTCCCATTCTGCTCCACCTCATGGACATCACAGCCCCTAGGTCACTCCAGCCTTCCTGGCACCCACCTGCATTGATATTTCTGTGTCCCACTCACTGCTGCGGGTGTTGAAGTCACTGGCCCCTTCTGCTTTCCCAAGTTCCCTGACGCAGGGAAAGTCACTGCTTATTAGTTTGTGCCAACAGCGGGGGTGGCAGAGAGCAGCGAGGCAGATAATCTGAGGTAGTGGGGAATGTAAGAATCATCTCTATTTGGCTGTGGAAGGTATTTTTGGACTTACAGTTGAATGTGGGTGTGTGTTATGTGCTGGGAATTCACAACACTTCAAGCCAAATACTGAAGCTCAACCAGCAGGACCTGGCTGCTGGTTTCAGGAATTAGAAAGCTGTCCACCCTGTTCCTATTTCCTGCAGAGTTGGGTGGCTCCGTGTCTCGGCTGATGTTCAGGACCAGCTGAAGCAGAACTGCTACTTCTCTAGGGCTCAGAAACCACACTTGCCCCTGACCTAGAGCCCGGGCTGCAAATATGGGTGCCCACAGCAGGTGGGCAGCCAAGTGAGGCCAGCTGGTGTCACACAAAACGGAATGGCAGAGCCAGGACTGTGAACCCCTTCAGGAGGGCACCATCACTTCTCAGGGACAGCTGCTCCTCAGCTCCAGCTGATGACAGAGGCCAAACAAAACACATCTATGAAAGAATTTGGCCCTCTGACAACTGGATTGCAGTCTCCAGCCTCGTGGTTCTCACACTAATGTGCATCAGAATTGCCTGGAGGGCTTGTTACAACCGATTGTTGGGCCCCTTCTCCAGAGTTTCTCATTCAGTCAATCTAGGGTGGAGCCCAAGATTTTGCAATTCTAGCAAGTTCCCAGGTGATGCTTACGGTCTAGGGACCGCACTTTGGGAACCACTGCTATAGCCCAGCAGCTAGAGAATAAGAGAGCTTCCCACCTCCTTACCTTTTAGTATTTGCAAGCCTCTTTTTGGTGTCAGCTCAAGAGGTAATCATGTCCTTTAGAAGTTAAAAGTCAGAAGAAAGGGTGAGACACATCTATTAAATGGCAAATATTTCATGAACATCTCGTTTAATCATCACAGCCTTCCTGCAAGGTAGGTATTATTGCCCCTACTTTACTGCTGAGGATCTAAGGCACAGAGATGTTCATGACTTGCCCAAGGTCGCACAGCTAGGAAGGACAATTCTGGGACGGAAATCTACATCAGCCTAACTCCAGTGCCCATGCTTTTCCCAAATCATCAAACTGCCCAGAGAAACAGGGCCTCTTTGCAAAATATACCCTCTTTCTGGGGGTTGAGCAGAATAGCCTTCCCTTTAGGGACCCTTCTAAGTTTGTCCATCAGGGGCATTTCACAGGAAGGGCTGGATCAAGAGCCAGAAGGCTTGGAGAGGGGAGAGTCTTTTGCCTCCTTCCAAAGGGAATGATCAATAAAGACCTGGTCCTGGAGCACTACCCAGTGGCCTATAATTCCCAGGAGACAGGAGGGCTGACCCTGGGGCAGCATAGTGCCCTGGAAGTGCCAGGCCTGAGGAAGTCACTCCTGAACAAACCACCTTAGTCCTTGGGAATACATCAGAGCAGGATGGGAGAATTATCTGGTTAATGTCTGCAAACTGGTGGCAGGAACCATGTCTGTTTTGCTCAGTGCTATATCCCTAGCTGCTAACCCAGCACCAGTCACATAAGAGACGCTGAATTATTTGTTGAATGAGAGAATGACTGAATGGTGGAACAAAGTGCAAGGAATCTTTGCTCTTAACCAAAGGGACTATGGGAATCTTTGCTCTTAGCCAAAGGCACTAATGTGCCCACTCATGGTTGAAAGTGTAGACACTCATAAAGCAGCCAGCCTTGAGAAGGGAGATGTGGCAGGTGATAATTCTGCTTCAGGTAATTGATCGGAAATGTTTTCCAAATCCATCATGGGGCATGAAGCAAAGATATTAACAGGTCTGCCAAGAGCCAGCAAGAATAAGGTCTTATTTACCTCTGGATCCTCAGCCCGTGTCTATTGAATGAATGAAAGTGAGTCTCTCCTCCTGAATGCCCAGTGGGGAAGGTGTTCACACACTTATTGCTGCATGGGTGCTGGTGGGCCTCTGCCCAAGGAGCCTTCCCCAAGGCTTTCTGGAAGGCAGGTGCGGCACGGTGAGAAGAGCATGGACTTGGAATGGGAAGCCATGGTGCAAGCCCTGATGTCAGCCACTCCTGAACTCGTCAATAGACATGATTCCAGTGGGAGCAACAGGCACCGTGTTCTGCATCCTTGGGCCCCGCTGCCTCCCTTCTCTTTGAAACAGAGAGAATAATGATAGCAACAACAACAGCAATCATAACAACTTCTTCACAGACTTGTGAAGGTGAGATACTTGTGCACTGAGAGCGGAACAAGCACTCAACAAACGCTTGTTGTCCACATGGATCCGCTGATCGATCCACCATGGCTGGGTCACTTCTCCAGTGTGGAGAGTTTTGAGGAGTCCCTCACTGCTCCAGGTAGGAAGCTCTGCCACTACCTGACTTACTTTTCCTCTTGCTGCAACTTAAACCCTCTTACTCCACTGTCTGTGGTGACAAGGAATAGGCCGACAGTTGGTGAAAGCTCTCTCTAACACTGGTCTCCCCTGCTTTTCCAGGAAAGTAGCAGAAACAGACTTTTTGGAGTCAGGAACTAATGTTATGGAGAGTGTGCAGTGACTTAAGATGTATCTAAATCAGTGCAACTCCAAGCCACATGGTAACACAAATGGTTCTGCTGCCCATGTATAAAGCATGCCAGCCCTTTTCCCTGGCATGTGGCACACTCCAGATCTCTCCCCTCATCCAGTTATGTGTGTGCAAAACTCAGCCTGGATCAGTCACCCTTGAAATATGAGTCAAATAAAATTAAAATTAAAAATTGTTCTTGAATCACACCCTGTTTTGCATTATCTGTGCTATTATTTGACTTTACTCAGCCCTTTAACCACTGGCTCCAGATGATCCCACAGATGTAACTGGGCCAGCACTGGGGAGAGAGACCCCCACCTGAGTCGGTAAGAGCTGTTGGGATGCTGCGCTGGGTGCAGCATAGGTGACCAGCAGAAAGGTAGTGTCAGGAATCATGCAAATCCCCTTCATGTGGATGGGTCCTTGCTACTCTTCACAACCACGATGCCATCAGATTCCCTGTGAAGTCTGCAGAAGGCTTGTCATGGCTCCCATTTAACTGATGAGAAGCCAGAGGCCCTGAGAGCAGCTACAGATCCAAATGCTCAGAGTGGGAAGTTAGCCCAGGTCTGCCTTCCCACCCCGCAGCCTATCCAGGCTCCCAGAAACACTCTTATTCCCCAAGTCAAGCCGTGATGGCTCACACTGGATAAGGTCCCCAGCCACTGGGAGCTGGGAGCCTGGAAACTGTGGGAGAACCCCTACAGATTAATGACAGGTCATTCAGAGTGTCTATACACCTTGTTTTGGAAATCTAAGAGGTAACCATAGTTAGATCCCAAGGTCTCCAGAAAAATCACTCATAATACTCTCTTTGGGGAGTGGGCAGTATTGAGACTGGGGCAGGAAAGAGAAATGATGGACTATCATCCCAGTCTGAGCCCCTGACTCCAGCCTGTGTTCAGGCTATGTTTATGTCCTTCTCTCCCTTTACACCCCTAGCTTCTAGTCTAGGTGCCAAGTGGCCCTGGGCCTCTAGTGCCCTGAGGAGAGGCAGCCAATGAGCTGCTAACCCAGAGGACATAAGCTAGTCCAACTCAGCCTCTGCCATGTGACCAGCCAAAAGCAGAACCTCAAACCCCCACCCCAAGATGAGTGGGGTCCAGCCTGGCGGGCAGTGGAGGGTGCCGCAGTCTGCTCCCTTTCCTCTTTTAGAGAGGAAAAAAGAAAATGAGTGAGGAGGGGTGGAACGTCAACAGAGACCAGAAGGGAATAAAGAACACTGAGGCCAGTTCATCTGTGAAGGTCGTGAAATGGACAGAGTTTTGTTCCTTTTGGTTTATGTTATCGCAGTTATGATGGTGTTTGTGCAGTAAGTGAAACAGTGAAGGGAAAGTGTCTGGGGTCTGTGTTGGAGCTGAACGATGCTGCAAACTTGGGGGGTTGTAGATTCCCAAGGAGGGCAGGCAATGTGGAGCCTCCCTGTCCCACTCTGGGAATCTGCAACCCACCAAGTGTGGAGCCCAGGACAGAGGGGCAGAGGTATGGGAGTGGGGAAGGGCAGAGAGGGAGGAGAAGGTAGGGAGAAATTCCTTAAACCCTTTCAGGATTTCCTTCTGGAGGGCTGTGAGTCTTCTTCACCAGGCCCAATACCTGGTACTCTGGGTCCTGCCAGCTCAGATGCCTGAACTTCCAGAACATAATTGTGTTCCAGCTCAGCAGGGCACAGCCTCGGGCCGTCTAGGAGCAGGCTGCCGTTCCCCGAATGTACACCCTGTCAGTGCCCAGATCCATCTGGAGAGCAAATGGCTGGCTGAGGGGAGAGAGAGCCCAGGCACACCACCCCCCATCTGCTCCCGCCATGTGACACATGCTTGCAGGCGGGGAGGGAGAAGCCGGCAGGTGGTTGGCTGATGTAGAGTGGAGGCTGGGAGAAAGAACAAGGACCAGCACAAACCCACTGTCCAGCCCTGGCCAGAAGCATTTCTGGGAACTGCTCCCAGCCCTACTCCCATTGCCAGGTGAGCCCCCTCGCTCCTGCACACACACAGGTGAAAGACAGGTCTGAGTGAAGGCCAGGCCTGGGACTCCACCACCACTACTGCCCCAGACATAGGAATGTGTACGTGGGTGCACACTCGCCTGCGCACATGCCTGAGATCCAGATCATTCCTTCAAAGCTTCTTTGCAGGTGCAATGATGCAGCCTCACTGCTGCCCCAGCCCTGAGCACCTACAAGGCAGCTGACTGGTCCTTCTGGGTTTGGGTATATGGGTTGGGGAGAGTGAGGCAGGGACACGTGCCTGAGGACTTCTCAGGTGGATGGTGTCCAGGAGCTGAGCAGGCCATGGGGCTTGGTTGTGGGCAGAATAGAGAGTTCCAGCCCTGGGCCAGGGGGTGGGAAGAGAAGGGGAGGGGGGTCTTTAAGAGAAGCACAGTGAGCTCTTTCTGATCTGGTATAAACGAAGCCCTTCTTGGAGACAGAAAGATGGTCAAGGGCTGACAAAACCCTTCCAGTGCTTAATGAATGTCTCTCTTTAAACCTGGCCATTGGTGCCAAGCCCCTTAAGTTCCATATTCATAGAGCTCAGTTATAATAAGAATAACAGCTAACAGGCTTACTATTTGCAGGACTTTATCTATGACTCACCCTGCAGGCCCAGCCCCCACCCCCAGCTCTCCTTTTCCACAATGGAACTGGAATAGAGTTATCTTCATAGAGGCCTGTTGGAGGAGCATCTGAAATGCAAGAATTCTGGGGAGGGAGCCTGGAAGTGTCCTCTGCTCAGGCCCACAAGGACAGCAGAGAAATGGAAGGGAGTGGGAAACCGTGTCATTTTCTTACCAGAAGACTTAGTCAAGTGCTCACAGGTGTGGTCTGCAGGCAGACGTGGGCAGCACCAGACAAGGAGAGATGGAGGGTGGGCCCTGGGTCCAGGGGTGAGGAGCAGTGGAGTAAGGAGAGGCACAGCTGATCCCCTGCCTGCCAGGAGAGCTGCCGCTGCTGGCTGGCGGGAAAGGAGTGTGATGGATGCTCCCCTGTCCAGCTGCGCCTCAGCCTTGGCAGAGGAAGGAAGGACGATGAGCCCCTGAGCCAGGGAACACGGATGTCTGCCTGAGGAGGCGGAGACCAAGGCAGAGACCTGCTCTCCCACTTCTCCTCCCCACCACCCCCCTGCCTCGGCACAGCCTGGGTCGACACTGAGCACTCACACCACAAAACATGCAGCCCTGGGCTCAAATCCCAGCCCAGGCTCCTTTAGCCTCTCTGAGTCAGTTCTCTCAACCGTAAAACCACACAGGGCAGTTGTGAAGATTAAAAGATAATGTTTGCGGAAGCACATAGCACTGTCTGGCACCTAGAAAACACTCAATAAATGTCAGTCACTATTTTATCATCATTATTAGTGTTGTGATTATGCAGACCTTCCATCTCTCTCTCCAGACGCTCACAATAGCCTCCTAAGTACGCTTCCTATCTTTCATCTCTCCTCTCCAATCCATCCTACACAAAGCTGCCAGAACACAGTCTACAGCAATGATTTGGTCACATTACTCTGCTGCTTAAAACCCCCACCAGCTCCCCACTGCCTACACAACCAAATCCAAACACCCTGCATAGCAAGGACTCTCCATCTGCCTCAGACTCCCTCTCCTGCCCCCTCTCTGGCCATTCCCCCTCCATCCAACCTCCTCAACACATCCCAAATCTAGAAACTCTTCATGTCATGCACTTGCCCACCTCGATCCCTTCGCTTCTGCTTGCCCGTCCCTGTAGAATGCCCTCTCCCAAATGCCAGCTCATCTATGAAGCTCCTTCTGACCCTCACGCAGCCAATGGCTTCCTCTGCTGACAGATGCAGCATGTGGTTTATACACTCTCATCACTTCCTCACCCTGTGTTGGGCTGTGCAGATGCAAGAAGTGCTTCTCAAAATGTGCTCCTAGGACCAGCAGCATCTGCACCTCCTGGGAACTTGTTTAAAATGCAAATTCTCAGGCCTCACCCCAGACCTACTAGATCAGAAAGTCTGGGGGCAGGGCCCAGTAATCTGTGTTTTAACCAGCCCTCCAGACTCTATTGCACACTCAGTTGGGGAACCACTGATGTAAGGTACCTGTACCCTACAGGTGATGCTTGGTACACAGAGAGAAATGATGGGTTAGATCAGACCACTTGGGTGGCTTTGAAAAAATACAGCTGGTTGGGCCTCACCTGCAGAGATTCTGATTTAATTGATCTGGGGTTGGGCCTGTGCATCCATGTTTTTTTGTCTCCCAACATTTTATTATCAATATTTTCAAACATACAAAACAGTTAAAAGACTGCACAGTGAACACCTGTATACCCGCCATCTAGATTCTGTCACCAACATTCTGCTGTATTTCCTTTATCACACATCTATCTACCCATGCACTTATCCATTTTATTTTTTGATGCATTTCAAAGTAAGTTGCAGACATCATATACATCACACAAACACATCTGAGTGATTTAAAAGCCCTCCGGGGCCAGGCGCGGTGGCTCACACCTGTAATTCCAGCACTTTGGAAGGCCAAGGCGGGCAGATCACTTGAGGTCAGGAGTTCGAGACCAGCCTTGCCAACATGATGAAACCCGGTCTCTCCTAAAAATACAAAAATTAGCCAGGCATGGTGGCACGCACGTGTAATCCCAGCTACTCGAGAGGCTGAAGCACAAGAATCACTTGAACCGGGGAGGTGGAGATTGCAGTGAGCCAAGATCGGGCCACTGTACTCCAGCCTGGGCAACAGAGTGAGACTCTGTCTTGAAAAAGAAAAAAAGCCCTCCAGATGGTTACACTGTGCAGTCAGGGCCTCTCTGATCCCAGGTGGGAAACTGACAGTCTCTTAGGCTCAGCTCCTGCTATGAAATGAGGAGGAGGAGGAGGATGCCTACTATGCCTTCCTGTCCCACTCTTACAAGGATTGAATGAGATCACATTTGAGAAAGCCCTTTGTAAAGGGCCATATGGTTAACAGAAAGTAATCCCTGACTCCGTGCTGGAGGAGGAAGGTGTCCAGAGCTGTTGCAGGATCGCTGAATAATAAACGAATTGCAAATAAATGACAAATAATTCTTTAGCATAAGTGCATCCCAAATATTGCATGAGACATACTCATACCGAAATACTCTTTGTTGCTTACCTGAAATTCAAATGTAATTGGACAACCTATATTTTTACTTGCTAAGTCTGGCACTCCTAGAACTCAGTCCTGTCTTATGGAGAGCATCAGGATCAGAACCCTCTACCCAGAGAAGAGTCAGGGCTGGCAACAGGGACTACAGCTCTACCTAGCCAGCCTCTCATGCTCCTAGGATTTAAATGTTAATGTCATCCAAAAACACCCTCACAAAAACATCCAGAATAATGTCTGACCAAATATCTGGGCACAGTGGCCCACCCAAATTAACATATAAAATTAACCACCACAGTCAGCAAGTCTCAAACACTAGAGTACAAAAGTCTCACTGGGGAGAACCAATTAAAATGCAGGTCTCCAGGCCCCACCCCAGAGATTCTGATGCACTAGGCTTGGCACAATGCCCAGAAGCCAGCATTTTAGCCATCCCTCCAGATGGTTGCGATCCAAGGGCTCCATGGGCCCACTTTGGGAAGCACTGCAGTTGTCACTCAATAAATATTTGCCGACTAAAGGGATGTTGGAGGTAGGAGTGTGGGCAGCAAGGCATCTGAGCCAGGGCCAGACCACCTCTGCAAGACTGTGTCCTAGGGGCTCTGTGAATGGCCCCCAGTGGAGTGATGGCAGATGCGGAACCAGCCAGCCAGTCCTGCCCCCAGGCAGGGACCCACAGCTGAGTTTGCAGACTGACGCAGGAGACAGAATTATAGGCAGAGGGCAACTCCACCAGCACTGGCACTAACCCAAAGGGCAAACCCTTGAACCAGGCCTGGCCCCACCTGGGCCCCAGGGTGCCCTTCTCTGTCCCATGCGAGTCGGTGGGTGGACGTGCTCGGCCTCTCATGAGCCGATGAGATCATGGCTCAGGAATCTCTGTGCAGTCGGTTGCCCCTGAAAAGAACCACTCACTGAGCTGGGGAAGCGAGCAGCTCAATGTTCACAGGCAGGCTGGGGAGGCGGGGCGTAGGGCCACAGGGACCCGTGCAGCATCCCAAACACTTCAGAAAGGAAGAAAATCAACCCTGGGCTGTACAAGCCCATGATGACAGAGCTAGGTTTTTTCTTTTAATAGACTCCCATAGACTGGTGATTAGAGTTATGTTCCTGAAAACCTTACAGCTAAATAGGTAACTGCCAGAGAATGACAGGGTCTGGGCAGAAAGAGACTCTCGGTGGTGGGTTAGGTCCATCTCCCAGGACCAGCGTTCTAAACATTTCAGTGTGATAGAAGGCTGGGAGCAGACCCCTCCGCTGGGCAGCCTCCAGGGGTGGAGAGGCATGGACAGCCAGCTTCGTGTCAGAAGAGGCATTCATCCTCAGGGCCTTGCGTGATGGGGAGTAAATAGGTGCTCAATAAATGCATGTTCAGCTCAACTGAGCAAAGGGTAAAACAAGAGGAGAGGAGGCTAGTGCTGCCACTATTCCAGGCCCCTTTTACACCTGTTACCACATCCTGCAGCTCTGGGCTGCTCTGTTTCCACCCCTTCTGTGCAACCTCAAATGTCACCTGGCTCCCTTCATGCTCGTCCTCCTGCCCAGGTCTTGCTTGGCCATCTTCAGCCTGCCCTGTGAGCCATCGCACAGTGGCTCCGAAGGCGGTTCAGAGAGGGAGACGCAAGACACAAAGAATGTCTTGAAAAGAAGGGACAAAGCACTGGGGCTCTGCAGGCTGGAAAAGAACAATGGGATAAATGGGATGGGAGGCGGGGGAAGAAGCAAAGTCCTCAGGTGTCTGAAGGGTTATAACTGAGAGAGGATGACCAGAGACACCTTCGCTCTCAGGACAAGACAAGGTGAACGTGGACAGTGGAAAGACCCGCCGAGGAGAACATTCAGGATCGGAGCAGCAGAGAGCCCCTCTGTCTCTGAGATCGCCTTGGTGTCTCCAGGAAGAAATGGTTTTCTGCCTGATGTGGACTGCAGAGCTGGCCAAGCAGCCCGCCATCCACGAACACTTTCACATCCTCCCAACTCTCTTCCCGGATTTAGCTTGTGCCACCTCTGGGGGTTCCCAGTTCCACATAAGTTTACTTCCTGCTGTGTAAATAGCACTTACTTTCATTTGTGCTACAGTTTCTTTTGGCTGCCTTCAGGGGCTCCCCTTCTCTCTTGTTGTGATTTCAGGGACTTGGAGATGAAATCCACATGTTACCCTATGGCAGCCTTAAGGGAGAGGGGGATTCACAATTGGGATGTCCCCCCATCACTTTTTCCTTTCTGTCCTGGGATCCAGGTAGATATTTCATCTCACTTCAGAAAGACAATCCCTTAAAGAAGGAACAACAGGCCATCCATCTGGTTTTCCCAAGGCCGGGACCGTGTTGTCTCCAGCCCCCTTGCAATAATGCCTGGCTATCTGGCTGTTTGTTTTGGCCAAACCAGCATACAGGCTCAAAACCTTTAAGGGAACATTTCTAACAGCGCCTTAGATTTACTGGGTTATGTCAGAGCACTGGCAACTCCCCATTTGTGGATATGACTTTATTTTCCCCTAAATGTGTGTCCTTGCATATCCAGGGTAAAGTGATGCTACACTTATTTGGGCCATACGCAATAGCTCGCCTGACATTTCATCACTTGGAAGCTGCTGATGTTACCCACATTTTGTACTGGACTCTGCTACTGACATCCCCCACTTAAAAAGTATCATTTCTCTTCTGTTTCATTCTTAAGCCAATCTCTGACTCATGACACAAAACCCCATCCCAGTCCCAGGATGATGTATTCTGGTGTGGATCTAAAGGACCAAGGAATTGGCCGGGCATGGTGGCTCACGCCTGTAATCCCAGCACTTTGGGAGGCTGAGGCAGGCAGATCAACTGAGGTTGGGAGTTCGCGACCAGCCTGATCAACATGGAGAAACCCTGTCTCTACTAAAAATACAAAATTATCCAGGTGTGGTGGTGCATGCCTGTAATCCCAGCTACTCGGGAGGCTGAGGCAGGAGAATTGCTTGAACCCAGGAGGTGGAGGTTGTGGTGAGCCGAGATCGTGCCATTGCACTCCAGCCTGTACAACAAGAGTGAAAAGCCGTGTCAAAAAAAAAAAAAAAAAGGACCAAGGAAGCGCTCCCTGTTTCAGGGATGCTGGGGTGGGTGGTGGTGACTGATGGTCAGCTTCCCTGGAGAGCTTGAAGACCAGGACCAAGGCCAATCATTCTGGCCAGCCGTGCTCTTCCTGGATGCTCTTCCATTTGGGCAATGGCCCAAATTATTATTATTTTTATTGTGGTGAAGTATCCATAACACAAAATTTACCATTTTAATAATCTTTCAGTGTCCAGTTCAGGGTAATTAAGTGCATTCACACTGCTGTGTACTATCGCCACCATTCATCTCTAGCACCTACTCATTTTTCCCTGCTGAAACTCTACCCATTAAACAGTAACTCCCCAATCCCCACTCCCCGCCTGCTCCTGAGAGCCACCATTTCTACTATCTGTCTCTGATTTGACTACTGTAGGTTCTTCATGTAAGCAGATTCTTACAGTATTTGCCCTTTTGTGTCTGGCTTACTTCACTTAGCATAATGTCTTCAGGGTTTATCCACGTTGTAGCATGTATCCTTAAATTATTTTTTAAAGCACGTCACCAGGTAGCACTTCGGGGACATGGCAAAGAAAGAATGGACATAGTTACTGGAGTGGCACCCATAAATGTGGGCATGAACACACACTTGGCTCTTGCAGGCTGGTGTGTGTTAAATGGACATGTGCTTGTGCACCCCCTCTGAGTGCCCTCCACGAATCCCAGGGGACTGCCCTCCCTCCCTTTAGGATTAGTTCTCAGACCATTCTGTGCATAACATAAGAGACACCTGAAGAGCTGGTCATAATGTGGGTCCTAGGCCCCTCGGGGCTTGTGTTGGGCCCCTGTGCCACAGGTGATGCTGAGGTAGGGGACTGGGCACCCCACTTTGGGAGGACTTCCGTCCCAGGGCTGCTCCATGTTCCACAAGGGAAAGACGTGACCCCAGCCTTGGTTCATGTGTGGCCAGGCGAATTTGACAGCTTCCTGGGAAAACCAACAGGTAGGGCCCCATTGGGAAATAAGGTCACTACATCCCTGAGAGCATGTCTGGCCTATGAGAGTCAGATCTAACTTCCTACACTCACTTCCTACTCTCTTTCCCATGGAGGTCCCCATTCTCTTCTCAACGAACTCCTGAACAGCACACCGAGGACAAAGCAGCATGCTGGAGGCAGAATGAGACAAGAACACTGAGGCTGTCACACAGGCAGAGCTTGAACCAAGCCATGAGAGAGGCACACAGGCACTGTTTTTTGAGCAGAGAAAGAACACTTTTGGAGCAGGGAAGGCTTCTCCGCTTCTCAGAGGAGGTGGCACTTGAGATAGACAGAATCCTGACAGTAGATAGAAGCAGAAGGGGGTCTCATTCCAGAAACAGGTGATGTGGGTTTGGGAGGCAACCAGGATCTGGTGTGACACGGATGGATGGAGTCTCTGAGTCGGAAGTCTGGGTATAATTCCAAGTGCTTTGCGTTTGGCCATGTTACCATGGCAGGTCATCAGCCCCTGCAGGCTGTGAGCCTCAAGTCAGGGCTGGAGTGACAGGAGCAGAGGCTGGGACCGTACAGTGGAGGGCTTTGGCTGCACTTAATTTAGAGAGAGGTTGGGAGCCATGCAATGCTTTAGAGCAGAGACCCACACTCCTTTTAGCCACAGGTAGGACAAGGGTGGAGGGTCGAGTCTCTTGACTTCTCATGTCCCATGAGCAGCAGCTGGTTGGCCTGACACCTCCAAACCCTTCCTCATTTCCCATGTGGAGGATTTCCTCTAGTGAGGGCATAGTCTCCGGAAGAGGGTTTCCTCTGGCTCCTGAGAGGACTGACAGCCCCCTCCCAGCACTGGTTCACAAAATCAGGAAATGTGGATGCTAAATAATTCATAAACACATTAAATAAGATTGGCTCTAGCCTTGATCCCTGGGGAGCTCACTGTTAATACTTCCCTCATTTAATATCAGCCTGAGCCAGACATTATTAGGAAGGGAAATCTTCTCTCTCTTTTAAAAAATCATGTAGCTTAAATGGTTTGGGATTGTTTGCTACTTTGCATGATTTCTGCCACCGCTCCCGCCCATTACGGGGATAATTAAGAATTGACTACGGTTGGCAAAAAGCATTCAACAGCCAACTTTTTATTTGGTTTTTTCAAGTGCCCCAGCCCTCCTCCTGTTTCCCCACCAACCCTGGTCTTCCCTTTCTAGTCCCTGCAGCCATGCAGCCCAGATCCCTTCATGCACCACCCCCCACCCCCCAGGTCTGCTGCCTGTAAACACACTTAGAGTCCCATGGAAACCACACACTGAATGGAGAAAAAGCAGGGAGACCATTCACTCTCCTCTTATTCTACTGCCCCATTTCCTCCAGGCACCTTGCCTGATGTCCCTCGGGCCTAGGGCCAGAGTGTATTTGTTCGGCTGCCCTGGTCACCCGGGAATGGGGTGGGCTCAGTTCCCAGGCCTGTCCACCAGCTGGTCATTCTCTCTTTCGAGAGTCACTCTCTCCGACCGGCTGAGGCAGGATTAAAGACTTCAGGAGGAAGAGCGTGCCTCTGATCACAGAAGGAAGGGTTAGAGACACCAGGCCGACCCCAGCTGGCCAGGCAGGGCGGCTGCGGGATGAAGTGATCACTGGTGTCCATTCCCCCAACCCCACCTGCAGCACTCCTCAACCTCCTGCTGGTCAGAAGAGGCAAGGGGCATGTGGCCAGTCAATTTTGAGGGGCAGCTCCAGGCATTGGGGTGATCTTCAAGGCTCGTCTCCTTTATTTCCCTGCCTCCAACCAGAAGTACATCTAAGTCATCTCAAGGATTTTTTTGGGGGGGTTTTGTTTCATTTTTTTTCTCTGTCCTCATGTCACTTATTTCTAGTATTCTAAAATCCTGAACAATCTTTTTGCAGTCTAACTTAATTTTTTTCTCCTGCAGGTTCAATGCATTATGGGTTGTTCTGAGCTCAGGAAGCTGGAGCCTCACCTTGTGCACAATAAATCATCCGCGGGGCGGGGACGGGGCGGGGTGGTAAAAAAAACCTATAAAGACACACGAGAAAGCCAAGCTACTTTTGGGGGAGCACAGAGAAGCTTCTAGAATGGCTGACAGAGTCCTATTACTTGACTTGGGTGATGATGTAAAGAGCTGGCGCCTGTAGTCCCAGCTACTCGGGAGGCTGAGGCAGGAGAATGGCGTGAACCCGGGAGGCGGAGCTTGCAGTGAACCAAGATCACGCCACTGCACTCCAGCCTGGGCGACAGAGCGAGACTCGTCTCAAAAAAAAAAAAAAAAAAAAAAAAAAAAAAAAAAAAGGTAGATTGGAGGCTACTGATGTTTACCAAATTGAATTTAAGAGTCGGGCAGGACCTGCTTGACCAGGGCCAGTTCACCTGAGCCTGGCATTCAGTAACTGCTCACTAATGTTAGTGTTGTGATTATCTTACCCCTGCTGTGGAAGCAGAGGGAAAGGGAGTGGTAAGGGACAGGGTAAGGGGTAGGGAAAAGAGGAGGAAGGAGAAAGAAGCAAGGGCAGGTCATTCCGAGAGTTTGGCTCTTAGGAAATTCATCATACGCTTCATCATTGGTCCTACGTGCAGAGGAGTAAAGAAATAAACAGCTATCAGGCCGCCTTTGCCTTCCTACAACGTTTTGCTATGGCGGGCTTGCCCATAATTCTCCGAGTAACCTTCCTTCTTCTCTTCTCCTTCACTGTCTCCCGCCCCCCGCCGTGGCCCTGTAGGCTCATTCACATAGGGCCATAGGGCCATCCCTCAGGGATTGGAAGCTGGAGGCGGGCTCTGAAGGTCCAGCGGGAACTCTCCCCTCAGGTCTGTCTGCCTCACCTCCCCAATCCCACAGCTAATGAAGAAGCCTGGCAAAGTGTTTGGAGGTCCTCCCACTAACCCTATCACTCCCATTCTGGGCAGCAGGGGTGGCCTCAGAAGGAGAGCATCTGGGTTTGCCACTAAAACCCCCCTTTGCTGTCGCTTGTCAGTCGGGGGCTGCCAATATGCCCATGCCTCTTCACGTCCGTCTGTGGCTTCTGTTTGGGCCCATGTCTTTGTCTCTTTGCTCTCTCTCCCTCTGGGGCTCCTCTGCTCCAACAAAAACCCACAGCAGAATCCTGGGCACATCACAAATAGTTTTCATTAAGAATAACGACAAAGGTTACCCATTGGGTACAATGTTTGCTATTTGGGTAATGGGTACGCTAGAAGCCCAATCCCCACCAGTACACAATATACCCATGTAACAAGCATGCACATGTATCCCCTGAATCTGAAGGAAAATTTAAATTGAAAAAAAGTTCTACTTAAAAAAAAGTAATTAAAAAGAAAGCTTCAGAGAAGGAAAGAGGAAATTAGATTTTATTCTAAATTTGTCTGACACAGGCAATTCCCCAGGGACACAACTGAAAATGTAAAGGCCCAGAAAAATCACAGGGGAAAAAAATAATTTCCCCCTGTTTCTCCCAAAGACTTCTTTGAAATACACGATTTCAAATACGTTTCTGGATCCTAAAACTTTTTAGAATGAATAAAGTGTCTAGGATAGGGTATTTTTATGTTCCCCAACCATTCCTAAAAATTACACCATAAGATTTTAAGTTAAAAAAGCTACATCAATCTTTTCGTCTGCATATAATGATGCAACTTGTTTGACATTCCTTTCCAAATGACCTACAGAAAAATCAATTGTTCCTGAGAATCCAAGTACATTTCCACTTATAAGTACAGAGGAATTAAAAATGGATTACTGTAATGAAAAATGGCCAGGCACAGTGGCTCACACCTGTAATCCCAGCACTTTGAGAGGCCAAGGCAGGAGGATTGCTTCTAGCCAGGAGTTCAAGACCAGCCTGGGCAATATAGCAAGACCCTGTCTCTAAATTAAAAAAATTTTTTTTAAGAAATTAGCCCAGCAGGTTGCACTTGCCTGTAGTTCTAGCTACTCTGTCCTAGCTGAAACAGGAGGATCCCTTGAGCCCAGGAGTTGGAGACTGCAGTGAACTATGATTGCACCACTGCACTCCAGCCTGGGTGATACAGTGTCTCTTAAAAAAAAAAAAGAAAGAAAAAGAAAAATGAGAAAAATGTTGTCCCCAGCAACTCCAGCTTCTGTGAAAGTACTGGATCTAGGATTTGGAGGCACATCTATGAAGAGGTAAAAGGGGAATGGCCACAGCATTTGATAGATCTACCCCCAGAAAGCTCCCAAACCCCAGTGCCCAGCTGCTCACTGCTGCAGATAGCTGGAATCTTGCGGGAGGAGGTGTGAGCTCGGAGAAAGCTAGGGGATCTCCCAAGCAAATCCCATCCCCCAACAGGGTGGCCACGCCAGCCTATGGTTCCAATCTGCCCCTTCCGTCTTCTACTACATGTGAAAAGAAATGGAGCCATATTTGGAAAAACATAGTCCAAATCAAGAAATAAATTAACATGTGAAAAGAGAGAGAAGCTTGTCCCAATTTAGGCAAATCTTCAGTTTTCAGGACTCTGGGAAGATGATAAAAATGAAGTGTTAGTAGAATCAAAAATGACTCAAGGTGATGGCTCAAAGAATGGGGCTGATTAGATAAAATTCTATGGAGTAAATTGTGTTCAATGAGATTTAAAGGTTTCCCTCTCCTTTCTTTTCACAATTCCTTTTCTGAAAATAAGTGCTTTTCTGTTTCTTGCCAACACCAAGTCCAGAAAGCATAATACTGTCCTTTGTCTTACTCTAAGTGTGTTGTAGATGGATTCTTCTGTTCAAGCCTTTGCCTACTTATTAAAAAGTGTCAGAAGAAAGTGGATGCGAGACTTCTGAAAGGACAGGTGCTTTGATAATGGGAAACTTGAAATTATTAGCAGAGCAAACTGCAACATACAATTTGATATACCCAAAAAGCTAGTTACATGTTTATTAAATCAATTATATACAACCATTTTTGACATTTTGAAACAAAGAGACATGAGATCTTCTGAAAAATCACCAAAACCAAAGTTGCATACAAATTTTCATTTTCCTTCTAATATTTGAAAAACAAATGATCTCTTTTCCCTGTGCATCCAAAGAATGTTTAAATCCAAGATAAGTCACTCCTGTTGCTCCTCATAAGGCAAGAGAGGCAGGAGGGGGCACTGGGAGATGAGGCAGGCCCAGAGCATATTTGTGTGTGTGTGTGTGTGTGTGTGTGTGTGTGGTGTGTAAGTGTGCTGGTCTTCCCTCTACTTCCCTGCAATGCAAATGGTGGGTAGAAAGGAACACACACACAGACACACACACACACACATACAAACATGCACTCATTTGCCAAGGGGGTGTCCACTCAGCCAAGAAAAAACTCTCAGCTGAAGTTAACCCTATAACCCTGCATTTGCTCTACCATCTTCAAAAGAGGTTTGAAATTCTTTCCCAAACTTTGCTGCACTTTCCATGAGAATGGGGATGTTCCTGCATAAAACATGAGTTTAGGAGGGCCCGGCCGTGAGCTAGCAGGCCTTGGGGAGCTTGTGTGGGGCCCGGGATTGTGGGGAAGAAGAACAGAGAGGTGGGGGAAGGGAAGGGAGGCTGTTTTCTCAGGCTGCATTTCTTGCAGGCTCCTTGGAGACCAGAGAAAGGCCAGGAAAGGTCTCAGCTGGGGCTGGGCCCTCACAGAACCGGCGGAAAAAGGGATGCTGCACTTAACCCCATGGAGCCAGATGGGCTGGGGTTTGAGGACCTCCAGTAAAGTGATGCCGGGAAGGCAGGGGAGAGAGAGAGAGAGAGATTGGAGAGGGTAAAGTCCTGGGAAGGGAAAAATGCAGGTGGAGGGGGGAATCTACTAAACATTGAAGATGCAGTCTTGTCCCCCCCATAAGTGGGTTCACAAAGGACAGGGACAAAAGTTCTACTTCTGTTGGTATCTCCACAGAATCCAGCCAGTGGCGGGCCTTTTACATGCTGTTTTTGAATGGCTGCAGGTGGGCAGGCAGGATTCTTATCCTGCTATCAGCACCCCACTGAGTAGGATTTAGGGGTCTGCAAGAGGTCCTCTCCCTCAAACTGGTTATTAGCACTGCTTGAATTAACTCAGCAATGGGCTAAATGCCAGCAGCAGGAGAGAGATGTTTGGGCATTCTGCTCCTTGGGGATAGAGCCCTCATGAAAATCACTGAGGCACCACTCTCCCCAGAGGCTCGGAAAGGGCAGGAGTGTTTATGCTGCTGGGGCAGCAGAGGTTCTCAGGTGGCCATGGTGTGTGCTATGGACGGACGCCCTGTATTGGTCACTGGATTGCACACATACCTCTGCAGCCTCCTCCTGACAGGGACTGGGAGAAGAGAGCCACTGAAATTAATGGGGATGTAAACTACCTTGAATCCCTTTCTGGAAAAATCAGGACATAAGTAGTGAGTTTTGTTGGGGTTGGGTTTTTGAAATTTATTTTTTTTTTCAATTTGGAGAATTTTATGATACCTGCAAAATAGCTGGCAGTGCTCCAGAATGTGGTTACTGGATCTTTGCAAGTCACTGGTTACTTACCGCAAGTTGGAAAATGCTGAGACCAGCCATAGAAGGAAGTGCAGTTGGAAGGGGGGCCTCAGAGATGTGCAACAGTAGTGGTCTTCAAACCTGAGCTGCATCAGAACCACCCAGAAGCCATGCAGAAACCCTGGCTGCTGGCCCCCAGCCACAGAGATCCTGATTCTCCCTCTGGGGTGAGACTCGAGAATCTGCATTTCAAAAAGTCCCCAAGTGATGCTGCTGCTGCTGGTGCAAGGAACACACAGGGAGAATGACTGTTCTAGAAAACCCCTCCTTTTGTAGGTGAGGAAACTGAGGCGATAGGGTTTTAATGGCAGAGCCAGGAACTCACAGCCAGGTTTCCTGAAAAGAAGGTGTGGCACCCAGCTCTAGCATGAAACCCCAGTGTGGAGGTGAGGCAGAAGGGAGAGGACAAAACCCATACCCAGCTAAAATCAAACACCGTCTGTATCCTCCATGTGCTAAAGTCAAGTCTACAGAACCCCAACCACCTGGATCCCACTGGAGGGGCGGAATGGGAAACTGAGAATGAAGCAACCAGTTGGACAGGCAGACAGCAGCAGGAGGAAGAGAGGGAGCACACAGATTACAGAAAGCAATTAACACAGAGTGGACAATTCAGGGACACTGGGGAGCCTCCTGCCAGCCCTGGGGAGCACAGATTAACAAGCCTCTCTAGGACTTGGCAGTTGGGAGCAAGCCTGCTGCTTCCAGCTGTGACTTGACCTCACATCTGTTATCTCCTAAGGCCTTGGGGTGGGGCCTGGAAAGCTCTGCTGGGAGAATGGCCAGAAAAACCAATTAATCTCGCCTCATCTGGGCTCTCATGCCCGTGAGGGCTACCACACCTCAATCAGCCTTGTCCTCCTCGAGACTGGGAGCTCCTCGAAGCCAGAGACACATCACCTAGCTCTAATCTGGTAAGCATTCGGTAAAAGTTGGATAAAGAAATGAATGCAGGCATGAATGCAGCCCTTCTGCTCTGGAGAAGCAGGCTCTGCCATCAGTGTACTTAAGAGGAATCCCATCGCGTAATCCCACCTGCTGGGGAGGGCCAGTGGGGCTTCTGTTGCTAATTGGCACAGTATGGACAGAAGTCCCTCTTCTCCAAAATGTCCCCTCTACATCTTTCTCACTGCTCCGCTAGAGGAAAACAATCTTTTTGCATCTAACCAGCATATGTTCGGAGAGAGTCCACACCCCTGCTCTGGGAGACTGGTCTTGGAATCCCTAAACTTATGAGAAGCTCCTATTGTCCACAGATGGCCCCTTGTCCCATCAGTTTCAGATGGGAGGCTCAGAGCCCCTGCAGATTCCCAGCAGCCGCACAGAGGCTGCTGGTGGGTCAAGGAGGGCTGTGAGCTGGGGTCTGCTGCCTGATGTTGCCAGGCTTAGTTGTGGGGAGAAAGGTCCCAAGTGCAGAGCTGCACTGAGGCTGCAGAGGCAGTGTCCTGGCTCTGAACCTTCCCCTCATAGTCGACCCTAGACTGGCCCACCAGGGCTCTGGTAAGGCTTCCTGATTCCGTGCCTGGTCTCATGGACATGTGCTGTGCCTTCTATGGCAGCCCACAAGGGCCTCTGGGGCTCTGAAGGACCTCTCTGTCTCTATTCCACTTTGGGTAATCCTCATGTCACTTCTGGAAGTTTCACAGACCAGCACAGAACAGAATAGACACAGGGTAGATGCGACCCAGCTCTGTCGTGGGGCCATGAAACTGCAAACCTCAGAGCATTACACCCTAGAGGTTGGAAAGGTGCAAATCACAGAATTGCTTATTTACCCCAAAGCTGCCTGTCTGGCGAGATTTCTCTCCCTTACTCCAATGTCCGTTGAGCTTTTCAGAGAAAATTGGTTCCCTGGGGGAGTAAAGGTCAGAAAAAGAGGAGAAGGGTGAAGACTCCCAAACAGTTGCTGGGGGCAAACTGATTCTGCGTAGTTAGGCAGAGACCATGAAGACTCAGGGCCCTAAAAATAATATGCTGTGGCTTGTCTGGGGTGACTAAAGATCCCAGGCAGCACTGTCCAGCCACCTCCCTGTCCCTGTTCTTTAGATGCTGTTTAGAGATTGTAAACTTACCTACCAGAATCGAGCATCATTAGAGATAAAATCTGCTGAAATGGATCACACAAGGCATTTCAAAGCCCAGCAGGCTGATTAAGAGATGATTTGTTGGTTTGTGGCACCTGGAGCACCTCTCAGCGCCCTTCCACAAATTGGATTTTGGCCAATAACTTCTCTGCAACATGAGGCTTCCTATCATTCCCTCCTCTGCTGAGGGGGAGGTGGGGATCCTGCCCTCCACCTTTGAGGACAAGTTTCTGCAGAGTCAATGGGAGACATGGAAAGAAGGGCGATACCTTTTTTCCTACACAGAAGGAAATACTTCCTAAGCAGAAGGATTTTGCCCTTGGCCAAATGCTTGGCCATGTTGAGACCCAGACTCATGGGGCCAAAGGCCACATGAGAGCCCAAGGAGAGGGTGTAGCAGCAGCAGCAGCAGCAGCAGGTTTCACCTGAACCAGTAGTTCTCAACCAGGTGTAACTTTGCCTGCATGGGAGGAGACAAGGGCACTCATGAGCTGTCTTCTCTACCTGCCCCCCCAAACTCACTGTCAGGTAAGAGAAGGACCCGAGGGCTTCACAATGTATGACATACATGTGCACACACACACACACACAACCACACTGCCTCCTGTTCACATCATAGGTTCTGGAAGGTCTCCTTCATGGAGCCCTCCTGGACCGATGAAGAACAGGACCCCTGTGACCCCACAGGGGTTCTGATAACAAGAAACTCATGAGGCTCTTCTCCCTTGCTTACTCTTCCTCAGAAGTATTTTGCCTTTAAGATGAGACTTAATCCAAGCAAGACACAGAATCCTCTAGATTGATTTATTTCATTATTGGTGCAGAACATGATGTCTGTCTCACTCAACAGCTCCCGAAGGCAGGGCTCACCTCCCCATCATTCACATTCAGTACAGGACCCAGAAAGCTGCCAGCAAGTGTATGTGTACATATATGCACACGCGTGTGTATGCTCACACATGCTCCGGATGCTAAACCCATCCTGGCCTTGATGCCACTTTTAGCTTTTGGGCAAGTGTCAAGAAGGAATGGTGGTACCCAACAGTGGGATTTTCCTTCCCAGACTTCACACTGCACAGATGGAGGACCCAAACCAGCAGCCGAGCCTCACCACAGCAGTTCCACTAGAAAGAGCTAGAGATTGGTGGAGGCTGGGAGAAGTGATTCTCCAGTCAGGATTGGGTGAGAACGTGAGCAAGATCACACACAGAGCACAAGCCTTTGCACTCTTAGTCCAGACATGGTTACACTTCACTTGGCTAGGATGAGACCGAGTCTCAGGGGACCAAAGGCCACATGAGGGCCCAAGGAGAAGATGTAGCAGCAGCAGTGTTAACCTGAACCAGTAGTTCTCAGCCAGGAGTAATTTTGCCCTTGGGGGAACTTTGGTAATGTCTGGAGGCATTTTGGGCTGTCACAAATGAAGGTGCTACTGGCATCACACAGGTGGAAGCCAGGGAAGCTGCCAAACATCCTACAAGGCATAGGACAGTCCCCTTCCGCCACATCAAGAATTATCCATCTCCAATTTCCAATGTGCTGCTGTTGAGAAACCTTGACCTAAACACTGCTGCACCCTCCACGCCATGATTACTGAGTTGTAAGAAGGAAAATCTCAGATGAGTCAGAATCATGGTCCTTCAGCCCTGCCTTAGATTTCAGGCAAGCTCCAAAGGATAGGGGTATATTGGGTGGGGGTGGGGGTGCACCAGAGTTGTGCCACACACAACCCTCTGGAAAGTTGGAAATGTTCCCAGTGGGACCTCAGAGGTTATCTTGTCGAAACATACTCATGGTATGAGACTTAGGGAGATATAAGCAAAGACCATACTATCACAAAGGAGAGAAAACATGATCGCAGGCATGTTAGGAATTCTAGGAAGATGGGCATCCCTGTGACGGCAAAACAGATGGCTGAGAACCCGTTACGGATACAGGAAGCATGTGGCGACCTCCTAGATCTCCTTATTCCCGGAGGCAGCCCAAGCTGAAAACAAAACTGTAACCACCAAGGGGAATGGTTTTGATGGGTAGGCAGGGGTCCAGGCTATAACAGAGGGTCCCTGGGTCCAAGGGCTGTGGTTCTCCACCCTCATTGTGTTTCATTTTGTGCACGTTCTAAGTGGGGACCCACCACTGTTTGCAAAGAAAAAAAGAGTTCCCGTGCCCTTTCCTGGCAGTGCTGATAGCAAAGTGACTCTGTGAAGCCCAGCAGCCCACGGGTCAGGGGCTCCAGGGCAAAAGCAGAAGGATCACAGAGACTTTTCAATGGCTCCAGGACGATGATGACAGCGTGGGAGGAGGGATAAGCCACATGGCCAGGGAAAGGAAAGGGCAGATCTCACTCTGCATTCTGTGCCCTTCACCTAGCAGGGGTTATGCAGCAAGAGTACAAGTGAAAGCCTGGAGCACCTGTGGGTGTGGGGCATTTCGGAGACACCATCCCTCCACATGCTTTTAGACACATCTCTACCCAACCAGGAGAGGGAAGCAGTAGGAGAAACTTCTCCTTCCAGGGTCTCCTGACTCCTGAGAAAAATACCTGCAGCCCCAGCTCCCTGATGCCCCACCTCCTCACCCCCTATTGGCCCTGCTCCCTAGATCTCCCACCCCATCCAGTTGGCATGAGGTGAGGCAAACTAATGTCTAGTCTCTCTGAAAATACAGCTTCAGAGCTGGTCCACTGTGACTCGCTTAGGTACATCCCAGCAAACGCAGAAAGGGACATGTGTCCAAGTACTCACCCGTAGCAGCTCAGCTGCGGGCACCATGCAGGGAAATCAGACAGCAGGCAGGAGAAGCAGTCTCGGGGAAGCCAGCACCATCAGCCTGCTGTCTGCCAAAGCCCAGGCAGCAGCTGGGCTCTCCCACTCCTTGCCCCCAGCGACAGAAGTCAGGACTTCAGCCCACGCCTGGGAGCAGACCTGGGGCCACAGGCACACCGGTTCCAGATCCCTGAAAGGGGGTCCGGGCTTCCTGGGGCTGATGAGGAGTTCTCAGTCCAGGGGAGCCAGGACTGCTGCTACTGCTCCCAGGGAGAAAACAACATTTCCCTGTAGAGTCCACCCAGGCCACTGTGGTCAGGTGAGGTCAGCAAGAAAACCTGACCAGCAGCTCCAGACGGCTTGGTCTGGCCGCAGAAAAGCAGGACACAACGCGGCAGCCTGCCCCCGAGCATCTCCAATTGTCCCTCACACTGCTGAGCCTCACTCCCAGCACCAGACAAAAGCACTGGAAGCAGCTCGCAGCACGGCTGTGACACACCAATCACCAGTGCCAGACTGTCCTCCCAGCTGGCCAAGCCCTGGCCACCCCACAAGGGCTGGCTCCCTCTCCCGTGTTTCCTCAAAGCTGCCTGAGGATGGTTTAGGATGATTTATCCTCGTGGGGTGGATTATTTGTCCCAGGAATACTCCAACTTTGGCTGGACCAGAGAGCAGTGGTGTAATGCCCTGGCTTAGAGAGTGAGACAGCGAGGAAGAGAAAGAGTGTGTGTAAGAGTGTGTGAGAGACTGTATGTGTGCATGTGAGCAAGAGAGGAGGGTGAGAAGCAGTGTGTGCATCTTCCCAGAGTATCTATCGGTCCCTCTCTAATTTCATGCAATCCCTCTCTCCTCCTGGGTTTGGAGACAGGGGGATGGGCGGTGAGAGACACAGAATCCAGAACAGGCAGGAGACACCATCCCTTCCTCCCCGCCCCCTTGCCACCCGCTCTGGGAGGGTGATAATGCCACCCCTCCCGCTCCTGCCTCCCCCACAGCTGCTGCTGTCAGCAGTCAGCTCCCCCTGCTGAATACTCTTGGGGAACAACTTTGGAAGAAGCATTTCACGAAATAGTCAGCGGCATCGCCCCTCCTTTTCCCAGCCCAGGTCCTTTCATGCTCCCATTTTGGTCATTGGCCCCCCCACCTCAAGCCCACCTGTCCCCACACCCATTCTCCATAAGCCTCAGAAGCCTCTCCCCACCTGGCCCCATCTCAGAGCCATATCCTCTTCACCAGGCTTCCTGCGGGTCCTGGGCTGGGAGGACAGCAAGCCCTTCTGGAGTGTGCCATCAGCCCGGCACCACTACAGCCCGACTTCCTCAACCTTCCCTCCTCTGTGCTGCCCACCAAGACACCCCACAGATAACAAGAGCGAGTGGTAACTCCAGGCTGCCTGCACAATTCATTTGGAGGGAAACCAGGACTGCAGAGAGTATAGTGGGGAGTAGAGGATATTCCACAGCCTCTCGTCTCTCCCTCTCCTGTAAGATTAGCCACCTGTAGGTCTGAACACCTCTCTGTTTCATATCTTGGCTACCACAGAGGAGGCCAGGACCCCATCTATGGCTTTCATATTTACCTCCTTCTTTGCAAACAATTATAGTGGTTCTCAACGAGTACAAAAGTGATTACTCTTTCTTGGCCTGTGAAAGTGGGGAGGCCCCTGCTTCTCCTTCCTACGTTTCCCTGCCATGATGGGTGTGTGCTGATGGGTCTGTAGGGAGAAATGGAGAACAAGGTAAACAGTGAGGGATTTGGTACTGGGAGGAGCTCTTTGGAGACAGATCACCACAGGCTGTGCCACCCTAGTCCTAAGGGTTATTGGCTTGACCATGAGAGGTGACCGCCTAGGCAGCTTACTATTGTGGTTGACTGCCTTGGCTCAGGGGTTAGGCAGGACCAGGAGTGTAAATGTATCAATTGTGTGACCTTGAGCAAGCTGCTAAATCTCTGAGACTCGGTTTCCCTGTGTGACAAGTGGGAATATTAATATCTACTTCATAGGGCTGTTGTGAGAAATCAAATTGGATGAAATGGGTACTGTGCCACCCACGATGCCTGGCCCTCAGAGATGCTGGATCCTTTATTTCTTCTTCTACTGAATCCTGGGAAACGGAGGTAGTGGCTCTTGCAGTGGGAAGGAGGCCTCCAGGTGAGCTGCTTAAAGGGGAAGGGCCTAGCTGGAAGGAGCTGAGAGGGGTGTTTAGCAGGAGGGAAGCCGGGGTGTAAACCCAGAGAGAAGAGGCAGAGGGGCAACATGTCAGGTTGGAAAAGTGAGTCCAGCCAAAGAGGCAGAACGTAACCCAGGGCAAGCCAAGCTGGAAACCAGGACCATGGCCAGGGCTGGAGGGACCCTGTGAGAAGCAGGACATCGGGTGGTGGGGGTGGAGAGAGCTGCTTGCCTGGGAAAAATGTTAGTCTGGGGTTTTCTGGAACAGAACCCAGGGACCATGGCAGAGGGTGGCTGGGTCAGCAACAACCATCAGAATCCCAAATGAACAAATGGAGGCCTGAGTAGAACAGGACAAGTTTCTCCAGAGACCAAAAGGTAAGAAAAGGGAATGGCCTACACTCTACCAGAAAACCCTCGATAACCACCAACAGCCCCTGGGATGACAGGGTGGCCACACCCTGCCACACTAGAGACAGGCTCTGGGCAGAAGAAGCTGTAATCATGGGTCAGCCACAGAGGTCTTGATTCATACCTGAAAGCGGCTGGCCTGGGCCACACATGGTTTACATCCTGAAGCACCCCCCAGCATAGGTAAAGCTGAGAGGACACAGCACCCAAGCTTGAGAGGGAGGCCCTGGGGTTGAAAAGAAGGGATGGCCATAAATGCTCAGGCCAGCACCTCATGAGACAGCCCAGTATCATGGGGAGATCATGGCTGGGGGGCCAGGAGGTTTGGGTTCTCGTCCCTATTCTGCCAACAATTGGCTGGGCTGCTGGTCTTCTCTGGCCCACTGTATCTTCCTCTTTGAAATGAGACCAGATTTGTGGTCTTCAAACTGTTTACTTTTCAGCAGCAGAACCCATTCTCACCACTCTGAGCCTCCATTTCTCATTATTCAAGTGACATCTTACCTAAAATATCTGTATATATCCAGATCAGACAGAAGCAGAGCTACGTTGATGGGTCAAGGGCTGGAGCCTGGCTGTCAGCCTCATTCAGCAGCTCTTAAGATGGCTTGGAGGTGCTCCGAACACCTCAGAACACAGCCTGAGATCACAGCACTAGTCTGAGGGCCTTTCCCCTCTCTGACTCCAGGGCTTTTCATCCCCATGGAACACTGAGTAGACACCAACTTGGATGGGCGCCAGCTGGAGGGCGAAGCCTAAGAGGGTCCCAAGGGAGGGGGCAGCTCTTCTCCAACACACACACTCAGCATCTACTGGGGTTGCAGGTCCCACAACAGAGGCTGCCGAAGGTGGGAACTGGCCTTGGCGGCTACGGGTGGCAGAAGGGAGGCCGTCTGGGCCCCGGGATCTGGGTGACAAATGTACTACATAAAAAGGCCAGATGGACGTCCCTGCCTTTGGCACCACGGCTGCTCTAGGAAACACTGGGCTGCCTTTCATACCCTGGATTGTCGCAGGCTCCCTCTCTCCCCAGCTCAGCCAAATCATAAATCTAGCCTGCCAGGGGAGCTGGCTGCCCTGACCCCGGCCCCGTGCTTCCCCGCCTTGGCCTCACACATGCCAAGATCCAGGCACGAGCAGTGGAAGGAGGGACTGTGGGGCTGGGCCCACATGGACTGAGAGCACTGTCTTGGTTTGGGGCTTTCCAGAATGTTCTTCAGCCATATTTTTCTCTTTTTGTCTTTCTAGCCTTCCTGTGCAGGATTCTGTCAAGGGCTTTCTTTTATAACCGTGCACCCCTCACACCAGCCTCCTCAGCCCTTCAAGAGTTTAAGTCTGACAGAAATTGGGACGTTCCGTGAGACCCCAAAGCCCAAGACTGCCCTGTCCTTGCCCTGGGCCTCTGGGAAGGCAGCCCGAGTAGCGTTCGACCTGCCCAGCCCCCATGAGGAATGTTCTTGCACAGGCAAAGATCCTTCAGCTAGAGATGCAGGGAGCCCCTGGTTTCTGTCTCCTGGAAGGGGTGCAAACAGCCTCGCCAAGGGAGGATTAGTTCCCTCTCTGGTCCACCCTTGGGTTCTTTACTTGCCATTCCCACACGCTGTCCTGTGTCCACACCCCAGGGAAGGGAAGCCCCGAAAAGGCTCTCTCCTGTTGCCCTGGCTCCACCTTCCCTACCTCCTTTCTTGCTTTTTTCTTGTGAATTCAACATATCATTTTGTGTGGCACTATGGTTTGTAAACTGCCCTTTACCCCTTCACAACAGTGCAGTGGGCACTGCCATCTCCTCTTTAGGTGTGGAAGCCGAGGCTCAGCGTGCCTGACCGGACCCAGGTCACAGACTTTTCCGTGGCAAGGCAGAGACTCGAACACCTGTGTTCTGCTCTCTTTCTCATGTCTTTCTTCACCTCCCCTCTCCTCAGCCTCCTTCAGTTTCCTCTCCTCTCCTCTAGCTCCTCCTCTTCTCGCCTATCCTTCTTGCATCTCCTCTCAATCCCTCCTCTGCCCCTCTCCAGAAGATTTTCTCTACTCCAGACCCGCCTGAGGTCAGAGCTGATGGGGACCTTACCCCATCCCCTGGTTCACAGGCCAGGAGACTGAGGCCACGCTACCTGGCTGGTCCCCAGGCCTCTCCCCCCCCCGTCTCCACCAGGGCATGTTGGTGGCCGTGGGAGGCCAAGAGGGGTAATGGATTTCTTAAGTCATCCTGATTTTATTACTTGAAGCATTTCTAGGGCAGGACCCAGACAAATGCTTGCTCCCTCCCTTCCTTCCCTCCTCCCTCCCTCTGCAGCAAAGATGCTGCATCTCTGCATAATGCCTGTGCCCTGTTTCACTCAGAAGGGAAAAGTCAAGGTCTGTGTTTCTGCAGCCAAAGTCACCAGCAGCCAGAGTCTTTGAGGGAAGCTCATCGGCCTGAGGCCTCTACCCTCAGGCCAGGAGACCCTGCCCCTGCCCCACACCACCCAGAGTGGGCCTCTCTCCTCGCTGGGTCTTGTTATAGTTTGTCTCCTTGGGACAGAGATACCCCAGCCTCTAGGTATCACCCCTTCTCTTCCTCACGCCCCCACTTTAGGGCATTCCCAGCTTGATGCAACCTCAGGCAGCAAACACTGCCCGACGACCGCCATGGTGAGCTCGGTGACAGTGATGTACCTGGCTGAGGCAGCTCTCAGCAGCAAGGCCACAGCCTGTCAAGATGCTGAGGAGCCTCACAGGAGCCTCCCTTGGGGCCTTCTTACCACAGACCAGGCATCCCCACCTCTTATACCAACCTGATCTTTCCTTCTCCCAGGGCCCATCCACAAAGCCAAGGCCCAGGGAGCCTTGGCAAACCCTCTGGGAGAGCTCTGAACAGCAAGACCCACTTCACTCTGGGGTCGCTCACTCACAGCAGCCCGCAGAGGTTGGCCCTCAGACTGGAGGAGCTAGTCAGGTAGAGCGGAAAGGACGGGGCTTTGGGATCAAGAACCTTGCCGAATCCTGATCTGTCACTTATCAGCTCCTTGACCTTGGGCCAGTCACTGCTCTGAGCCTCCACTTCTCATCTGTTAAATGGGGAAGATAAAAGTTCCAGGCTTATCTATTTCACCAGATGTGAGAGGATTCCACAAGGCAAAGCAGGTGAACGTGTTCTGGAAATGGACGGAAGGCTGGGTCAGTGTTACCCAGGTCTGCAGAGCTGCCAGAATTCCACTCCACCCCACAAAGCTCCAGGCCTACCCTGCTAGTCCACCCATTTGGCTGCAGGACAGTCAGCTAGCTACCCAGCTTCTCATGAGGTGTGACTTCATCCCTGACTCCTGGCCTCCTTTAGGCCCCAAGTAGGAGCCTGGGGCTCTTTGTTCCCTCTTCCCAGGGGCTCCACTCAGTGAAAAGATACTCCAAGTCTCATTGGCTCAACTCATTACAAGAAGTAGAGAGATTTACTTCTGAGGCCTTCATTATCACCTAATTGTGTTCCCACTAAACTCTCATTAATTAGCCACTCTAAAGCTGTCAGCACAATTAAATAGACTTATTGACTTATAGACTTTGAGGGTGGGAAGACAACTTCAGCAAGTCCAACCTGTCCAACCCTTTCATGTTAGAAATGAGGAAAATGAGGGCGAGAGATGGCAGGTGACTCAACCAAGGTCACACAACAGCTAGTGATGGAGTCGGAGCTAGAAACCCAGGCGGTCAAGTTCCAGCCCGGAGGCCCTCCTTCCCACTACACCACATTCCTAAGGGAAAGCAATGCCACCTCTCACCTTCTATCATCTTTCATTTCCCAAAGCAGTAATTTAGAATTGAGGCATGTCCCCAGCTGGAAGAAAATATAAATGTAGAATTTTAAGTAGATTTTTCTTTTTTTTTAGATGGAGTCTCACTCTTGTCGCCCAGGCAAGAGTGCAGTGGTGCGATCTCAGCTCACTGCAACATCTGCCTCCCGGGTTCAAGCGATTCTCGTTACTCAGCCTCCCAAGTAGCTGGGATTACAGGCGCCTGTGACCATGCCCGGCTGATTTGTATTTTTAGTAGAGATGGGGTTTCCCCATGCTGGCCAGGCTGGTCTCAAACTCCCTACCGCAGGTGATCCACCCACCTCGGCCTCCCAAAGTGCTGGGATTACAGGAGTGAGCCACCATGCCCGGCCTTAAGTAGATTTTTTTTTTTTTAAACCCACCAAAGATAACGACATCTGTACCTGAGGCAAATGGTGACCAGCTGTAACCACAAATGAGCCTCTACCTCCTGGGGCTGAGGGCAGCAAGGACCCTCCCTTTCTCCTTCCCCTCCCCAGGGAGGAGCAGTCATGCAGACAGGACCAATGGAGCGGGAGGCTGGCTCCATGAAGACTGCCAGCATCTGGTTCCACGCTGATACTTGGTCCCAACTGGACATCCTGCAGCACAATCTCTGGAGTGGGGCCTAAGAATCTACACAGGCTAAAACAGGTTCTAAAGAAGAAAACAACAAACATCCACAACAGCTATGGGGACAGAGAGAAAAAGAGAGAAAAAGAGAGCCATGAAAATAGACTCCTAATAAAAGGAACAGGTTGGGCATAGTGGCTCACGCCTGTAATCCCAGCACTTTGGGAGGCTGAGGCGGGCAGATCACGAGATCAAGAGATTGAGACCATCCTGGCTAACGTGGTGAAACCCCATCTCTACTAAAAATACAAAAATTAGCTGGGCATGGTGGCACACGCCTGTAGTCCCAGCTACTCAGGAGGTTGAGGCAGGAGACTCGCTTGGACCCAGGAGGCGGAGGTTGCAGTGAGCCAAGATTGAGTCACTGCACTCTATCCTGGGCAACAGAGTAAGACTCTGTCTCAAAAACAACAAAAGAAAACAGAACAAAGGAGCAGCCCTCCCGAAGGATAGAATAGGGCAAGGGCAGGAGAGAGGAGCTGGACTGGGAAGGAATGGGCCATGGGGAGCAGGTCCCAGAGGTGGTGCAGGTGCAAACCCTGGGCAAAGGTTCTCAGTCATGGTGGCCACAGCCCAGTCATCATGAGGCAAGTGCCAGGACAACAGTTTCAACCTGAGGCCAAAGGGGTGGCCTTGGAGGTCAGGCAGGAAGAGGCTATAAAGGGCATCATAACAGCAAATGCCTCTCTGGCATTTGGCATGCACCTGGCACTGTCCAGAGTGCCTTAGGTATATTCACAAATCTAATCCTATCTAAACTCTGTGAAGTGGGGTCACTGTCATCACCCCAGGGTGCAGGTGAGGAGACAGAGGCTAGGGAACTAAAGTAACAGGCCAATAGGTGGCACAGCAGGAACTCAAACCCAGGGACTCAAACCTACTGTGACTCCAGCTAAAGCCGGAACTCCAGCCTGGGGTGCACAGTGCTTCTTAACAGGGGAGCCATGGCATTTTTTGAGGGATGCACCTTCCTGGTGAGCTGCAAGGATTTAGCATCCCTGGCCACCAAATGACAATAGGGTACCCCAGTCACCTGGATACCCAAAACAGCCCCATACTTTCAGACACCTGCGTACGTGGTCGTAGTTGATCTGCTCCAGGTGGAGAACCACCTGAGGCGAGAAATAAGGATGAAGTGGGAGCCCACACTGAATCCCAGAGGCTTGGCCTCGTTTTGCAAGGGACTGCACTAGATGGGGAGCCGGCTGATCCCCAGGAGGCAGCCCTGGGAGGAGCAGGGCAGATTTCATATCCAAGAGCCCCCCAGAGCTCAAAGTACTGGGCCCCAGCAAGATGTGGCAAGGGATAGGGGGTGATGCTGGAGAAGATGGAAAGGCTGTGGGAAGAGACCATAAACTCAGACAGCCAATGCTTGAAGGGAAATCTCAGGGGAGTCTGAATGTGGGAATGACCACAGCATCCCCACCCTCTCTCATACAGTGGGTGGCAGCCACTGGCCACAGCTCAGCCTCCCTGGGGTGAGTTTTTCTGTGGAGGCCTGAGGAGCAGCAGGCGTATCATAGAGAAAAAGAGAAACAAGTCCAAGAACCATAGATTTTGGAGAAGGAACCACCCCCACCCTGACCTCCACTGTTTTTTTAAACCTTTGCTGGTGGCAGCAGAAAATTCACAAAGAGCTGCAGCCGTCAGGGAAGTGGAGGAATCTTTAAACCTTTTTCCCTTCATACTCAATACATCTGCCCCACTCTATCCAACTCTTCGCTTCCTACCTATCTCCCTTTCATAATTCCCAGTGACCAAAAATCCAGAATGTATTTATAATGTACTGAAGAATGCATTTATAATGTACTGAATGTACATTTATAATGTACTGAAGAATGCACTTAGACAACATGAGCTAAGTTCATACCCATTCATGCCCTTGAAAGCCCAGGCCTGGCGACACCTGCATTCAGCCTCACAGCGAGTAGCCAGGCAAGGTACTTAGTGGCAGGAGAAGCGAGCACAGGGAATCCATATAGCAAAAAGAAGAGGTGATGACATTCCTCAGGCACTTATTGGGTAACCAACTCCTTTGATAACTCTAAATTCTACACGATAAGGTGCATGCTGGGAGCTGCTCATTCCTCCAAAAGCAATGTAAAACACAATCCTTGCCCTCCAGGAGACAAGATACACATGTAATGCCATATTTGAAACAATGTCAAAATAAGTGTTCTCCACAACCATTTCCATAGGTGTTTTGAAGTGAAAGAGAAATCAGCTAGACAACCAAGGCACAAGAATCAGAATAGGCTGTGCATCCTAGCATGTCAAGAGGCCCCAGTGAGCACAAGGATGGAGAAACCCAAGTGCCGGAAAACACAAATGAGTGAAACCCATTGGATCATGGGGAGAGAGCAAGGGAAGAGGAGTCTGGAGGGCATCATTCTTGGAGCCCTATGCTGGAGTCAGGTGGACAGGCATCACGGATGGGGGATGGAGGTGGAGCTCAACTTTCACTATTCCATTAACCCAGTGCATTGCATTCCAAAGGAGCCTGCCAGTCTTAATAGACACAGGAGAACCCATGCATTCCCTCAGAAGCAGACCTACTCAGTGTCCTGCTCCCAAATGCTTTTGTGTGGATAATCACCGTTCTAAGTAAGAAACACCTCAAGTTTCCCAGTTCATTTTCTTGCTGCAAAGCTTGCAAGAGCAGCAGACGGATGCAAACTCCTGCTTCTCTTCTACTGGCGAAAACAACCCAATTTGAAGAATAAGCACCAATTAACTAAGTGAGAAGCTCAAGCTGTGAATCCTGAAGTGTTGTAACCTGACAGCAAATTGCAGTTCTTTGGAGGGAGCCGTGGGAGGCAGGGGCAGTCCCCAGCCAAAGTAGCCTCTTGAAGCCCCGACCTGCAGACATTGATCATTATAAGTCATTCACGTCTCAGCAAACAGTGGGACACTTGTTTAGGAGAAATACTAAAAGAGGGATTCCTTTTTGAGCACAGGGTTATTTATTCTCAAAGAAAATGCTTTGGATGCCATTTCCAAATTAAATTTGTTAAGAACTAGTCAGAAAATTAAACTTCAAGTAAACACACAGTCCTTTGGTTTTCTTATCTGTAAAATGGTGATGACCCCGGACATACTTATTTCCGGAGATAAGGATGAGGTGGCACTTTGTAACCTGGGAAGCACTACAAAAAAAATTACTAGCATCCATAGTGTGTCATATGTCTATCATCCCAGTGACCGTGATAGGTAAAGATCAACAAGCAGGTATAGTTACCACCAAGAAGGGGAAAGCACGCTGCAGACACCTGCAGATGGCTGAGTTCAAGTCAATTTAAGTTTTTTGAATGTCCAGTAAGTGCACGGCACTGCAACAAGTACTGAGGACACAAAAGTGAATGAGAAGCAGTCACTACCCACCTGGAAATCTCATAAAGAAATAAGCCTACTTCCAAATCAAAACATAAAACCACCTTTGGAGAAACCGAAACACAGTAAAAAAGTGCCCCCACTAAAACCTCAGGCTTCCCCTTGCACCCACACACTATTAGTTCATCCACTCAGTATTTACCATTGACATGCTTTTAGTTCAAGTAACCCAAAACCCAATTCAATTCAAAGAGGCTTAAACCAAAGAAAATAGAATAATTCACATGAGAGGAACTTTAGAGATAAAAAAAAAAATCATGTAGTTCAGGTTCTTTCCATCTCTGCCAGCCGCTAAAATTCCACATCCTGCCATTCTCCATCCTCAGGGGGCCTCTTCCCAAAGAAAGTTCTTGAAGGTGGCCAGGTGCGGTGGCTCATGCCTGTAATCCCAGCACTTTGGGAGGTCAAGGCAGGCGAATCACGAGGTCAGGAGTTCGAAACAAGCCTGGCTAACATGGTGAAACCCCATCTCTACTAAAAATACAAAAAATTAGCCAGGCACAGTGGCAGGCGCCTGTAATGCCAGCCACTCAGGAGGCTGAGGCAGGAGAATCGCATGAACCTTGGAGGCGGAGATTGCAGTGAGCTGAGATTGCGCCACTGCACTCCAGCCTGGGCGACAGAGCGAGACTCTTATCTCAATAAATAAATAAATAAATAAATAATAATAATAAAAA
This sequence comes from Homo sapiens, assembly GCF_000001405.40. Classification (NCBI taxonomy): domain Eukaryota; kingdom Metazoa; phylum Chordata; class Mammalia; order Primates; family Hominidae; genus Homo; species Homo sapiens. The sequence goes on from NC_000003.12 coordinate 123,003,872, forward strand.
GAAAGTTCTTGAAGTTTTAATTCAGCTGCCAAGAACAATCAGGGCAGCCTTCCTTGTTTAACATCTACCTAGAGAATGACTTCTGGTGGCTCTTTATTGACAAAGAGGAAGAACTTTCTTAGAAATCAAAAACCTCTCCTCAAATCCCATTAGTCAAAATTGTGTCATGTATCCATTTATGGCCCAACCCCTGCTAAAGCTAAACAGCATACGTACCCTTAAACCTGTCAAGGCCATCCCCTTAGGCAAGCCCAAGTTTCACTGCTGTTACTCCGGGAGGAGGTGTGGAATAGAGGATGGGAAGTTTACCACAAGGTGCCCTACTCAGTTATAAGAACTTTAGTTATCCATTTTCCAAGCCCATATAAGAAATGCAAATTAAAAGTGAAGAAAAATTTGCTTTAGGCAGATACATTGTGTCTAGCAAGAAGGGACATCCGTCAGCAAGAGGCACAGCTGGAAAAAGGAAAGAGCAGGCACAAAACTCAAAACCTCAGGGGGCCATTTGGCGTAAGCAAATTGTCCCATACACCCCACTGAATCAGAGCCCAGTCCATTAATTAAGGTTTCTAACATACCCTTGGGACACCAAGAAAAGGTTACATTTATGCTTGCATTACTCCGTGTAAGAAGGCAGGGATGCATATAACACATTTTATAGAGAACCACAAACACAATGGCTAACAATGTAAAACTGTTGTTGCTTAAAGAGGCCAATCTAAAGTGTGTTAGAACACTTTACACTTTAGAATGACCCACCCCAGCTTCTCTGGAGAGCTGGGAGTTAAGGTGCAGACTGCAAATATAACATACCCAGGCAACAATATGTTACGGCTGGCCTCCCACCAGGCTCCTCCACACTGATGGAAATTGATTGCACCTCATTTCCGGTGAACAAATAGTTGGTATTTGGATTAGGATGTTGCTCTTTTAGAGCAAACATTCAGGCTCCCAGCCCCACCTGGACCTATCAAATCTGAATCTCATGGGTGGGCCCATACTCAGTCTTTTCTTAAAGTTCCCCTACTAAATCTGATGATCAGTCTGACCAAACCTCACACTGCCTCCCTGAAAGTCCAGAATACTCTGTAGGAAAAACTTCCCGAATGGGAGAACCAGGGCCTGGTGGAACTCTGAGAGGTTATCTCTTTTGCACCCTCTCTTGCCTTCAGGAAGGCCAGCATGAAAGGTCAGAGGAATGGCAGAAGCCCTGAGCACTCACTCCTTCTAGGGATGAGCACAATTTCACTCAAGCACCATAGCCAATCCACCACTCAGACCCCACTGCTCCCCTACACACCCTCTTCCTGCCCACAGCCTTCCTCCACCTGTCCCCACCCCTGACAGCATCAGGGTCCTCCCCAGCCAGAAAGGACATTATCTGTCACCTATTAAAGGACATCATGCCAGTTTTTACTTCACAAGCTCCTTTTGTAATTGACTCCCCACCCCATCCTGTCTCACTGAAGAAATGTTCTTCATTTGATGCTTATTATTATTATTATTTAGAGAAAGGGTCTTGCTCTGTTGCCCAGACTGGAGTGCAGTGGTGCGATCATAGCTCACCACAGCCTCAAACTCCTGGGCTCAAGTGATCCTCTCACCTCAGCCTTCCAAAGTGCTGTGACTGTAGGTGTGCATTCCCATACCTGGCTAATTTTTTGTATGTTTTTAGAGAGATAGGGTCTTGCTATGTTGCCCAGGCTTCATTGCATATTTAACTCCAATTCCTCTCATTGTAACTGGCTGAGGTTGAGGGTAGGGAGGTGGAATAGAGAATAAATAGGGACTCAGGACTCCTTGGCCACCAGAATGTGACTTCCAGGGATGAAAGAGTGGTTGGCCTGAGGGGGTCATTTGAGCTCTTCACTTTTTTCCAGGCAATGGAGAGAGCAATCCTGATCCCTGAAACACTCCAGTTTCAGGGGGACCCTCCTCCCAGGGGCCTGCCTACCATGCAGACTGTTTTTGTCTCCATCCCACCAATTCCTGTAACCTTTGATTGCCAGCCCCTGCATGGCCAGAGATTATGGGCTTGGCCATTACCCAGAAGGCTCTTCTCATTCTGGCTTGGCCAAACACCACCTGTGTGACTTTGGAGCTGTTCTGCAACCTCTCTGAGCCTCAACTTCCTCCTGAGATGGATAATGCTTGCCTTGGCTTGTCTCCCCAGTTCTCACGAGACTCAAAACACAACAAATGTGACTGTGCTCTGTCAACCTAAAAGCACTGTCCACTCATGAAGGGTCACTGTCCACTGGACTAGGAGTGTCTGCAGCTGGGAAAAGCATTTCATCCATCTTTGCGTCTCCAATGTCTGGTGTTGGTAAATGACCCCTGAGAGGTGGCTGCTGGGTGGTACATGAACCAAATGAGGGGACGACAGAGCAGGATGGGAGTAACTGACAAGTCAGGAGCGTGAAAATGAAGAAAGAGAGAGAAAAGAAGAAATGTCCTTCCTTTCCTGTCACCCTCAGTCTCCAGGAACTAACAAATGCTCCCCAAATAGTGGCCCACACCACTGATTAGTTACTTTTTAAAGTCACCTCAGCTCCAATTAGAAAAGGATGTTAGTAAAGCTTTCCCATACCAATTTAAATAAACACTGAACACATTCAACCTTTAAACTGAATGGAAATCCCTATTTTAAACAACAACCTTCTAAGGGGCTTGCTGGTGCTGCCCTGAGTGCTGAAATTAGGAATTGGGAGATTTGGAAGCTTGGGGTGGGGCAAACCCTTTCCCTTACTCTGGGCTACTTTGGTTTCCTGGAGGAACAGGCACTCAGGAGGCTGAGAGAGCCAGGATGGCAATTGGGCTTTTTTAAGCCAAGGGAAGCCTTGGTCTTCTGTGTTGAGCAACGGCCAGGCCTGGGAACCCACAGAATCATCCAATCATCCTTACCACCCTCCCCCCATCTATGTTCAGTTCTGCTCCATACACATCCCCTACCACCACCACCCCCATTCTCAGAACAGAAACACAGCTGCTTAGATGAAAAGGGCAGCTGCTTTGCACCACAAACAAGCCCTCCCACTACAATCCCAGCTGCATTTCCAGATATTCCAGCCTCTCTTTGCATCCCCGGTCTAAACTATAATGGAATAATTGGAATAAAATATAAAGCAGAACTTCCCACCCAGAAAAGCATGAGGAATGAGAGGGTGGTAATGTTTAGACATAAAAGAACACTCCCACAATGTTACCCTTGCCCTCTGAGCATGGGGCAAATTTGCAAGCCAGCGTACCCTTGGGGACATCCCCTGACCTCCCAACACCTACTCATGCACACGGGTCTTGCTCTTGCCCCCTTCCTTCTGCCCCACTCAGTGTTAGGGCTGTATCAGGGTTTTGCTCTCAGGAGCTGAGGGTGGACAAGGGCTCACTAGATAGCCCCTGGGACTACCTCTAACATACACAGACCCTGACCCTCCCCTCATTCTCTAGGGTAGATCACAGGGAAGCCAAAGCCAGGATAACCTTCTTTGGCCACCTCCACCCTCACTTGAGAGCTAAGTGAGATCTGCTAAGCACTTCTCAATTGAAACATTGATTCTTCCCCTTATCCATACTGCTATGGTCTGAACAACCCCTTCAAATCTCATGTTGAAATTTAATCCCCAATGTAGCAGTGTTAGAGGTGGAGCCTTTGAGAGGTGATTGGATCATGAGAGCTCTGTCCTTATGAATGGACTAGTTCATTCATGGGTTAATGGGTTATCATGGGAGGGGAACTGGTGGCTCCTTCCAGAAGAGGAAAAGACTTAAGTGAGCACATTTGCATGCTTAGCTCCTTTGCCATGTGGTACCCTGCACCACCTTGGGATTCTGTAGAGTTCCCAACAGCAAAAAGGCCCTCACTAGATGCAGTCCCTTGACCTTGGACATCTTAGCCTCCATAACAGTGAGAAATAGATTCCATTTCTTTATAAGTTACCCAGTTTCATGTATTCTGTTACAAGCAACAGAAAATGAACTAAGACAGATACCAAGTACAGTATAAATCCAATTCCAGTATACTCCAATATAGTATAATTCCAATTCCAGAAATGCCAGGAGGCAGACCAAACTAAGGAAAGACACAGAAAATGTATAAGCCACTGTCAAAGTATAATTTTCAAAATGCTTTCATATGTGTATATTTATTTAACTCATTAATGAGGAATAGCAAATCTGGCTCAAAAGAACTTGAAGAACGGGGTTTGCATGATCGGCAAAGGCACGCAGAAATAAGTCTGTTATGTCGAGACAGAACTGTCCTACAGGACAATAACACCATAACTTTTGGAGTTATCTTTTCTACTGGAGAGAAATAATTTGCATCTCAACTTGGTAAAAATCACTTGCAACTTATCCACCTATATGTTAACATCTAGCTTCATAAGGTCTGGCCTCTAATCAATAATAAACTGAGAATCGAACACTGTTTTTTCTATCTCCCCTGCTTAGAATATAAACTCCATGGGGACAGGGTTCTTGTCAGTACTTTTCCATTCTAAGGCAGTGGAAGAGTATTCGGCACCTGTAGATGCACAGTGGGTATTTGTTAAAGGATTATTTGAAGGCACTCCAGAGTTCAGGGCCCAGGAGAAGGGGCCTCGTGCATCAGGTATGGCTGGATATAGCCCTGATGGGTGGGTGGGATCTGAATGGGAGGAGAGGAGAGTGGAGGCAGAGGAGAGAGTGAGGACGAGGTGTGGAGGAGAGTCAGGAGGAAGCTGGGGAAGGACAGGGTTTTGAGAAGATGTCAACAATGTCAAATTTGGGGATTACACACATGCAGTAGGTGGGGGCTACGCATTCAAAATCTTGGCAGACAAGAAAAAGCATAGACAATCCAGGAGCCAGCTGAGTTAGGTGCAGGTTTCTGGAGAAGGACCAAATTGGGCCCATTTGAAGACAGGGGGAGAGAGGCATGGCTATCCAAGCAGCAGGTAGGTGTCAACCAACAGTGGCAGGGGTTTTCCCTGGGCTCAGGGTTCAGGAGCTGAGGGGCACAGAGGCCTGCAGCTGGAGCTGGGGGGCTGCAGCTGCCCAGGGCTGGGTGTCACCAAAGGACAGCCCAAAGAGCAGTGCCCTGCCTCCCACCACAAGTGCACCTTTGATGTGGCTCAGGCTGCTGGGCAGAGGAAACCCGAGCTTCCCAGAGCAGCCTGCTCCATCAATGCCACCCAGTTTTCAACGAGGCTGCATAAGACACGGACCCGGTGGACCCGTGGCAGGGCAATTTCTTTATGGACAGAGCGGCTGGCAGGAAATCAAGGCTCAGTGTTTCAGCCTGAGATGAAAGGGAGCTTTTACTCAGACTCCTATCAATGCACCCACACTCCACTCTCCACTCTCTGGAGAGGGGTTCTCAGTGCAGGGAGCGGGGGTTGAGACTTCCCTACTTTCTTCTCCATTCCTCACTTCCTTCTGGGGAGGAACTCACAGTGGGGGTGTCTTTAGGCGAGGGGACTGTGGGTAAGGGAAGGGTCTGTGTTAGGTTTTAATTATCTAAGCTTCTTCTGTGGGATGAGGGAGGGTCCTGTGAACACATCAGGGATAAACACAGAGAGTATAAAATGTGTTCCCCCAAGCCTTGCACATCGTGCCCACCCACCACTGTATTTAAAGATTTACTCCCTCCGTTCACATGTATGTGTGTGTGTGTATGTGTGTCTGTGTGTGTGTGTATGAGAGTGAGAGAAAAAAAGAGAAAGAAAAAGAAAGACAATGCTATTCCATGGTTGCTCCACACAGCACCCAGCCAGTGTCCCTTGCTCCATTTCCAGCCACTGAGGCTTATCAAGTGACCTTGCAATCCTGCAGGGGTTCCGGACCTCTGGTCCTCACCCTACAGTGGAAACAGAAAATCAAGGATCTTCTTTTTGAGAAGATTCTCCATCCAGGCTTAGAAAGAAAGATATAGGAGGGGAAAACTGGGATGTCTCATGGCTTTAGCTCTCTCTTTAACAATAACTCGACACACATTTACTGAGGCCTTGGTGCCTGGCTTTGGGCTGGGCAAAGAGACACAAAGACAAATGCTGCTCTGTCTCTGCCCTGGGAAATGAAGCTCATAGCAGGGAGACGGCATGGTGATGCAGTACAGGCAGCACCAGGAGCTGAAGACAAAGGCAGGAAAAGGTGCCTGATTCACCCGGGAGCCCTAAAAAATATGCAGATGCCCAAGCTCCTCGCTGGATGAACTGAGTCCCTTTTTGATGGTGGGGCCTGGAGGACCGGAGGTGGCTGGCTCTGGATGGGTGAGAGGCGGGGAGTGCCTTCAGGAAGTTTGGAACCCCAGGGCTCAGGGCCAGGTCCTGACACCCCATAATACCCCAGCATGCTCACACCAACAGCAGAGGCCATGTGGTAGGATGGGACAAATCATGGAATTTGGAATTGGAAGACAAGGGTTTAAAATTGCCTCTTAGTAGATGTATGACCTTGGTCATACCCTTTCTGGAGAATTTCTTCACCTCTAAAATGGGTATAACAGTACCAAACTCAGAACTTAGTAATTGTAAGAATTAAGTGAGATAATGTACAGAAGGCATTAAAACAGTGTCTGGCATGGAGTTCAGGAAAGGGAAGTTGTGGCTTCTGGAAGAAGTAAATGAGGATGCAGATGTCCTTCAACAACAGCGAAGTGGTCCGTTAAAAAATGGTGTCGGCTGGACGCAGTGCCTCACACCTGCAATCCCAGCACTTTGGGAGGCTGAGGCAGGCAGATCACAAGGTCAAGACATGGAGACCTTCCTGGCCAACATGGTGAAACCCCATCTCTACTAAAAATACAAAAAATTAGCTGGGCATGGTGGCATGCGCCTGTAGTCCCAGCTACTCAGGAGGCTGAGGCAGGAGGATCACTTGAACCCGGGAGGTGGAGGTTGCAGTGAGCTGAGATTGCGCCACTGCACTCTGGCCTGGTGACAGAGTGAGTCTCCATCTCAAAAAAAAAAAAAAAAAAAAAAGGTTTCTCTCAATATCATCATCATTTAGCCCAGAGCAGGTGAGGGTGTATTATCTGGGACTCACCACCCCAAACCTCTACAGCAAATAGCGGGTGTGAATCAGGCTGAACATGTGGGCTGACAGCCACGGGCTCTCTCACTGAGGCCAGGACATTTCTGTGAAGATGGGGGCAGACAGCCCGTCCTGGGAGCCTACTCTCAAGTGGATAGGCCCAAAGGCCATTCTTGAGCACACAGAAGTCAGGGGAGATGTACAGCAAGCCCCTCCTCTCATGTAACAGCTGAGCCCCTTCCCCCCAAAGCTGCCATCTCACGACCCTCACTCTCCCACCCCCATCAGAGCGGCAGAGGAATGGACAGAGTGTGTCTTGGGGTCGAAGACTTAGCAACCAGAGCCTTGGTTTCCCTATTCATGAGATGAAGGAACAGCTCTTGGGATGGCCCCCTGGGGATTAGGGAGCCTGTGTTTAGAAAACAGAATGCCTGTCACATCGATCATCCAAGACATGGTCACCCCATTCAGCCTCTGTGTCACACCTGAGCAAGGTCAGGGTTGTGCAGTTCAGTGTAGGAGACTGTGGGGCAGCCGGGGCTCGTCCCAGGCCTTGATTTACCCACATTCCCTGTGCATATGGAAAGATCTGAGATGGAATCTGGGGTTTTGCCCAAGAAGGGGGAAATCCTGAATTCAGGCCCAGCTGGAAGGTGGGGTTTCCCCAGGACAGCAGACTCTGCCCCTGGGCCTCTGTGAAATGAAGCCCTGCCCAGCACACACATGCACAGAGCTTGCAACCCAAGGTTAATGCCTGCATCCTGGGAGCTCAGAAAGTGAGCCCAGGACACACGCTCCTAACAGAGGAACAGGCACCAAGGCTGCTATCCCAGAGAGGCCACAAGAGAGGGACAGCCTGGGAACCAGTACAGGGCTAGAGAGAGGAGGAGGCCATGGCAATGCTGGTTGAGAAAGCACCTCCTGTACTGAAGGATAGAGTGGCTTCCCATCACCTCTCCAGGACACAGAATGAGCCAGAAACCCCGCTCTGGGGCTCCCAGCAAGACAGCGCTTCTGAACAACATCCCTGCAGGAAACTCTGCCTCCTCGAATTGCTTGACCCTCCTGGTTTCCAATCTCCCTCCAACACCACATGCATTTCCCGGGCTCTGTCTGGCACTGTGCTCCTCAGGAGCCACAGGAGAGGCCCAGTCACGTGGAAAGAGCACACTTTGGCTTCGCCGTGGCCTAGGTTCAAATCCTGCCTCTACCTCTATATAGTTGTGAGATGTTAGGCAAGTTTCTTAACCTCTCTGAGGTCTTTTCCTCGTGTGTAAACCGGGGCTCATCGCTCCTTCAGAGGCCTTTATGAGGACTTCGGTGAGAGACTGGCCTGTAGTAAGTCCTCATACATGGTAGTTGTTATTTGAGAATACGAAGCAGATCCCATCAGAATCCCTGGGGCTGAAGGCTTTCACCCACCCCTAAGGCTTCTTATGCCTTCTCCCCCATGTTCTCCCAATCCCTACCATCATTTTCCTCTGTGCCCCTGGAGGAGGCCACAGCACCAAACCAGGCCAAGATTCATCCTAGGTTAAGAAGATTTCCCCAGCAGGTGACCAGGGCAAAGCCATAGGCATGGCCCCTCCGTCCCTACCCCACCTAGGCCCCAGGTCTGTATGGAGCCATCCTCCCCGGTCCTACCCTTTCAAGGAGAGGCATTCCTGAAGTAGAAACCGCTGCAGACAGTTAGCCCAGTGTGACAATCTCTGAACAATCCTTCCTCCCAGCAGGACTGGGCTGTGAAGTGTAATTAAAGCCACAGGTTAATTAGGTGTGCAGCCATCTTGCCAAGAGGAGCACCTCACCTCCTCTCATCATGCATCCAGAGGTTCAGGGCTGCAGGAGGCAAGAAGGGGATCCACACTACCTTCCCCCCTCCTCTTCCTCCTTCATCCTTCCACCCCAGTCCTAGAGCTCTCCAGCCAGGCCACACCAGAATTGCCTTCCATCAGCTGTAGTCTAACTGATGACATCATTTCTTCTACAGATGGATGGAGGGAGTGGAGAGAACAGACCTGGTTGTGATTAGGACTTCATGGAAGGTGCCTGGAGAGGTGTCCTTAGAGACAGACAGAGCCTTGAGTTGCCTCCCGCCTCCAACCCAACCATGAGGAGGAGACAGTGTAAGGACTGTTTTCAGTGCAGGGTCCTGCATAATGGAGCCAGGGATGGAGCCAATGCAATGGATGAAGGAAAAGCGGGAATGAAAAGAACACACCGGTCAGACACAGGAGAGAGTTGGGAGGCACTGGCTCAAATGGCTAGGAAGCCTGGGATTGGCTTACTAGTTATCTCATACCTTCCTATCTCAGCCTGGCTCAGTCATGCCATCTGTAAAATGGGGGTGCTGTGAGGAATTTCATGAGCTAAAACACATGCAGCTTTTAAAACAGGCTGCTACAGTGTAAGCTCTCAGGAAACCAGGAAATCCTCACAACACCCGCCCGCTTCTGCAAACTGCTGAGTCCTGGGCTCCAGCTCGCTAGTCCACTCTGCAAAAGGACCGGTTCACTTGGTACCTTGAGGTCCCAGGTACTTTTCCAGGTGACCTGCTATACAGAAAGGAACTTGTGTCATTCAATTCCCATGACAACCTTCTGAAGTAGGTATGATGGCCATTTTACATATGAGGAAACTGAGCCTTGGAGAGGAGAAATAATTTGCCCAAAGGCCACTCTAACAGTAAATGGCAAAGCAGGTGTTGAGACCCAGTCTGTGTGGCTCCCGGCTTTTCCTCCCACTCCAAGCTGGCTTCCAAGCCCCACTCCTCAGCAGAGTGTCTGAGGCCCTCACATCTAGCTCTCTTCCCTGCTCCCAATCTAGCCAGATTCACGCATTCCCATCCAGCCTCTGGAAGCACACACCCCATCTTCACTTATGTGCTTTCCCCACGGAGTCAAAGAGCCAGAATAGAAAGGAGAGAGGGAAAGGCTTCAGGGAAGAGGGGAGCTGGAGGGTAAAGGATGCTGACGGGGAACAAGGCTGCTGCTCATCGATCTGGGAGGCTTCTCTGGCTCATCCTACAGCTGTCTCCAGCTTGGCTTCTGTCTTCCCCATTCCACAGGAAGGAAACGGTGAGAGGAGCTTTGGGCACAGGAGGGCCAAGCCGGAGGCTGGTGAGAGGCCTACAGAAGCTCCAGCTGCTCTGAATGTGTTCAAGCCACTTGGCCGGGACACACATCTAGGGAACAGGGAACATGCAAATGAGGCTCAGAACAGCTGTAGATTCCTGATCTCATGGGAATCCTGACAGGATCCTGGCAAGCACTAGGGCGGCTGGGAGGCCTCCAGTGGGCCACACAGTCCTCACTACCAGAAAGGGGTCTGAGGTGGGTTTTGCAAACCACAGAGATGAACTCAATGTGCCTCCTGCAGAGACTCTAAACGAAGGCTAGTGGGCATTTGAGAAGGGCAGCTGAGATCACCAGTAGACAGCGTGTGTTTGGTAGCAAAGTCCTGTCAGGCAAAGCGCATCTCCTCCACTGACAGGAGATGTTGGTAGACAAGGGAAATGGGGTTTGCCCATCAAGCAGATCTTAAATGAAACATCCGACAAGCTCTTCATGAAATCATTGTGTATAAGCTAGAAAGAGGAAGCTGGAAGGCAGTAGCATTAGTGGGACATATAGCTGGTTGCACAGTTGTACCCCAAGGGGGCTTAGCAATGGATCCTGGCCGCCTGCAGGGAAGTGTCCAGGGGCCATGCTGCAGAGCTCCAACCCACACCACCCCATTCAACCTCTTAGCAAATCCTTGGATCAATATACAAGAAGCACTTGAAGCTGAGAGCAATAGCACATACGTTGGCTGACAGAGGCAGGATCCGAAATATCTTCATCAGCTGGAAAGGTTTTTTCAAGATAAAATAAATTAGGGAAAAATGTAGTCTCGAAACAGGAGGTCAAAAAGCTGCAGCACTGTTGTAGGATGAACCGTGTCCCCCCACAAAGCTCACAGGTTGAAGTTTTAACCCCCTGTATGTCAGATTATTGCCTTATTTGGAAATAGGATTGTTGCAGATGTAGTTAGATGAAGTCACACTGGAGGGTGGGCCCCAACCCAATATGACTGGTGTCCTTATAAAAAGGAAAAATTTGGTGACACACACGCACACAGGGAGAACATGTTGCAAAGATGAAGGCAGAAATTATATTGATGCTTCTATAAAACAAGAAACACCAAAGAATGCCAGCAAACCACCGGAAGCCAGGAGGGAAGCACGGAGCAGATCTTCTGTCATATCCCTCAGAAGGAGCTCTGCCCACACCTTGATCTCAGACTTCTGGCCTCCAGGACTGGAAGACAATAAGTTTCTGTTGTTAAGCCCCTCAGTGTGGGGTGTTTTGTTACAGCTGCCCTAGAAAACTAATACAAACACAAAGGTAAAATTGGGAAGATGTGGCTGAGTGCGTTATGTTAAAGAGACCCTGGGGTGCTGGTTGGCTGTAAGCTCAGTCGAAATCAGCAGTGCTGTGTGGCTGCTAAAGACAGCCAGATCAGAGTTGAGGCTATGTTAACAGGAGATGCACTAGCTAAGCATACGGGTATGCTGGTCAGGCCTCACCTGGAGGGCCATCTTTGGTCCTGGAGACCTCAACTGTAGAGAAGTGGGAGATCTTCAGAGTCCTATGCCCAGAGATGAAGAGACAAGCCAGAGGAGGACTGCTGAACTGGGGAAGAGGTGGCAGGCTCATCAACTTCCAATGTTTGAAGAACTGTGGCATGGAAGAGGGATGAACACCCAGCCACAGCGAGAAGAGATGGAACCCACAGGGAGAGAAACAGACTTCAGAGAAATAAAATAATTATATTAGGCATTGTCACCCAAAACATCAAATGGGCCGTCTCATGGGCACCTGAGCTCTCTGTCTCTGAGAAACTCAAGACTCCACCTGCTGACCACTCAGTAGAGACTTGTGCCAAAGACTCAGGCAACCTGCAGCTCCAAAGAGGGTCCACTCACATTCCCAGCCTGGCTTGACACCAGCAACTTGAGATTCTTACCTATTTAAAGTTAGAGGCCACCATGCGATGTCTGGGCCTCAAGACTGTTCATCTATGGCTTCGGCAGATTAAACTGTGTGCTGACACAGGGACTCATAGGCCTCAGAAGATCAGGTTTGGTGAGACCCAGGTCCACTGGAGGGAAGAACCTGCTCATGCTCACAGAATAGGGTCCCAGGAGGATGAGGGGTGGGAAGGAAAGCTGCCCTGACTCTCCACTGTCCAGGGAGTGAGGGAGCTGGCAGCCCAAGCCTTAATTGATCCCTAACTTGAGGGAGCCCCACATTGGTGTGTGCTGTGAGGGGACACAGAGGAACCTACACCCAGACCTCTCTTTGAGGGGCTCAGGGAAAACTCACTGGGAAGACAGTATTCTGTAGGAAAGGCAACTGTGATGTCGGTAAGAAGATGCAGTGATCCCTAAGTATACCTGGGGGACCAGTCCCAGGACCTCCTGCAAATTCTCAAATGCACAAATGTTCAAGTTCCTTATATAAAATGGTGTAGTGTTTGCCTATAACCTACACACATCCTCCTGTATACTTTAAATCATCACTTAATTACTTGTAACACCTAATACAACGTAAGTACTACGTAAATAGTTGTTATACTGTGTTGTTTAGGGAATAATTACAAGAAAAAAGTCTCTGTACATGTTTAGCATAGATACATTTAAAAATTTAATTTAATTTAATTTTTTTTAGAGACAGGATCTCATTCTGTCACCCAGGCTAGAGTGCAGTGATGCTATCACAGTTCATTGCAGCCTTGAGCTCCTGGGCTCAAGCAATCCTCCTGCCTCAGCCTCCCAAGCAGCCAGGACTACAGGTGCATAACACCATACCTGGCTAATTTAAAAAACCCTTTTTTTGTAGAGGTAGGGAGAGCCTTGCTGTTGTTCTGGCTAGTCTCATAATCCTGGCCTAAAGTGATTCTCTGGCTTCAGCCTCCCAAAACACTGGGATTACCAGTGTGAGCCACTGTGCCTGGCCTCAGGTGCATTTTTTTTTTTTTTTTTTTTTGAGACGCAGTCACTTTGTCACCCAGGCTGAAGTGCAGTGGCGCGATCTCGGCTCACTGCAAGCTCCACCTCCCAGGTTCACGCCATTCTCCTGCCTCAGCCTCCTGAGTAGCTGGGACTACAGGCACCCACCACCACGCCCGGCTAATTTTTTGTATTTTTAGTGGAGATGGGGTTTCACTGTTAGCCAGGATGGTCTTGATATCCTGACCTCTGATCTGCCCGCCTCAGCCTCCCAAAGTGCTGGGATTACAGGCATGAGCCCCCGCGCCTGGCCCAGATGCATTTTTTAAAAATATTTTCAATCCAAGTTTGGTTGAATCCTCACATGGATTCCACAGATACAGAGGGCTGACTGTACTTTCTAGGATTATTAAGTAATGAGCTCATTTAATCTTCCTTTAAACACAGCCCTACCTCATCTTACAGTTAAAAAAAAAAAGAAAAGAATGCTCAGAAAGGGAAAGGAACTTATACAAAACTCACAACCAAAAAGCAGCCACGCTGTGTTTGAAGCCAAGTCTGTCTCATTTTCAAACCCATACTCATTCCAAGGTTCTCTAGTGCTTCCCTAGTAAAGGGTTGCAGGTTGTGAGTTTCAAATAAGCACCACAAGCATCCAGCAACAGAAAGAATGACCTAATGTGGTCTAAAGCAGTGTCTCCAACTGTAGCATGCAACAGAATGACCTGCAGGGCTTTTAACAGCACAGGTTGGCCAGGCGCAGTGGCTCACACCTGTAATCCCAACATTTTGGGAGGACGAGGCAGGTGTTTCACTTGAGGTCAGGAGTTCAAGACCAACCTGGCCAATATGGTGAAACCTCATCTCTTCTAAAAATACAAAAATTAGCCAGATGCAGTGGCGGGTGCCTGTAATCCCAGCTACTTGGGAGGCTGAGGCAGGAGAATCACTTGAAACTGGGAGGCAGAGGTTGCAGTGAGCCAAGACTGCATCACTGCACTCCAGCCTGGGCGACAGAGTGAGTGAGACTCCATCTCAAAAAAAGAAAAAAAAAAAAAAGGATTTTTTGCTGGACCCCAGACCAGCAAAAGGTTGGTTGAACCTTTTTAGTGGGTCTGGGGTGCAGCCCAAGAATTGTTGCATTCTTAACGAGTTCTGGTGGCACTAATGCCACGAGTCAGGGGCTTCGCTTTGAGAATTCCTGCTCTAAAGAAATCAGGAAAGGAAGTGGTGTTCCAGCCTCAGAGCCGCAAAGACATAGAGGTACACTGGTTGGATGACCATCTGTTCCCAGGGCAGGAGTCCTGCAAAAACCAGGCAGCAGAACTGCTGGCCAGTGCTGAAACAGTTTACTGTTTACCCATCTGTTTACCCATCGGGTTGGGAAGATGCTCATTCTAGAAAACCTAGGTTCCTGTACTTTTCACTCTGGGCTCTTCTGGTTCTCCCGAGCTGAAGAGTATGTTTTTCCATAGGAAGTCCTGCTTCTTTTGTGGTTGACCACAGTCACCCTCAGCGTTTTCTCCCTGTCTTAACAGAGGAGCTTCTTTCACCAGACCTTTTGTGGCTAGGCTTCCCAACCTCCTCCTGACACCAGATGCCCTCCACGAAGCACACTTGAGTTGGGCAGGGTCCCCTCTCAAATCCATATTCATAAATAAGCACAGAATGACCAGGAAGAACCCAATCGGGACCCCACATTTCTCTTAGCTCCATTTAAGATGGTGTTGTTTTGAGCCACCCCATCACCTTGTCGGCTCTGATGAAGCCTATGCACAATTAAACCCCTCAGATCTTTTTCTCAGGACCTCAACCAAATCAGGTCTGTCCCCAACATCCAATTCTCCACTTTAAACAGTATCTGATTTCCAGTAGAAGTCAGACTGCCTATCCCCTGTCATGACTATAGCATGCCTCCCTGACAGCCTTATATTCCATACTGGGAAAGTAGCACCCAAATTCTTCCAACTGGCTGGAGAAGCTGTAATAGGAATACGTCATAACTTGGACCTGCTCAGCTGCAAGGCATGCTGGAATCTTGGCAGCTGGTCAGTGAGGAGCAAGAAAAGTTTTCTAGCATGGGTTACCTGGATAAAGGGATGAGGACATGACCCAGGAAGTAAAAAGGAAAGGGGGGCATTGATGAATAGCATCCCCACTCTACTGCTATTTGTACTGAGAAATGCCCCTCTTCTGCTGGAGAAAGACACAGCATATGTCCATGGGATGCTGAGGGAATATTTGTGAACAACTTGTTGACAACAAGCCAAGAGTTAACACCAAGAGGATTGAGAAAAGCCTATGTAGTGGTTAAATGTGTAGGCTCTGGGTTTAAATCCCAGGTCTACTACTTATTAGCTGTGTGACCTTGGGCAAATCATTTTATTTCTCAAGGTTTCAGTTTCCTCATGAGGAAAGTGGAGATAAAAATAATATGTGGGCCGGGCACAGTAGCTCATGCTTGTAATTCCAGCACTTTGGGAGGCCAAGGGAGGTAGATCACTTGAGCCCAGGAGTCTGAGACAAGCCTGGGTAGAAACCCCGTCTCTACATGAAACACAAAAGTTAGTCAGGCATGGTGATGCATGCATTTGGTCCCAGCTACTTGGGAGGTTGAGATGGGAGGATGGCTTAAGCATGGGAGGGTGAGCCTGCAGTGAGCTGTGATTGCACCATTACACTCCGGCCTGGGTGACAGAGTAAGATCCTGTCTCAAATAAATTAATAAATCTTTTTTTAAATGTGTACATAAGGCACCTGAGGATTAAAAGAGATAATGCACATAAAAAGTTTACCAGGCCGTTGTATAGTAACAACTGTATAAACCACAGCTGTTTTTACGGAACACTAGCTGGAAGGCATTGAGTGTTATGGTTCAGGGGCTGGAGGTACGAAGATGAAAGGGCTGAGCAGGTGAAAGGAAAAACAAGGATGCTGGAGGTGGGGGCAAGGGAGCCTAGGAGTTCCTATGAAGGGAGAGGCAGCATTCTGTGGAACTGATCTGGAGGCAGAGCCTAGGACCAAGGCTAGGTCAAGGGATTCTGACCTCAAATCAGGGACAGGGAAGCAGTCAGCGCGAAGCCTCAGAGGAGAGCAGTGAAAAGTGTTTCTTAAACTCTGAATCCAAAAACTTTTTATTGCTGTAGGAAGTCAGTCAAAAACGGTCTAAATGGTCCATGTGAAAAAGCATCAATATTCCACTTCTAGAAATCTGTTCTGAGGAAATAATCATT
This sequence comes from Homo sapiens, assembly GCF_000001405.40. Taxonomy (NCBI): domain Eukaryota; kingdom Metazoa; phylum Chordata; class Mammalia; order Primates; family Hominidae; genus Homo; species Homo sapiens. The sequence goes on from NC_000003.12 coordinate 123,020,108, forward strand.
GATAGGCACAAAGATTAATGTGCAAGGATGTTCACTGCAGCATTATTTATAATAGTGAAAAATGGTTTACAATTTAAATGTCCAACCACGGGGGGTTTGTTAAATAAATTATGGCGCATCCGTATGATGGAATACCAGGCAGCCATTATAAAGCCCATCTTAGTAGGATACTTAGGAAGGGGGAAATTATCACAATATGCTGTTAAGTGAAAAGGCTGGTTACAAAAAGTACAATCACAATTTGGTTACATACCTATCTAGACGAAACATACAAAAATGTTGAATTAATATTCATTACTTTTGTAAATGCTTTTTAAGAAAAAAATGACCAAAAGGAAGTAACCAGACAGGAGCTCTCACAATCAGCTTATAATAGAAAGTCATTAAATTCAGAACACAAACAGTAGCTATGATCTGGATGCCAGGAGCTATAGCTGGTGCCCATTAGAAAGGACCTGGCTGTTTAGAAGGGTTGAGGGCTAAGAGGTTCTGCATGCCATTGGCATGAGGCCAGGTAGAGCCTAGAAAAGAAGATTTAGGTCAGTGGCTCTCAACCATGGCTGCCTATTCGAAGCTCAAAAAAATACCAGTGCCCAGGCTCCCCCCGCAGAAATCCTATCTTAATTAAGGTCTAGGATAGGGCTGGTCAAGTCTGTATTTTTTAAAGCTCTGCAGGTGGTTTTTACGGAAGCCAGTGAATTATGTGTTGAGCTGGACCAAGCCACGGTTACCTGTATACAGAGGTAGACTTGAGGCTGTTCACCCCACTTCACAGCCCTCTTCTCTCTGGACAGGGCCCAGCAGGAAAGTGAGGAAAGTCTCACTCTGGAACCTGGAGAGCTGTTGAAAGGGAGCATGTGCCCCAAGGCACCTGGTCTATGTAGAAACATTACCCTCAGCCTTGGGGACATTCATGTAAGTGCTCTTTAGACCTTGCCTGTTTGGAGCTTTTACCACAAGGACACTGCTCTACACTTAGACTCCTGATGGGACCTAGGGTATCCCTGATGCCAAACACTGAAAGTCCAGGCTCTACCAAAGGAGGAAGGAAAGAAAGCCCGGATCCCGGGAAATCTGCAGGGGTCTGACCCTGCATCAGCCAGAGCTAGTGGTATTTTCCTCTTCTGTCCTGCTTTCGGGCAGAAATACACACCAACCAACAGGGCAATGTGTAAACCTTAAAAGCAGTCTGCTTTGAGTGGATGAGGCCTCTCAGAGAGGGCTCCTAGCTTCCCCCAGGCGCCTTGAGGGAAGAGAAGCAGAGGGAGCTGGCTGCTAGAAACAAAAGTTTGTATGAAATGATAAGATCTGCCCCAGCTACTCACTACAGATATAGAGTTACTCAAGGCACCGAAAGCAGGGAAAGAAGAGGCCTGAGTTGGGTGCTTCACACACTTGTCCCTGAATAATTAAGAGCCAACTGCAGCTCTTTTGTATTCCTAACAGGGGGGCTCTTGGGAGGCCTTCCGGACAATGGCTAGGGCAGTAGGGAGGGAGCTATGGCTCAGGTAGACCAGTGGGACTGGCAAATAGGGATGGATCTAAATTGTTACCCTGCAAGCCATTTCCCTAAAGTTGCCTCCCAGGGCGGGCTTACATCAGCTCTGGCAGGGAACGAAACTGCGGACAGAACTGCGGTTAATCCAATGGTCAGCCGGTAACACACAGATTTGGAATACCTTTCATCTACATTTATATGTGCATATATGTATGTATGTTTATATGCACATGTATGCCTCAATATACAGCAGAGTTACCTTCCAGATGATATTTGGCTCAGGCTGAGGCAAAAAGGAAAATGCATTCTCTGAAGATGCAGTGACTGGCAGTCGGTCAGATGGGTTAACAACAGGGGGGTTGGATGGTAACTGGAAACTATCCTGAGACTCACATTCCCCACAAAGAATCCACAGAAAAGTCAACGAGCCACTCCTGGAAAATCAAGAAGCGACTGCAATATCCATTCAAAACCACTGACTTGAGGGCCAGAAAGGGCTTTAAGATTCTTCTGAACACCTCCCTTTCACAGATGAAGAACCCAGTGGTTTGGCAGAGGTGCTCAAGCAGAAAAGCCTCCCTCATTTCTAACCCAGCCTCCCCACTCTGTAACTGAAACCTGTAATTTGATCCTCAGGGGACTGGCAGGACAGATGGTCACTAAACATCCTTCAAGTACCAACCTTTCCCATCACAGAAGATGCTGGCCAGGACATTTCTGGTTCAAATGAAAGATACTCTGATAATATCGACAAGGCTTCAAATTCAAACAAGTTCCATGCGCAAGTCTGATTAAGTCATCCTTATTAAACGCAGAACAATGAGGACAGTGTCATGGCGGGATTCAGCACATACAGCATTGCCTTTAAAGCTTTCATGTACTCAGGGAAAGCCCGATGGAATCCTTGTCCTTCTATTTCAAGTCAGAGAGTGGAGGAGAATCAGCAGACCAACTGCCAAGAAGAGAGCTCAAGGTTAAACTCTCCTGACCCAGTCCCCATCCCAGAGGTCCCTCCTTCTGCTTTCTCTCCTGTGCCCAGCAGCAAATTGGACAGAAAACCATCTTCATTTTTTATTCCACTTTGAAGCCACCAAGTCGAATAATTTCTCACTGGTGAGTCCCCCACTCAAATCAGGACTGAGAGGCCATTCTGCAAGGTTTGGGTTTCATCTCTCATGCTCACTAAAACAGAAGGGAAGGGAAGTATCATGGCAGAGCCACACAACATTCAGCACCCTTCTGTCCCTTTCCTTTCAGAACTCGACTCTCAGCTGGAACTTCTCCCTGCCATTTTCTAGCATTCAAGCTGGTTATAAAGGAAATTTCTTCAGAAGGAGAGTATTGGAGGAGATCCATCTGAAATAGAGAATGGCATACACGAAGATCCTGTTCCAGATTACCCATTAGAGGATCATCTCCTCAGCTAAGGCAGATGTCATCAAACCAAAAGTCACAGAGAGGGGGGTTTGCAAAAGTATAGCACGATGCCAGTGAAAAATCCAGGTGTTGTCCACACAAGCTATAAATGAAGGGCTCAATTCTGTCAATTCAATGAAATTCCATTAGTCCAGGCATTTGCTTTGGCCTCTTGCCATACATTTAAGACCAAGTTAGTTAAGTGTTGTCATAAATTTAAGGCCAACTTAGTGATAGGTAAACTCATATGGAAAGATCTGAATGTAAAGAAAACTCATTCATTAGAAGTAACTATTTCCAGCACACACACACACACACACACACACACACACACACGAAATGAAGACAAGCTAGTGATCAAGGTGACTGAATGAGGCAAAAGATGGTCCCCAGAACCCACTGGGGTTTAGATCTTTAAGTATAAGTAACACTCCCTCCAAGCACTTGTGCATCCCCAGAGCTCCAGATGCCCAGATCTCCAGGAGCCTGGCTTTGCATCTATTTACACCACAGGTACAAAGTAGGTGTTTAGCTTTGATGAGTGAGGAATCTGAGGCACAGAGAGGGAACTTGGAACTAGGAAACAGCTAAGGTGATGGGATCCTAGCCCTCTCACCCTCCCCCAAAACCCTGGACTCCAAGTCCTTTGGACAACTCCACATTAGCTGTCAGGTCCCCCAGACAAACCCACAGGGGAAAAAACACCACAGTAAATCACCACAGATGTTGAGGCAATGCTGATAATTGTGTACCCTTAGTCATGCTGATTTACCCCATCCTGGGAGATCAGAGGCATGTGTTGTTTACTGTTGTATCCATGGCTCCTAGAACAGTGCCTGGCACATAGTAGGTGAGTGAACACAGGAGTTTACTGCCACTGGATGGTCTCTTTTACCCTGTACCCAGGCAGTGACAAAGCCAACACTTGAAGATCATGGGAAACATCTGTCTACTGCCAGGGTATAGGTGGTGGGGCACCAGAACTCAGCTCTGGGTTCTTTAAGGCAATATAACATAACAAGGTGGCATGCACTTCTAATCAGGGATCTTGTCTTTTTGTCTTCTTTGTCCATTCTACCACCTCAGTCATCAATGAAAGTGGTGAACTGGTTGGCTGGTAATGAGTTGCTAACTCAGATCATTGGATATAAGAGGGTGACCAAGACTAAGCACGGGAGTGTTATGGTCAGTGTTCAAATAATTGGACCCAATAGCATCATCTTCCTAAATACACATACTCCATCCATAAATGTCTGCTGTTCCTCTATCCCCTTGATGGGTTCCCATCCCTCTTTTTAGATCCCCACTCAGGCATCAGGGCTTTCTGGATGTTCCTTGGAATCTGCAAACATCCAATGTGAGCTTCTAGTCTTATCTCATCTAACCCTATTGCTACATTAGATGAAACAAAAAGTTATGGTTGAATTTTCTCTTTTTTGTAAAAAATAAAATTGGTTTACACCCACTGGATTCCCAGTGGGAATGGGGACAGGAGATCTGAATCCAGTCTTTGCTCTGCATGTGGAACCTTATATCAATGGATGTGATGTGCTCAGATTTGAGTAAAACAAGATGGCTCCCTCAAGGAACTTATCATCTGACAGAAGAATCTTAATGGGCCCTGAGAATGAGGGTGAGCCAAGGGCCCAACAGGTCAGAGGTAGAACCAGGCCATGAGATATTCCAGTCAATCCCCAAGGTACAGGGAGACAAGATAACATGTATATCCAAGGCAGATGAGCTCACTTCTTAGAATCTTAATATCTTTATCTATAGATATAAGGGGTCAGGCTACTTAAAGGCTGTTAATTGATTTTGTTAGGATCATTTCACTTGGCCAGTTTGGCTTTGAACTCCCAATTGTCCATAAGCTGGGCCACTCTAATTGCCTGATCAACACACTGTGACCTGCCTGCCCTCTGTAGGCATTTGAATTTGTGCTTCCCCTGACATGGACAATCTCCAGGGCCTCTCCCAGCTTTGAGTCTCAATAAGAAGTGACCACTGTAGGGTCTTTCAAACAAGCCAGGAAGTTCATCCTAAGACAAGAAAGTTTCTGGGGCTCCTCCAGTCCTAATGGGGAGGTAGCAATCTACAGTGTTGGGCTGGACCTCTCGGCTTCTCTGGTTTTCTAGTCTGGCACTAGAAGTGGTAAAGGAACTTTTTCCCCTCCCTAGTGGGAAAGGAGGTGCTGGCTGTCCTATCTCAGGGCAGAGTCAATAAGCCCAGCTCTCTGTCCCACCTGAGTCATCGAGTTTTTTTTAACCCTTCCTCTCCTAAACCCTTGGGTCATCAGGCACCTTGCTGCCTGTACAGCCACTGCATGTTCCTCTCCATGTTCTCCCTCCCCAAACACATAGACAAGTGTCTCAGGATCAAACTGGTGAACTTACTAACCTCTCTGGGCATGGGCTCGGCCCTGTACCTCTTTTTATCTACCAGCATTTAGCATGGTGCATTGCACATAGTAGGTGCTTAAACAGTGTTAGATGTCCACGGTGATGATTATGGTCGCTACTGTTGGCTTTGGAGGAGGAAGGCTCTGGCACTGGCTGCTTGGAAAAAGAAAAGGGATGGAAGATCTGCCATTCCTTCCCAAACTGGTGGTGATAGGTGTTGATATGGAGAAAAGAGCTCCCCCTGAAACCCACACTCACCTACACACACCTTTCCCAACACAGCAAGCCAGAGGCAGCCCTGCCCCGAGTGGTCTACCCCCACGCCCCAAGGCCCAGAACAGTTCTCACCGCCCCATGAGTGACCAAGTGGCAAGTTCCCCCATCTCTCCTATATTTTATCTCCTTTCCTCCTCCGTTGAAAATCTAGACTTCGGGAAAGGTACTGGCTGTTTCTTTCCAAGCTGCTTTCAAATCTGCCCCCCTTTTCCGTAATCTTGAGGTCCAGTTACAAGGTTCAAGTTCCCCTCTTGCCCCTTCCTCAAGGTCATCTGTCCCGGCTTAGAAAAGGTGAGAGGCCACTGCTGATTGTCAAGAAGAGAACAGGCTTAAAAAGATGAGCTGAAGTGGGGAGGCCGAGGAGCAAGCAGGCAGGGAGGGCTGTGGAGAGAGGCCCCGAGGCCGAAGTGGGTTGGGGTGCCTGAGAAAAGCGGAAGGAGGTCGGATTCACTAGGGGCTGAAGGAAAAAGATGGGGTTAGGGCCAGAGAAGGTAGGATCGTGGTGAGGTCTAGACACAGGCAAGCTTCCAAACCCTCAGTCCCAATTCCGTTGGCCGGGAAGGAGTGCATGCCAGGGTAGCCCGCCCTCCCGGCTCCTGCTGCTCTCACCCCGCCCCTCTGCAGAAAGCCTGGGCAGGATCGCAGGGGTGCGGGCAGAATCCAGCGCTCCTCTCTCCCCATCCAGACTCTCGGCCCACTCCCGCCTGGCGCGGCGGGCAGTCGGAACTACCCAAAGACTGGGCTCGAGGTGGGGGGCGGGGGCGGGGAGGAGGGGGCCAGAACGGCGCTGCAGGTGATCCTCCTCCTTGTTTAAAGTTTGCGGTGGGCAAAGGAGTCGGCTCCGTTGGGCCGGGTTTTCTCGAGCCTCGCCTTCTTCCTCCGCCGGTCCGGCGACCACTTCCCTCTTGGCTCCCGCCCCGCGCGGGTCCCCGATCCCCTCTCCCGTCTGCATCCCTCTCTGTGCCCGAGCGCCCCCCGCTCCCTCCCTCCTCGCTGGATCTCCCGCAGGACGTGAGCGGAAAGTGAATGGGCAGCCCCAACCACAAAGACAAATTACCATGAGAAACATAAATCGGGAAATCGCCGCTCGCGTCCCTGCTTCCAGCTGCCGCACCCCTCTCCACCCTCCCAGCCGGGAGTGCGGGGCCCTGAGCCACTGCCCCTGGAGCCTGGTGGGCAGAGTTCACGCTCCGCAGGCCTGGTCAGGGCAAGAGTGTCCTGGAGGCGGGTCTGGGAAGAATCCGGGCGGCGGCTCCGCAGGCGGCGGCGGTGGAGCAGGGACGTCCCTGAGCGGGAGATTTCACACTCTGGGCGGGCCACGCGTTCCCACGCGCCTCGCCGCCCGCACTCTCCCTCAGTGCTGTTTACTAGCCGGCCCTCTCTGAGCCTCCATCTCCGCACCTCTGTCCCTCCGTCCCTCAGCCTCACTCGTCCGTCTCCTTCTCCAGGCCTGGGTCCCGGGTCCCCATCGCCGCTGCAGCCCAGATGCGCCGACCACAGCCCTGGCAGGGCCCAGTGCAACCCGGACCCAAGCTGGCTGGCGGCGGGAACGCAGCAGCGATGAGGGCTCTCAAGCCGAGGTGGCAGCGGGAGGCGCGGAAGCCAGGGGACCCCCTGTCCTCCCGCCCGCAGCCTCACCTACCTGGCTTCAACTTGCCAGAGCCCGGACCCCTACCTCTCTACCCCGATACCCACCCGAGTTGCTGAAGTTTGCAAGTTGCAGCCCCAACCCGCGCAGGGGAAGCGCCCGGGGCTCCCGGGACTCACCTCCCAGAGGCGGGTGCAGGTGCCCGGTTCCCCGCGGCTCCCGACTCCCGGGCGGCGCGGAGCGGCGGGAGCTAACCAGATGGGCTGGCGGCCGGTCTGGGAATGGGGCGGCCGCGCAGGAACGGCCTCCAGCTCTCAGCGCTCCGGTGCAGTCCCCACCCGGGCCCGCGCCCGCTGCGCTCGGGCTCCCAGCAGCCGCTGGATGCGCTGCCGACCCGCCCGGCTCGGCGGAGCTGGGCTCTGGCACCAACCCCCGCGCTCCAACTAGCTCCCGACCCGGCGCTCGGAGAGAGCAGGGAGGAGGAGACCGCGGGAGCAGAAGGAGGGAGGGGGCGGTGGGGGAGGAGTTGCAAGCAAAGGGAGAGAAGGAGGGGAGCGGGAGCGAAAAAGAGGAGGGGGCTGGAGCAGACCTGCCGCGGCGGGCGCTGCACCCGCCAGCCTCGAGGCGCGCGGAGGAGCGCGAGGGGGCGCCCTGCATCCCGCGGCTGCTCGGCCGACTCCCGCCCCGGGCCTGCCGAGTGTGGTGACCAGCCCGGTGGGCCGAAGCCCCTTCCCCGGCCGGCATTCCGGCGGCAAGACCTAGGACTCCGAGCACTTGCCGCCGTTTGCCACATCCCGCCTTGCCGTTCTCGGTCACCCCATCTCGAATGTGACATCCCCGAGGGCCATCGGCGCGGCCTGCCCACCCCAACACTCAGGGCCTGAGGAAGCTCCCCCAAACCCCACTCCGGACTCCCACATTCCCCAGCCCCGTCAGTTCGGAACGATCTTCCTGCCTGTGGATTTGAAGGGGAAGGGACCTCGTGTAAAACGGGGGAGAGCCGTTATAACCTGCAGCGGCAGAGAGGGAGGCTAGGCTGCTGGGCTGGGCTGGAAAGCCAGAACTGGCCGGATTAGGGTTAACCTTGCAAACTGTACGATACCGAGCGAACCTCTCCAAGCCTCAGTTTCCTCAGCTGTAAACTGGGGTTAGTAATACGCACCCTACAGAATTGTGAAGAACGAGTAGGGGATACGGGGAGTAAAATAACATCAGGAACAGTGGGAGGGCAGCCAAGAGATGAGCGATCCGGGGAGGTGGTGGAGCGTTCTCAGCTGAGGACGGAAGGTTTAGCGCAATCACAAGGAGCGAGGCCGAATTGTTTACAAGTTTAAGTGATCTAGTGTTTCTGATGGCTAGAAGGCGGGAGAGAAAGATTCAAGGGGCAAGCTTCAAATCCTAGCTGCCCGGGCTGCAAGAGGGATGGGAAGGGAGCCCTCTGCTGAACAAAAAATATATTTGAAAATGTAAAAAAAGGTGACCTAAGAACGAGTGAGAAAGACAAAGGATTTGAAAAATTAAAACCAGGAAAGTGTGATTCTAAGAGATAACCAAAGAGAACTATGAAATAAAAATAGATAAGTTGGAGGAAGGAAAATATCAAAAGACTTTCTAGAGTATGCCAAAAATTGGATAATTAGAACAAAGTCTGAGTGAAGCATTTTACATAATAAAATTCTGGGTAAAGGAAAACCCAGATAAAGCAGAAGAATTGAGACACTAAGAGCCCCAGAGAAGCACCTCCTGCCTGCCATCCTCCTACCCCTGGACCATGGCAAGAAGCAGTTTGACAGGATAATGGGAAAGAAAGGGTGGTTCTGAATCCAAGAAGGGAGTTTATGAGACACTGTAAAAAGAGAAACAGTGCAAGATCTCAAAGATAGACTTTCTAGGGCAACAGAAATGCTGAAACTCATAATGTGCAGAATGGAGAGAAACTTGCAAAGGGAAAACACGCTCTGGACACAAAGGCAGAGATGCAGAGAAGAAAAGAAAGGAAACGGGCATGTGTGGGCATACCAGTCTGGTAGCCCAGTCTGGGGTAAAAATCAAGTTGGAAGAGGCAGCATGGGATATTGAGTCCAAATCTATCATTTTATCAACAAGGACAATGAGCTCTGGACCATTCTCCCAGAGTCCCAGGCTGAGATAGGGATAGGTCTCCTGATCTCCACCGTGGAACCTTTCCACTGCAATGAGCGTGCCCCCCCCCCAACCCCCATTCCCTGCAGAGCCATGGGGAATGTTTTTGTCATCACAAAAAATAGAAGTATGTGCAATATAGAGATACCTTTTAATTAACACAAAAAACCACGAAGCTATTCCATACTGCAGGACCAGGGAATGAACAGGAGAGCTTCCAATTTGTCTGGTTGGGAGAATAGACAAAATGCCTTCTGAGTGGCTCTGTCAGCCACAGCTCTCCCTTGAAAGATAACCAAAATATTCTCCACCCTTCACACATTCTCTCACCTGCCCTCTTGTTTGCTACCATGTTTTGATTGTGTTCATTCTTTTCTTCCCACTATCATGTCAAGGCCTTTCCTGGCTCTCCCTCTCCATGTTATAAAGTGGAGAGGGGGTTTGGGGGCTTGGCACAGGAAGGGAAGAGAGGAGACTCCAGGCTGGGGACACAAAGAGGGAAATTTTCCTTTTCAGGGGAAGCAGGAGCCAGGACAAGGAGGCACCCAAAGAGACAGACCAAGTAGCAGGGCAGCTAGCAACATTGGGCTAATTAATCCTAATTGCATCCTAAAGCATTGTATTGATTAACAGTGATTACTCAAGAGCTCTCAATACAAGAGAGCTTCAGAAGCCCAACCCTCCGGAAGAGACAGTTTCTTTACTGGCCTGGCTTACCACCTGCTCTTTGGCAAACCCAGCCTGGTTAGAATCTCTGAATCATTTACTTGGAACAAAACCTGGAGCATTGATTCCATCACCACAGTATCACAACCAGCTTCTGCCACCTTCCTTAGACCTTTGCAATAACCTATAAGATAATTGCTTCTGTTAGGAGCAATTCTTCTTCTACCGAAACATTGTAATTAAGCAGAATGGAAATATAGTAATTAACACAGTGTTATCTCAAGCAAACAAGCTAAAGAGCGGTGAATATAGGGGGTGACGGAGTTTTTAGGATTCACTCTTGACCTAGAAATTCCAAACTTATCTTGAACTAAGGTTGAAAGAGTTTAAGAAATAGATCCAAATTCTCATGCTCAAGAGCAGGAAAGGGTGGAAAAGCTAGGAGCACAACACTGTCTTCTTCCTCCCACCTGAGGGCATTTTCTGGGAGATAAAGCTAAAAAATGAGTGCAGGCTCTCCCAAGAGGCCATCTCTCTCTCTCTCTCTCTCTCTCTCTCTCTCTCTCTCTCTCTCTCTCTCTCTCTCCCCTCTATGTGTGTGTGTGTGTGTACACATGCTTGTGCATAGCCCAGGCACAAACACAAACCTTGTCTTGCAGCAAAAGGCAAACAGCCAGTCATATACTAATAGGAGACAGAGAATTGAAAATAAAAAGACAGCACGTATAATGTCCAAATTGTTTTCTGCTCCCAGAATTGCCTGCTCATTGTGCCTGGGGATGGCAAAGAAAAAAGAAAATTCCCACCCCAGAAGTCATTGTCAATTTGTGAACCAAAACCTTGCTCAGGTCAGAGGAACTGAAGTGTCACTGAATGACTGCTTTGCCATTGTCCTGAACTAATGTGAAAGAAGAGATCTTCCTTCCTTCCTTCCTTCCTTCCCATTTAAGTGTCACTCACTAAGCTAGGCAGAGAGGTCATAGGAAGAGCTTCACAGGCAGGCAGGGGAGGCAGACGTAATCATAGCAAATGCAAGGACTGCCACAGGATGGGAGCTCTGCGGGCACATGGAGAGCCAGTTACCATCCTACCAAACAGGACAAAGAAGTCTTCATTGGAAATGGCCATTCTAGCTGAGAATGGAAGATAAGGCAGGAATTTGCCAGACAGAGAAGCAGGAGGAGGCAGAGTATTCCAGGCAGAGGAAGTAGCATGTATAAAAGCACAAGGCGATATAATTAGATTTCTGTTTGAAGAATTACTTGCCCCTGGTTAACAGATTCAGAGAGAGCTGAAGCAGTAAATGTGAGCAGGTGTTTCATGTGGTGGAAAGAGCACCGCACCAGCAGTTAGGGCTCCCCAGTCCTAGGATGAGCTGGGCCACTGATGAGCTGAGTGTCCTTGGACAAGCCTCTTAATCTCTCCAACCTTAGCTCCTCCTGGATAAAATGAAAGGGGTTGATCCACTGGTTTGTAAGCTTCTCCTTGCACATGTATTCTATGATTCTGTCTCTACCTGAAGATACTTCTTTAAATCCTGCTCTACATTATGCTCTTTACCGTATTTGCACACTTGTTCCTTTCCTTGTGTATAGCACTTTACAGTTTACAAAACTATTTGCCATATACTATCCCCTTTGACCTTCACAGCCATGTGAGGGAGACAGCTACACTGAAGACCTAGATAAGCTTGTCCAGTCACTGGCTGTAAACCTCTCTGTGCGGATGATGCCCAAGTTTGTATCTGCAGCTCCGGCCCTCTCGCTCTCTCTTAAAATCTGGATGTATAGAACCAACTGCCTGCCCCTCCTCTGCATGACCATCTAAGAGACATCTCTATCTTAACATACCCAACACTTAACTTCTGATTTGTTTTTCCAAGCCAGCTCCTCCCTCAGTCTTCCCCATCCTAGTAAGTAAAAACTCCATTCTTCCAGTTCCTCAAGGTCAAAAGCTTGAAGTCATTTCATACCCTCCATTCAGACCATCCATAAATCCTGTCGTCTCTATCTTTGAAATATTTTCAGAATCTTACCATTTCTCCCCACCTCTTCTACTTGTGCCCTAGTTCAAACCACTCTCTTCTCTCCCCTGGATGTTTGCTCTGCCATTTCTAACCTTTGTACCTACAGTCTGTTCTCCACACGGAAGCTGTCCTAATTCAGATCCTATCACTCCTCTGCTCAAAAACCTTCTATGGCTCCCCAGCTCTCTAGAGAAAAAGCCTTAGCAGCCCCACAAGGCCTGTCTGACATTATCTGCTAGCGCTCTCCCTATCCTCACTTCTCTCAGGCTTCCCCAGCCTCTCTGCTATTCCTCACACACCCAAGGCTCTCACCTCAAGGCCTTTGTACTTGATGCTCTCTCTGCCTGGAAAGCTCTTTTGCCAAATGTCCACATAGGTCATTTCCTCACTTCCTTTAATCTCTGCTCAAATATCAATTCATCAGAGATGTATTACCATCTTTTCAAAAATGACAAATACTTGTCATTATCACCATCTGACATTGTACATATTTATTGTCTGTCTCCCCTGACCAGAATATAAATTCCACAGGAGCAGAGGCCTTGCCTGCTTTGTTCATCACTATAGCCCCAGCTTACAGAACAGGGCTTGGTTTTTGTTTGTTTGGTGGTTTCTTTTAAAGGTACAAAATAATGATTTAATAAATGAATGATTATTATCCTCATTTTACAGATAGGAATCAGGGATGCAATTGGTAATTTTCAGAGCTAGGCTTGAACTGAGATTTTTCCATATAAATTTTTTTCTCCAATTGCTTATTAGTTAATATTTATATTAGCACTTAAAAACTCTTTAATAGAAAATGTATATTATAGTAAAACATGCTAATTGTTTTTCAACCCAGTTAACCACCTGCAGCATTCCAAATCACAACAGAGGGGAGAATTAGCTCTGAAACCCACAAAAAGTGTTCATCAATCCCACATACACGCAATTTTTCTGGAACCATTTTTGTTCCCTGTGTTACATTTCTAGTTTTTCTTCATACAGTCCTAAGTCAAGGGTGTGGTGAGAGATTGGGAAGGCAGGCTTTGTAGCTTGGCCTCGGGCTGACACCCAGGGGTAATCACATCTCTCTTCCTGAGCACTCATAAGCACCTCTCTGCTTTCCTCTTTCCTGCTCAGCTGGCACAGACTGTCAGATTTGGGCTGAGGATAAATCAAGAGGAAGTGAGGTATGGGTTGTGAAGATCAGAGGCATGGCTGGTTCAGGGATGACACCAGGCTTCCTGGCAGATGAGCAGGATAAAGGGTCAAGTCCAAGGGCTCAACTCCAGGCAAGGAAGACAGTGGCAACTCTTCGGATGTTTAGACCCAAGGAAGAACATAAGGTGTGGTCACCCTTCTTGAAGGCATTTGAACACTAGAGATCTGTGTCTGTGATTATCTCCCAGGACCAGCGTGAAGCCACAGAGGTCCTGGATAAGATCAGGACAGGATGGGCGTTGGCCAAGGTCACCTAAAGCAGTGTTCCCAGAAGGAGATCTGTATCCCATTAAAAAAAGGATCTGGGCCGGGCGCGGTGGCTCATGCCTGTAATCCCAGCACTTTGGGAGGCCAAGGCGGGTGGATCACCTGAGGTTGGGAGTTCGAGATCAGCCTGACCAACATGGAGAAACCCCGTCTCTACTAAAAATACAAAAAATTAGCCGAGCATGGTGGCACATGCCTATAATGGCAGATACTCGGGAGGCTGAGGCAGGAGAATTGCTTGAACCAGGGAGGTGGAGGTTGCAGTGAGCTGAGATCACGCCATTGCACTCCAGCCTGGGCAACAAGAGCGAAACTCTGCCTCAAAAAAAATAAATAAATAAAAGAAAAGGAAAAGATCCCAGGTTGTAACCAAAAAGGGCTTGGGCCTGGCCTGGTGCTGAGAGGACCCGAGCAGGACCATATCTCTGGGTAGGGCATAAGGAGGGAGAACCTCCTGCCTGGTTGGGGGTAGAAAACCACTGGAGTGGTTGAGAGGTCCAGAAAGGCTTTTGCCCCCACCAAAATGTCTCTCCTCTGGTGTTCCATGGACTAAAATCCTCATAGCAGTGAAATAGTAGGTTGGCCTAATGCCTTATCTAAACGAGGCAACACATACATTAGCAGCACCTTAGCAGGAGTGGGAGATAAACAGCCATTCCCTTTGAATGATCTATTGAGCACACCTCTGTACCAGGACCATATAAAGCACCTAGAACCCTAGCCCCCGGAGAGAAGGCATTCAAGACATTGTTATTGATAGAAGGCATGGAGGGATGCAGCAGCAGACGATGCGTGACCGTGGGAGGGCCAGAGAGGCCTTGAATGCCATGGAATGGGGCTGGAATTTTTCCTATAGTCCAGGCAAGGGAAATAATACAAAGTTTGGGGCAGAAGGCTGATGAAGTGAGAACAGTAGCAGTGGCTAAACTTGAGTGATGGAGACCAACTAGGAGACTGTTATGACAGCCCCAGCACCTGAGTAGGATCCTGATTGGGGCAGATATGCCAAAAACAATGAAAACCCATTATCCACACTTATTGCATGAGGTAGTACCCTAAGGGGTCAGAAAGCAGAATAGGGAACTAAGATGGGGAGGAATAAAAAAGAATAAGAGAAACAATACGAGTGATCATTAGAGAAAGGGGGAGTGTGAGCCAAGTGAAGTAAGTGAAGTCCTGATGAAGACAACTTTGCCTGAACCCCACCCATTTTGCTTTGTGCTGGCTCTGCTCTCATCTGGGAAATGAGGGGGATAGAACGTGCCCTTAACACATCCTGGCAATGCTGCAGGTAGCTTGGATCTCAGATGTTAGCCAAGAAGCCCTGATTTGAGTGGGAGGCAGCAGGCTTCCTCACTTCAATTAAATAAGAATTTTCACACCCCTGTTATTTGCTCAGTTCTGTTCTGAGGCTAGAGAGGACACACACAGAGGATAAGCAGTGCTTAAGGGATGATCATCTTATTGGGAACGTGAGGTGCAAGCAAGAAGTAAATAGCAGGTAAATGCCAGATTGACTGCTCCAGGCAATAAATACTGGAGAAGTTCAGTGGAGAGGGAGTCGCTGAGGCATAGTGTCCAGGAAGGCTTCTTGAAGGAGGTGGGAATTGCCTTGGGTCACAAAGAAAATGTGGGCGTGGGCAGATGCAGGTGATGAAACATGCATTTAGTGGAATTCTTTAAGAAAGTAAAGGAGGAGTAGGTATAATGAGGAAAAACCTATAACCCACTTAGACTTTTAAAGAGCTTTTGACAAAGTTCTCTAAGAAAGGCTTTTTTGAAAGGTTAAGTCACCATGAAACTTGAGGGGGAGGAAAGAATGATATCTCTTTTATCAAGAGAATGGCTTAGAGACAGAAAATAAATGGTAGGAACAAATTTAGGCTTCAGCCAGGCACAGTGTCTCATGCCTGTAATCCCAGTACTTTGGGAGGCTGAGACAGGAGGATTGCTTCAGCTCAGGAGTTCAAGACCAGCCTGAGCAACATAGTGAGACCCCGTCACTCTAAAAGAAAATTTTTTTCTTAATTAGCCAGGCATGGTGGCGCACACCTGTAGTCTTAGCTACTCGGGAGGCTGAGCAGGAGGATCCCTTGGGCCTAGGAGGTCAAGGTGGCAGTGAGCTAAGATCCAGCCACTTTGCTCCAGCATAGATGACAGAGCAAGACCCTGTCTCAAAAAAAAAAAAAAAAGAAAAAAAGAAAAAAAAAATTTAGGCTTCTTTAGATGGTCCATTGTTAAAATTTTCTCTTCAAGAATCTGTGCAATAAATGGATAAACAAAATATGATATAGACATACAATGAAATATTCAGCCTTTAAAATGAATGAAATTTAACATGTTACAACATGGATGAAACTTGAAGACATGCTAAGTAAAAAAGTCACACACAAAAGGATAAATACTGTATGATTTCACCTTTATGATGTATTTAGAGTAGTCAACTCACAGAAACAGAAGGTAGAATGGATGTTGCCAGTGGCTTGAGAAAGGGGTAAAATGGGGGGTTAGGTTTTAATGGGTGCAGAGTTTCACTTTGGAATGATGAAAAGGTTGTAGAGATAGAGGGTGGTGACGGTGGCCGAATGCAAATGTGCTTAATGCCACTGAACTGTGCACTTCAGGAGCACTGAGACAGCACATTTTATGTTAGTGTATTTCACCATAATTAAAAAGGAAAAAATACATATGTGGAACGGCCCAGTTTATGTATTAAAAAGTAAATATTTTTAAAATAAGTTAACATGATACATTTTATGTTGTTTATATTTTACCACAACAACAGCAAAAAAAAAAAAAAAAAAAGAGTGTATGCCAAGACTGGTATAATTTAACATCTTTATACGTGTTCGGGAGGGGAAGGTCACATGACAAATCTTTCCCTTGCAGATGGCTCCAACTATAATCCTCCAGGTACAGTGGCAAGAAACTGACAGGCTTTGACAGGAGGAGGCACCAGAGCATTGGTCTTTGACCCTGGATGGACATTAGAATCATCTCCGGGAGCTTTTGAAGATATCCCCAGAGAATCTGATTTAACTGCCCTGAGTGAGGCCCTGGGAATTAGTGTTTTTTTTCAAAGCTCCCGGGTGATTCCAATCCACAGCCAGGGTCGACTGGTTAGAGCATCAAGGCTGAAAATCTCAGACTCCCTGAGTTTGAGTCTAGGCTGTGTCGTTTGCCAGCTGTGTGATGATCAGGTTACTTAATCTGTCTGTTTCTCAATATCCTTGTCTTCAACATTGTGTAATAATAGTCCTTACCTCATAGGGTTGCAGAGAGAATTAAAAGAGATACTGTAAGGAGAACATTTAATACAGTGCCTAGGGCATTGTATGAGCTCACTAAATGTTAGTTATCATTACCCACCGAGTTTGTATAATTTGGCAAGAAAAGGGGCAGATAAATTTAACGTGGCATGTGCAGATACGTTTAAAAATAAAATCCAAACTCTGTGACTAACATCTCTGTCAAAAGTCAGGAGAGGGCCTTTGGAAGAATTTTCCCTTCCAATACATGAGTTGAAAGTCCTGCTTTGCTCCAAAAGCCAAGAAAACACGTCAGGCATCAGCGAGGGGAGGAGGTGGCTGAAAATAACTGAGCCCCCACCCCCTCATTTCTTTAAACATGATACATCCACCTCTCACTGATTTGTGCTGGGTTCTAGTCACTGAACCTCTGATGTTCAGATACTGGAGAAGGAACGGAAGAGAATAACTCAAGGCTGCCGAGGGAAGACAGGCCAGAAAGGGTTAGAACCCTCCAGACTGGAAAAGGACACAATGGCAATCAGTAAACTCATCAATAACCAGAAGATCAACAAGGACTTATTCAACCCAAATACTCGCTGGAGGGGAAGATGAGAGAGGAATAGTTAGAGCAAATAAAAGGAATAGGTAATAAAATTGTGGAACAATTTACTCCAAGATGTAGTACATGAGGGAAATAGAAATGAATTCACAAAGCATCTGGACAAACTAATGTCAGAGATGTAAATGGATGCCCAGGGAAGCTGACATACGCTCACCTTGAAAGTCTGCATCAGGGAAGGTAGTGGGCATGTCCCTCCCAACAATGGAGAGACCATGGTCTGACCAGCATGTGCATTCTGATGTGTTTAGTGTCCCTAAGGAGGAATTTGCCAAAGAGTCAGGAATGGAAAAGAGTGTGCTGTGTTCTAGGGACAGTGAAAAAATTGGATTGGCTACAGTGAAAGGGCCAAGGACATGAGGGGGATTCGTCAGGATAGGTAAGGCTGGATCAGATTATCAACAGTACCCAGAACCAGTGAAATCAGCCCAAGAATCACAGAATATTGTAGCTCCTCTAGTCCAACACCTCCCTTCAAAAGATGAAAAAGTAGAGCTCAAGGGGATACATTCACTTGTCCAACATCTTACAATGTGTTGACAGCAGAGCAGAGATGGGAACCCTGTAGCTCTTCTATAATACCGTATGGTGGACTGGGTCTGGGACTTTGGAGAAAGACTTACCAAATCAATGACCTTGAGAAAGAGCGTTATCTCCTCTGAGCCCCAATGTGAAATAACTTAACCCACTCCAGGCCACATTAGCCTGGGGATACAAGTAAAGACTTGGCAAAAGTCCCAAAGCTGTTTCTCCAGCTCCACCCTCTTAACTTGGAAATTGCAGCTTTCCCCCATTTTTTCCTGGTAAGTCCTTGCAAGCCCCAGCACATGCCTCAGTCGAGTCCAGGGCCCGAGTCCTGTCAGCTGCCCTTGCTCTGCCCCTCCTTCTTGCCTTGGCTGTTTGGGTCAATGTCCCTAGACTCTACTGATGTCTCATTTTAAGTCCCCTCCTAGTGTCCAAGAACATCTCCAAGTTAAGTTTCCTGATGCTTGTGAAGAGGGATTGTTTTGCAGGTTGCAGAAAACACTGGCCTCGACTTTTCTCTCACTCTCCTTTGAAAATGGAACTGGAGCAACTTTTGGTGTTTCTTGGCTCTGCACTGCAGCTGTCGTGCCTTAGGACTGTCTGGTCCAGAGGACAAGCCGAGCGATACACTCGCCCTTGCTGCACTCAGAACTCTTCCTCTCCTCCAAAACTGGCTCACCGCCCTTGAATTTCTCACCATTGTGTCTCTAGCACAGTGCTGGGTACATTATAGATGCTCAATAAATATTTGTTGAACGAATTAACAAATTCTTCTCTTCCAGGTGGATTCTCTCTTCAAGCTTAGAAAACTAATTTTTTTCACAGGAGACTCAAACCAATCTCTGCATTTTTGTCCACCCATTTCCCCCTGCAGTCTTATGGATAGGCTTGTTTGAACCTTAGGGTAAATATGGCTTTGGCTCCAGCTAGGAATTTGGGATGCATGCAGTGAGACAATGTAGACAAACAGGTCCAGCAGAAAACCTGGGATATCACAGATAACCCAACACCATTATTCCTTTTCTTTCTTTTGCCTAACTAGGATTACTGACTCAGAAGGGGGAAAAACATCAAAGGCTTCACACAAAGAAATCTATTCAAAATGAAAGCAATTTGGAGACAGGAAAATTATGGTGTATCCACATCTGGCATAATGTGGGTAGTTCTAGTCATTTAACTTTAAAAAGGCTATGCTCGTGTTATTTATTACAATTTTAATTTAGACCTCATCTATTTCCAAAAAGGATTCAAGGCAAGTAAAAAGGTTAAAAAATAAACAAACACTTACATAGAACAAAAGAAGGAAATGAAAAATAAACACATGAACCAGTTGGTTGGTTTCATGCGATTCAAGAGTGGAGAGAGTGCAAAGTGGAGCTGGATGGAAGCCGAGATTGTCCATGGGTGCAGGGCAACAGGTCCCAGGTGCAGGTGGAGGACAGAGATGGCTGGCAGTGGATGAACAATCACAGGTCAGCAAGTTTGGGATGGAGACCAAAGGTGTACATCTATGGAAGTTCCTCAGGGAGGGGAAAGTTCCCAGTGTTTCTTTGAACAATCTGAGAAGAAAGTAGAAACCTGGTTAAAAGGGATCAAAAGAGGCATGTTGGTAGATTTCAACTTGGAAATGAAAAAATAGCACTGCTTTGGAGGAGGCAATGTGTACTGATGCAACAGAATGATATTTGAGATGATAACCACATTGTTCTTTTCTTCTCTTTTTCCTCTTCTCCATCTCATTCTGGCCATAAGGCAAAGGGAGAGAAAGCCCTTATCCCCTGGGCTTTCTAGGCCTTGAGAGTGACATGAGAGGGTGAGTCAGGTTCTTATGAGTGGGTCAAGGAAGTTAACTGAGAGAGAGAAAGAGCCCTAGGAGGGGATCTCTGTTGGGATGAGGGGTCACGCAGCAGAGGGATGTGGTGTGGACTGTCCCCACAGTGAATCTGATTGGGATGTGATTACAACTCAGGGATCCCCAGCACCAGGACAGTGCAGTCTCTGTTTGAGCAGGACTGTTTATTACCCCAGCCAAGCCCAACTATGAGGCCCGCAGAAACTGCAAACAGACACCACTATCCACCTCAGAAGCACACTGCTACTAGGGGACCACTTAGGGAATCCCACCTTTCTCCAGGAGCTCAGAAAAGTGGAAATCATCCTGAATAGACTAAGTTTTAAATTAAAAAAAGACTGAGAAATACTGAAGTTTATTGATTGTACTTGAAAGTCACTAGAATAAATTTCTTGCATCAAGCAGAATACGGGCTTGGGGTCAGAAATTAACTTGAGTTATAAGAAAATGAAGTTACACGTTTCCACACCTGAGTCTTTTGATGTGAAATTTGCAGCTACTATTCTGATTTGTATTGTTGTTGTTGCTAGAGTAACACCTCAATTAACCAGAGAGTATCCTTCCATGAGCTTTAAGCTCCAGGAATAGCCCCAAAATGGATATGAAGGCTATTTCTAGTGCCCTGGACATGGAGTGACAATGAAAACAGTAAAAGAAGAAAAGGTCTGCAGAGCTAACCTGAGACTGGTTGATTTGTATGCCAGAAATCCTCATACTGTCTTCTCTCTTCCACCACGACTGAGTTGTATGACCTCCAGGTCATTTAATGTCTCTGAGAACAGTAACTGTGGAGGGGGAATTGTGAGCATGCCTAGGACACCATGATGTGCTCTTTGTGTGCAGCCCATAATTTCCCTATTAGATGGTTATCTCCTGAGGGTCCCTCCAAGTCGTATTTGTCTCTCAGCCCCTCACATAGTGTTTGGCATATGCTAAGTGTTCACTATTTGTGTGTTGAACTCAAACCGAACAGGTTGACAACAGCTAGTGAGGTCAAAGTGCTCCCTGGGAAAATGAAGAAGAAGAAGGATAAGGAGGAAGTGGAAAAGAAAAGAAAAAGGAAAGGAAAGGAAAGAAAAGAAGAGGAGGACACAGAGTAAAGTAGAATGAACAGAGCGGGAATGTTGAAAAAGTCAGGCAGGAGCACGCCAGAGCCAGATCCACTAGCTGCGTGACCTTGGGCAAGCGAGTTTATCAATCTGGACCTCATCTGTCAAGTGGGAATAATAACAGTACCTACTGCATAGTGTCTATGTGAGGATTAGATGAGTTGGCTTAAGTAAAGTACCTAGTGCGTAATAAGAGTTGTGTATTAATTATTTCTACTATTAGACACAGAAAGGGCATATGAAAATGTGTACTCTCACTAGTAATTAAAGAAATGCAAATGAAAACAAAATACTATTGTCATCTATTGGCAAAGGTTTTTAAAACTTATTTACAGGCCAGGTGTGGTGGCTCATGCCTGTAATCTCAGTACTTTGGGAGGCTGAAGGGGATGAATGGATTGAGCCTAGGAGTTTGAGACCACCCTTGGCAACATGGCAAGACCCCGTCTCTACAAAAATTACTAAAATTCACTGGGCATGGTGGCGGGCACCTGTAGTCCCAGCTACTGGGGAGTTGTGGGGGTGCTCAGGCATGAGGATTGCTTGAGCCTAGGATGTCAAGGCTGCCGTGAGCCATGATCGTGCCACTGCTCTCCAGCCTGGGTGACAGAGCAAGACCTTGTATCAAAAAAAAAAAATTGCAATTCTTGAACCCTTCATGTTGTTGAACCCAAGGAATTGAGGGTATGGCAGTTGGGGAGAGGATTATCTTAAGACAATTTCCTTGGAGAGCGTTGTGCCGAGAATCACACACACCCCATCAGAGCTATGCCAATCCCTCAGCTAAAGCCGTGTGAAGGGGGATACAACGGGATCATTCAGAAAACTAACTATGTGACCCTTGCTGTCAGAGGCCAGGAGCACAGGAGACTAGTGTCTGTCATCTGCTTCATGAAACCTAGAAGGCAAGAGAGGTGGGCTACTTGGGAAGCTGAGAGCAAAAGGGTTGTGGTCAAAAAGACACAGCAGAGGAGTCTCAAAAAAATCCATGAAGGTGCCCAGAGACAAAGAGTCAGCTTTAAAGCTCTGCTCTGCTATGAGAACACAAGGACATTTGATGACAATACCAGTGAAATACAAACTTTCTTGTCCTTGTTCCCATGTCTTCCACCCTCGCTGTGACCAGGGAGGGATGAGAGGGACAGAAAAGCTGACCACTCCCATGACCAAAGGCAGACAGTCTGCCTGCAACTGATCCCTGATCCCAGGTAGGGAACTGGGGAGGAGTCTTATCCTTGAACGAAAATTAAAGTGGTAATAAAATTAACATTCTGTTACTGAATTCCAGATTGTGTTTGCATCTTAAAGTGACCATGGCCTGTTTTACTATCTAGAAGTAAGTAGAGTTTACAGTCGGGGTAGAGTTTACAGTCAGAGGGTAGGTTTCCTCCACCAAGTAGATTTAAAGAGACATGGGAAGCAAAACAAGAAAAGTTATTTTATTGTTACATTCTATGAATCCTGTTTGCTCCATGTGCTGCTTCTGTGTTGTTTTCAGGCAGTGCTCATTGTTGCTTTGGGTGTCTGTATTTGCTTGCCCAGCATCCAGCCCCAAATGCTGATTTCCTGATGAGGAAAGACTCCTCCCCCAGTTTTGCAGTTTTGATAGGCACTTTAATAAAAGTGCCCCAGCTGCCTCTGGCTAACAGAAGGGCCCGTAGCCAAGCGCAGCCAATTGGATGTTCTCTCCAGACTCTTGAATCTGAGGGCAGGATTGGCATGCAGGAGTGAATTCATCCCAGCAACTAGCCGTAATTAGTTCCTGTGCCCAGATCCCTGGATCTTCCCTTGATTCTATGGACTACCCTGTGTCCGCCAAATAAATTATTTTTCCTTATAAATTAACCACGGTCGATTTCTGCTACATGCGATGGAAAGATTTTAAGTGTCAAACTGGAGGGGAAACGCGGCAAAAAAAGAGCTTGCAATGAGTGTCATCCTATGAGAGGGATTCCCAAGTTCCTCTAATGAAAATGTCAAAGAGCACATCTCAGCTTTTGTGGAATGTAGACAGTTATGAGAGATGGCAGGTAGATAGATGAGTGCACATAGATAGATAGGTAGACAGTCACACATATAGGTATATATGGATAAAACTTTTATTTCAATTATCATATAGTCATCCTCCCTCTGGCCCAGTGCTAACTGAAAAAGCAAATGGATTTAAACAAGCAAGTGTGGTTGATGGAGTCATGTGTTTTCTGAAGGGCTGCCTTGGCATTTCAAAATGAGACACAGAATTAGATTATATCAAGTTAGGGAAAAGGAATCACTTCGTCATGAAGTTGTAGACCAATTTTCGGGCTTTTTCAAGGAAATCTTTTCTGAATACTGTCTTTCTAGAGCACTTTTATAGTTTTTCTGAAACCAGTTTGTTATTATGTGAGGCTTAATGATGTCTATCTCAGTAGGTATCAGTGAATCAAATGTCCTGGGGTTTAAGCAGAATAAAATAGATTAAAATCAAGAAATGTGTAGTGAACCCTGTAGCAGATACTGTTGATGCCCTACCCAATAGCTACCTTTTTGCTAAGAGAATATATGTACTGTTCAGATATTGGGTAGTCATGTATTTCAAGGATGGATCGCTCCAGCCCCAGTCCAACAGTCTTAGTCATTCAAAATCATTCTACTAATTCTGCTGGCGACTGGCTTTGAAAAGGACATGTGACTGAATTCTGTCCATTGATCCATTAGTAGCCACTGACTGGGTAGATTGTTCCGAGAGAGGTTTCTTAGTCTTAAATAAAGGCACAGGGCCAGGCGCGGTGGTTCCCAGCATTTTGGGAGGCTGAGGTGGGCAGATCATGAGGTCAGGAGTTCGAGACGAGCCTGGCCAAGATGGTGAAACTCCATCTCTACTAAAAATACAAAAATTTGCCGGGCATGGTGGTGCACTCCTGTAATCCCAGCTACTTGGGAGGCTGAGGCAGGAGAATCACTAGAACCCAGGAGGCAGAGGTTGCAGTGAGCCAAGATGGCGCCACTGCACTACAGCCTGGGTGACAGAGCAAAACTCCATCTCAATAAAATAAAATAAAATAAAATAAAATAAAATAAAAAGGCACAAAGAAAAGACTGTCCCTTTTCTGCCTCTGGATGGCGATGTGTGAGGATGTGATGCCTAGAGATAGTGCAGCTATCTAGTGACTGTGAGGAAAGCTAGCAAGTGTACTGAGAATGACAGAAAGTAGAGATGGACAGAGCTGGGGTTTTTGATGTTGTTATTAAACCAATAAATTGACCAACCCAAAAAACTGTCCTTGTTACATGAAATAATAGTAAATCTCTTCATCATTTCATACATTTTAAGTTGTTTTCTGTTATTTGAAAGCTCTTTCCCACCAGGAGTTTACAATCTTTTTTAGAAATTTAACCATATGAGGCCAGGCGCGGTGGCTCACGCCTGTAATCCCAGCACTTTGGGAGGCCAAGGCAGGTGGATCACGAGGTCAGGAGTTTGAGACCAGTCTCACTAACATAGTGAAACCCCGTCTCTACTAAAAAAAAATAGAAAAATTAACCGGGCGTGGTGGTGTGTGCCTGTAATCCCAGCTACTCGGGAGGCTGAGGCAGGAGAATGGCGTGAACCCAGGAGGCGGAGCTTACAGTGAGCGGAGCTCATGCCACTGCGCTGCAGCCTGGGCGATAGAGTGAGTCTCGGTCTCAAAAAAAAAAAAAAAGAAATTTAACTGAATGAATCTTTCAGTCTTTCAAATACATGACACCAGTTCTCTCAAATATATTTTTCCTAACTGGTACTTATGTCCATTTGAACTTTTCATGAATGATTATTTGAGAAAAACAGAACTCCCTAGGTAAGCCAAGCTATCTTATTATTAGGTAATTATAAAATGCTCCCCAAGGTTGAAATCTGACAATATTCTCACGGTCTCCCTGCCCTGCCTCCTCCCCTTCATCTTCTCCATGTTACTTCCCTGATCTGACCTATGGAGAAGGGAGATATTCAGAATATGAGGTATTATTACAAAACAAATGTCATGAGCAAGCTGCTCTACCACGTAGACACTGTAGAAGATTTTTTTCCAGCCTTGTGACAATATTAAAGATATGGTTTTCATATTGCTTGTGCTTAATAGGTTGTTGAAAGTCAAACATTAAAAGAACTTGGGGAAATCATGACCAGTGGCATATCTGGAGAAAAGTGTCACCTGGTGATGAGAAAGATGATGATGTCAGCGATGGGATAAGCTGGGGTCAAAAGACACCTGCGCAGCTTCTTGGCAGTGGCAAAGAATAATCTTCCCTCAGACTCAAAACAAAAACCTCCTAAATATAGAAGGCACAGTGCATGAGTCTGGTTCCTGGGGGTAGAGATGCAGATATAACTGACCCAGCTTCCATGGCTGTGGAAGAGTTAAAGGACACCAATGGCCACAGTGAGGAAGAAAAAGCTATTCTGGAGGACCAAGCAATCACTGAGGAGGCAGCTCCGACCTTTGATTTGCTAATTAATTTTGCAAAAAGGCAACCTGCAGTACATGGCTCCCAAGAGCAGACAGGACACAACCTTCACCCAGCTTTCAGAGAGACAAACAAACAGCCAAAAGCAAGCTGACTTTGGGGCTTTTCCAAAAGAGCAATTTGCAGGGCATTTCCTGGGGTCAGTGATCACTCAGCCCTCTGGGCCATCCTGTCTGCTGCAATTACCACAGTACAAAGAAGTGGCCAATGTTTGGGAGGCTGACCAAGGAGCCTGCAGGGCAGAGAGGGACACCCCAGGCTTTGATGCCACCTCTCTCCTGTCGCTCCTGCCTCTAGTCTCCACCTATTGTTAGGAGTGTGACCTCAGCCGAATTTCTTATCCTTTTTTTAACCTTAGTTTTTCTACTTGTGAAGACAACAGGCCCACCTGCCTTACAAGATTATTGTGATAAAAACTAAAGGAGATGGTGTGAACGTAGTGAGTGCCTACTGTTTTGTGGAGCCGTACCCCTTTGTCTGGAGACTCCCACACCCATTCCACCTACACGGTTTCCAGGGCAGTCATCCTATCGGTGCCAAGACCACCTGCTCCTTGGCCACAGTTAATCAGTTCTGAGATGCACACCAGCCAAACCAGGCCAACTACAGTCCTATCCTGGGAAGTTGAGGAACTGAAAAAATGAAGAAGGGCCAATCTCACTCCTGGAAACTGAGGACCAATAAAAGATGAAGATATCCTTGTTCTGCAGAGCAGAAAAAGATGGGCCTCAATGAGAGAGAAACCGAAGGAGTCCAAAGACAAGCAGGGGTGAAGAGAAGGAGTTCTTCCTGGGAATCCGCAGGGCTCCATCCGGGTCCTAGTCAATTCTCAGTACAACAGCACCTTTATAGACCCCATAAAGCCCTCGAATACATCTCCAGTTTTGCCTAGCTTAGCAAAAGCCATGTTCTAATACGTAGAGTGCAGAGAGTTCTTCATAATACAGCTTCTTGGCAGTCAGGGGGTTCTCACTCACTCATTCAACAAATAGGTCTTGAGTGCCTCATTCAACAAATATGTCTGTGCCAGGCACATCCTGAGGGCTGGAATGCACAGTCCCCATCCTCACGGAACTTATGGTCCCATGGGGAATATGGGCATGCCCCAAATAATCACCCAAATAAATATATGATGATGTAACTCTTGGTTCCTTTCCCTTGTATTATTAGAAAAACGCTAACTTATGTCTGACACAGACATTTAAGAAGATCGAGAAGCATCTTAATGGGGTTAAAGGTCAATGCTGGCACTTCAACAGTTAAACTTCAGCCACGTGGAAAAGGCACCAATCCCAGCAGCTCCTTCCCTCCTGCCAGATGAGGGAGGCGGCACTGTGTATCCGTGGGCTTCACAGTTCCCCTTGGTCCCCATCATCACCTTTATTGCTCTCTTTAAATCCTGGGGTTTCAATTGTCCTTCCCATCAGAATGATTCTGTTTTTAACAACCCCAGACCTTTCTCTTCGTTATTCTCTAGCCCCAGGCTGGTGCATCCACATCATCTAAGAGAGGCATCGTTCCCAAGCAGAGGGCAGTGCAGACCCCAAGGAGCTGTGTTGTCACTGATTTATGACTCCCCATCCTCTGCCTGTTGAGGAAAATCACTTTATCAAGATGAGAAATCAGGGCTGGGGGTGGAGCAGTGTTTCCTGATTGGCTCCAAACACTCTCCTGCATATTTCAGAGGCACTTATATTTACAAGTCATCAGGGCTGCATGCAAGTGATGTGGAGAGAAATGACCAAATATTGAACAGAGGGGCGTGATTTGCCTTATATTTATTCAGTTATGCTTTTCAGGATGTAAAGGATGGAGTGTAGCAATTCCGAATGTAGAAATAACAAGCAGGAGCAGCCGGCCTGCACCCATTCTAGGGGAGATACTTTTCTGCCTCTTAGTCTCCCATTCGATGGATCTGAATGCACTTGGGGTTCAATAGTATCATCTTCATCACCATCCATGTCATGATCATCACATTTCAGAGCTGGCAGGTTCTTAAGCATCCTTCTGGTCGAATCTATTGTTTCACAGATTAGGAAACTGAGGTTCAGAAAGGAGGAAAAACTTGCTCAAGGTCACACTGTGAAATTGAGACTGGGACTAAAAGCCAGATCCTCTGACTTCTGATCCATTGTTGTCAGGCCTTTTGTAGGCAGCCTGAGGTGCTGCATGCTGTACAGTGGCCTTAGTGTTGTTTGTAAGGAAATTTTTTTTTTTTTTTTTGAGTCGGAGTTTCGCTCTTGTTGCCCAGGCTGGAGTGCAATGGCGCAGTCTCAGCTCACCGCAACCTCTGCCTCCCGGGTTCAAGCGATTCTCTTGCCTCAGCCTCCCAAGTAGCTAGGATTACAGGCATGAGCCACCACACCCAGCTAATTTTGTATTTTTAGTAGAGACGGAGTTTCTCCATGTTGGTGAGGCTGGTCTCGAACTCCCGACCTCAGGTGATCCACCTGCCTCGGGCTCCCAAAGTGCTGGAATTACAGGTGTGAGCCACCGCGCCCAGCCAGGTATCTTAACATTAGGGTGTTTCCAGTCTCAGACAGACATATACAAAAATGCACAAGAGAAATTTTTTGTTTTTACTGTTTGTTTCCAGCTAAATAATAATGTAATCATATTATAAAAACCTGGAAAGTAGGAAAAAGAAAGAATTAGTCGTATCATTCTAACACAATCTATGTTAGCATTTTGTTCTTTTACTTTCTACTTCCTTTATATTTCATTCCCTCCGCATGTAGTTGTAATTATAGTATATCTGCACAATTTTGTGTCCTACGTTTTCATTTAACTTTATGGCACAAGAATTTTCCATGTTATTACTTTGGCTTCATAACCATAATTTTAAGGATTACTTAATATTCTACCAGAGAGATATACCACAGTTTACTTATCCATTCCTGTATCACTGGACATTTAGCTTTTGCCCGTTTTTCATTAACATAAATAATGCTGCAATGAACATCTTACGCATGTAGCTTCCCCCTATATTTATGTTATTTCTGTAGAATAGCTTCCAAAAGTGGAATAACTAGGCCAATGATTCTGAACAGTTTTATTCTCTTGATACATATTGCCAAATTGTCTGCTAAAAGCTTACTAATTTACATAAACAATTTTGAACAAGAGTGAAAAGAGCAACTAAATAAAAACTTGGCAAGGAATAAAATAAGAACCACTCCATGTACACATCACGGATGTTAAATGCATTCTGGTGCATGTGCTGTGGGATAAGCATCTCGCTCTCATAGTTGAAAACAGGAAGAAAGCAAAGGCCCTCAGGCCTGTCGTGCTGTTATTATTTCCAGGCTCAGGCACTGTAGCTCTTGTGGCTGCACAACAGAATCACCTAAAATATTTCAAACTGCTGCTATCCAGGGCTGGCCCCTAAATATTCTAGTTTACTTAGCCTGGGGCGTGGTCTCGCTCTGAGATGGCAGAAGGTTTCCAGGTGATTCTATTGCGAGGCCAGGTCAAGCAGCCCTGCGTGGTTTCGGAGGCAGTCAGGGAGATTGAAGAGGTCAACAGAGACAGAGACACTGAGTGATGTCCCTAGCCCCGGTGTTTCCTCCTCTGTTTCCTGTGCCCTGGGGAGACCTCAGCCCATGGGTGCCAACAAGTCTCTCACTGCTCCTCCCATCCTGAGGCCGGAAAGGCTGGCTACATTCAGCTCCCACGGGCCCCAAGGACTCCTAAGAGGATTAAATGAGGAAGAACACAAAGTCAGGGACAACTGTGGAGTTTCCAAACTGCCAGCTAAGGGACCTTAAAAGGATGGGAGGTCAGGCGCAGTGGTTCACGCCTGTTATCTCAGCACTTTGGGAGGCTGAGGTGGGAGGATCGCCTGAGCCAGGAGTTTAAGGCTACAGTGAGCTATGATCACACCACTGCACTGCAGCCTGGGTGACAGAGCGAGGCCGTGTCTCGAAAAAAAAAAAAAAAGCTAAAATGGAAATTCCAAATGTTCAACTTTAGGGCTTGGTAAACACATCATAGTATATTCACATACTGGAGTGTCACGTAGCCACTAAAAAGAATTTATTTGTGCTAAAATGAAAAGTTCTTCAAAATTCTACATGAAAAAAAGCCAGGTGCAGAAGAGATGTACAGTATAATCTGATTTAGGTAAAAAGAACCCTATTACATACATGCTGACTTGTTTACACACAGAAGGTGTCGGAAAAGATACATAAGAAATGAACAGGGCTGGGCGTGGTGGCTCACGCCTGTAATCCTAGCACTTTGGGAGGCCAAGGGGGGCGAATCACCTGAGGTTGGGAGTTCGAGACCAGTCTGACCAACATGGAGAAACCCCGTCTCTACTAAAAATACAAAAACTAGTCAGGCATGATGGCGCATGCCTGTAATCCCAGCTACTTGGGAGGCTGAGTCAGGAGAATCACTTGAACCCGGGAGGCAGAGGTTGCAGTGAGCTGAGACTGCGCCATTGCACTCCAGCCTGGGCAACAAGAGTGAAACTCCGTCTCAAAAAAAACAAAAAAAAAAAAAGAAAGAAAGAAAGAAATGAAATGAAAAGGAGTGGCGATCTTAGAAGGGTGGGTTTGGAGGTGTGGGAGTGGGGAGAGTGAAGGGGAGTTGAACTGTTCACCTTGGGCCCTTCTCTACTGCTTATAGTGTAGGTCTTAAATATGTATTACTTTTGTAATTTTATTTTTAAAAGACTATTATATGGTTTTCCAATAACGGGGGGCGGGGAAGAAAGACAATAGTAAGAATAATAATCTCATACATTCCTCCTAGCACATTACAGTTCTAAAAGCACAATCACTCTTTTGAGATGAGTTGGATCAGTATTATTCTCATTTTATAAGCAAAGAAGCTGAAGCTACAAGAAGTAAACAAACAGCAAGATAATCAGGACTGATCACATGTAGACTTGAGTTCCAGGCTTCCAACTTCTAACCTTCTGATCTTAACATCCTTTCTGTGATTCCGTACTTCAGAAATAAATCTCACAGAAGCAGGATTCGGATGTCCCAGAAAACACTGATTTCCACTTGCCATGGATTTTTCTGCCCTCAACCACCCACACTGGAGCTTGGGAGGCATGGAAAAGTACCTGGGGGAGCCTGCTCCCACAGGAGAAGGGGAGAAGCAGAGCTGGGCAACTGACCTTCAAGGAGGCCAGTGGTGATAATGGGTCCACTTAGCAAGCAGGCCCCTCCCCTGGGAGTTCTGTGGTCTGAAGCTCCCTGTCTCCCAGGATGTGAGCTGAATGAAGGGGAGAGGCAGTCTGAGAGTAACCTGGCTGGAAGTGTGTGAGGGAAGAGGAGAAAATACAATCACTGATCATTGAAAATGCAACATGCAGCACAAAGCTTAGCAGCTAAAGTTAGCTCCCAGTCCAACCCTAATCACCAACTCTGGGCCGGAAAGCGTTAACCAACCATCACCACTGAGTTTGGGCCTCAATTCCCCCTTGCCCCCAGGCAGAATTCTTCAGAGCAAAGCAGAGAGAGATAGCAAATAGCTCAAGCTCCATCAGAGCCCCATAAAACACCACACTGGCTGAGGCCAAGAGAATCTTTTAAAGGTCATTTGTGTACCTGGCTTCCACACTGCACACCTCTCCACCACTCTCCACTATATCTCCAGTGCTTGTTGGGTGGGGGTGGGAGGGGTGCATCTTCCTTGCCTCTGTGTCCCCCACAGCGTCTTGCCTCCAGCTGGCATAAAAACACCTCCATAAGTGTATATCAAAGTAAATGGAATGGACACCATCAAAGATGGTGAAGACGGTGATGGCCAATAATTATTCTGTTTAATTAATTAATGCCATCAATTATATAAATTATACATTGTATGTTATAAACATAATATATTATTATATTTTATCAATTTTATAAGTTTCTATAAATTTTTAATTTATAATGCATTTGTTTATTTACAGGTTTTTTTTCTTTCTTTCTTTCTTTTTTTTTTTGAGACAGGGTCTCACTCTGTCACCCAGGCAGGAGTGCAGTGGCACAGTCACGGCTCACTGCAGCCTTGACCTCCCAGGCTCAAGCAATCCTCCCACTTCAGCCTCTTGAGCAGCTGGGACTACAGGTGCTTGCTACCATGGCTGGCTAATTTTGTATTTTTCGTAGAGACAGGGTTTTTCCGTATTGCCCAGGCTGGTCTCGAACTCCTGGGCTCAAACAATCCTGAACCAGCCACCTCGGCCTCCCAAAGTGCTGGGATTACAGGCATGAGCCAGCATGCCCAGCCTACAGCTAATTTTTTATGAAGCTTGTGAAATAGAAACTAACCCTTACTACTCCATTTTACAGATGCAGACACTAAGCCCTACAGAGGTGAAGGAACTGTGGCCTCAGGCTGCACCGTGAGTAAGGGGAAGCCTGGAGTCTAAACATTGTGACTCACAGTTAGCACTGCTGCCCATACCACTTTGGAAGGACAGTGTGTTTCTCCAGCAGAAAGTGTTGAGCCATAATTAATCAGTAAGAGGTTTCCCAGGGAAGGATGGGGTAGTCAGAGTGGTGGGTTCAGAGCTACGTTTGATAGGGAATTATTTGGAGTTGTTAAGGTAAAGAATGAACCCACGAGGTGTGTTCATCTGATGAAAAATCTATCAAGCCAGACTTATGATTTGTGCACTTTTTTGTATGTAGGTTATGCTTCAATAAAAATTAAATTAAAAAAAACGAGTGAGCAAATGGTCCCTGAGGCCCCTGGTGCTGTCTTATATAGAAGGATGACTGGTTAATGCTTTTGCCTCCCAGTGGAGTAGGAGAAGACAGGTGTTCGCTCTCTTGGAATCTCTCCCTGCTCCACAGCATCCTCCACACTTGCACCAAGCTGTCATCCTGAAATAAAGGCCCAATCAGGTCCTCCTCTGCCTACAATTCCTCAGTGGCTTCTTGTTACCTGCAGAATAAATTCCACACTCCTTGGCAAAGCCAGACACATTCTGTGCCTACCCAGCTTTCCAAGTTAACACTTAATAATAGGAGAGGGGGCAGAAGTAGTAACTGAGCATGGAGACCCTGGGCTCAACCATCTCCTGGTCATGTGACCTTGGGCAGGTCTCTGAACCTCATCTGTAGGGTAGAAGTGATGGTAATGTACCAAGGTAGAGGCCATGGTGAAGGGAGCAGAGATTATGCACATCAAACATATAAAACAATGTCATGTATCCAGTTAGCTCTCAGTGAATGTTTGCAATCACTTTCCTTTTTCATCTGACTACCCCGACACCTTAGATTATTTCCTCACCATTCTCTGACCATAGGATTGTACTCTTTCCCTCCCATTCCTACATCTTCTCTACCCACCAAATTCTCCCCTTGTCTCTGTTGAGATGAACTCCCTTGTCCTCAGTTGAGATGAACTCAATGGCCATTCCTCTGGAAAGGCTCTTTCCAGCCCCTCCCTACCAATGTGAAACTTCTCCACCCGCTCTCGTGGTCCCATAGTGCTTTGTGCCTCCACTGGAGCACTTATTCTGTGGCACCTGCTCCGTCGTTTGTTCTTCAGTAGGGGACTTTCTCCATCACTGCTGCATAAACATCTTCTTGCTCATCTCCAGGAACCTCCCACTGAGTGATGGGCACTTTGCACATTGGAGAGGACAGCACCTGAGATGATTGTCCAGCAGGCGAACATCCCAGCCCTTTCTCGGAGACATGCCACTATCCCCAGCAATATTTTGTGCAGTGCAACTTCAATCCCACTTCCCAAGCCACTGTTGATAGGGCCAGGGCTGAGCAACCAATCCAAGCTGGCCTGACCGGTATGTGCAGTCCTGGGAATCATAAGTGGATGGAACAGCTGCTGCTGGTCTGGCCAGCACTGCCCCATCCCCACCTATTGTGGGTTGAATTGTGTCCCCTTCCCACCAGATAATGTTGAAATCCTAATCCCTAGCACATGAATGTGACCTTATTTGGAAATGGAGTCTCTGGAAATAGATGATCCAGTTAAGATGAGGTCATTAGGGTGGGCCCTAATCCAACATGACCCAGTGTCCTTTATAAAAAGGGGAAATCTAGACACAGAGATAGACATGTACAAAGAGAAGATGATAAGGAGACACAGGGGAAACACCGTCTATAAACCAAGGAACCCTGAGGCTACCAGACACTAGGAGAAAGGCAGAGAAAAGATTTTTCCTCACAGCCTTCAGAAGGAGCCAACCCTGCTGACACCTTGATTTCAGACTTCTGGCCTCCAGAACTGAGACACTAAATATCTGTTCTAAGCCACCCAGTCTGTGATACTTTGTTACAGCAGTCCTAGGACACCCTCCTTTTGATGTGCTTCTCCTCTCCTCTCAAGCATGTGGTTCGAGAAGAAGTTACTCTTTTCCTCCTCCCCTGTGGTCATTGTCATTGACATTGTTGTCACCATCATCATCATCGTCAACATCATTATCATCATAACTAACCCATACAGAGCCTAACTTTGTTGGGCACTATTCTAAGTAGTCTAAATTTAATCTTTATAAAATCTATGAGATGGGTCCTATTGATATCCCCACTTAACAGACAAGAACACTGAGATATAGAGAGGTTTAAGTGCCAAGAGTCACACAGCTAATCAGCAACAGAACCCGGATTTAAACCCAGGTAGTCTGACTTCGGAGCCTATAAGGGATAGAAACATGTCCCAAGCAGGATCAAGTAGAGTTCTAAGGGTTTTTTTAAAAAATTGAAATTTGGAGAAGAAGAGTCAAGCCTCTTAGGTGGTAAGATTTATCAGTCGTCATCAGGGGTTCATGGCCTTCAACATGTGTAAAGGGCAGGTCTGTATTAAAGAAAGGATGCTCACAGTCAGAGAAAAGAAATGGGGATATGAATGATATCCAGTCCCTTTCACCCTCTGTCAAGGAGGCTTAGTCCCAGCCCTGCCCTTTCCAAGGCTTGTTTATAAGAGCCCATAAATCATGGTTTTGTCCAAGCTAGTTATGTTGGGTTTTCATCATTTGCAAGCAGAAGATCCTGCACCAGCACACCTGCAAATTAAAAACTGGGACTGAAAGACTCCATTTCTATTGGGAGTGGTCTTTTGAGTGGCAGGGATAAAAATAAACCTTGGCTCCTTTGAGACAAGGATCTCATGCAAGAGACTGAGTATCAGAGAAAGCTGGGCTTTGCAGCCGGGGAGGAGGCAGTAGACGCCAAGAAAAGCAGAGAGGGGATGGAGAAAGAGCACGCCATGGAGTCCTGAGAGTTTTCCAGTTCTGAGGCTTGGCTGCATTCTCCCTGAATCCGTGTGATCCACACCCCCTTTTCAGTTTAAACTGGCACAAGTTGGTTTCAGTAGGTTGCATGCAAAGAATCATAAATAATACACATGCAATAGGAACTCAATAACTGTTGGATAGAATGCAAGGTTTTTAAGTGAGGCAGTAAGTAAGATGAAGATTATTTCTTAGGAATATTGCTCTGGAGCCTGTATGGCGGGGAGATGAGGTGGTGGAGTGCAGACAGTGGCAGAGATTCCAGAGATACCCACGGAGGGGAGAGGCCAGCGTGGCTAAGAAGGGAAGTGTGGGTGCTGAAGGGAAGGACTTGGTGGGATTCCACAACCAAGGAGATGAGGGAGTAACAGGAGAGAGGATGTCAAAGATAACTGGGAATTTGTGCCTGATTTCCAGAAGGAAGGATGATACCATTAATAGAAGGAGGGAAGTCAGGAGAGAAGATGAGCAGGCTCTGGCTCTCACACACCGATGCTGAGCTGAGGCACCAGTGACAGAGCTAATTAGCGTTAATTGAACAGAAAGAAACGGGGCCTGGTGTTTGGGAGAGAAGTCAGCTGCAGAATTAGAAATTCAGGGGTTCCCCTTAGCTGAGGGCTGAGGCCTGAGAGAGGCTGAGGCAGCCCAGGGAGAGCGCAGAGGAAGAAACCAGGGGAGACACATTATTTAGGAAACGAGAGACTAAATAACCTAAAAAATAAAGAGCAGGTAGAGAGGTGGGGCAGAAATGCAGCATGTGCAACACAGAGGAAATCGAGGAAGGAGAGGGTTTTCAGAAGAGGATCCTGGTGAATGGTGCTCAAAACTGCACACAGGCCAAACAAGGACGTTCTCAGGGGACTGAGACAAGGCAATTTAACTCACTGAGGAGGAGACCGTGGGAAACCTCCACGGGAGCAGCAAGTCGGTGATGAGGGTGGAAGACAGATGGGAAGTCCTTGGGGCAAGGAGGCTGCAAGTCATTTAATGCCACAGTAGTCTCCAGCTGTTTTTGCCTTCTCAGGGAGTGGTGACAATGATTTTACAACTAGGAAAATATCTGGATGCCCTGTTTGATGAGAAAGGTTGAAGGCTCCAGGACATAACCTGGATATGCTGGTGAGGTCATGAGAATCCTGAGCTACCCTGCCTGATAAACTGGGTTGAGGGGTTGGGGCTGTGGATTGGGGGTGGAGGTTAGCAGCCACCTCGTTAGTAGAGGGAGAAGATGTGGAGTGGTATCAGACAGGACTCTTGTTTGTAAACAACAGAAACCGACCCTGACCCTAGCTAACTTAAGCAGAAAAGAAATTCACAGGAAGGCTCACAGAATCCAGGAGAAGGCTGGGTGCAGTGGCTCACACCTATAATCCTAGCACTTTAAGAGGCCGAGGTAGGAGGATTGCTTGAGCCCACGAGTTCGAGATCAGCCTGAGCAACATAGTAAGACCCCATCTCTACTAAAAATACAAAAAATTAGCCAGACGAAGTGGCATGGGCCTGTAGTCCCAGCTACTTGGGTGGCTGAGGTGGGAGGATGGCTTCATCCCAGGAGGTCAAGGCTGCAGTGAGCCATAATGGTGCCACTACACTGCAGCCTGGGCAATGGGAGTGAGATCTGTCTCAAAAAAAAAAAAAATCCAGGAGAAGTATATTAGCTATTTTGGTACACAACAAATTACCCCAAGGCTTACAGGCAAAAAAATAACACACATTCATTATCTCATAATTTCTGCGGGTTAAGGATTAGGGAGCAATTTAGTGGGGTGGTTCTGGTTTGGGGTCTCTCATTAGGCTGTAGTTATGATGTCCGGTGGGCTTCAGTCTTCTCAAGTTATACTAGGGCTGGAGGAGCTGCTTCCAAGATGGCTCACTCACTAGGATGCCGACAGGAAACCTCAGCACTTCACTGGCGGTTGGCATGGGGCTTGATTTTCACAGAGGCAGGACTCTCCATAATCCCACCTCAGAGTCCTTAGGACATGGAAGGCAGCTTCTCCCATACGGGCAATCTGAGAGACAGAAAGGAGGAAGCCACAGTGCCTCTTCTGGCCTGGTCTCACAAGTCACACATGGTCACTTCTGCCATATTCTTTATTTATTTATTTTTTTTGAGACAGAGTCTCACTCTGTTGGTCAGGCTGGAGTGCAGTGGCACGATCTCAGCTCACTGCACCCTCCGCCTCCTGGGCTCAAGCAATTGTCTTGCCTCAGCCTACCGAGTCACTGGGATTACAGGCGTGTGCCACCATGCCCGGCTAATTTTTGTATTTTTAGTAGAGATGGGGTTTCACCAGGTAGGCCAGGCTGGTCTCGAACTCTTGACCTCAGGTAATCCACTCACCTCGGCCTCCCAAAGTTCTGGGATTACAGGCATGAGCCACCAAGCCCGGCCCACTTCTGCCACATTCTTTTCATAGGAAGTGAGTCACTAAGTCTAGCCCATCCTCACAGACAGGGAAATTAAGCCCCAGCTCTTGAAGGGGAGAAGTATCAAATAATTTTTGGACATATACTAAAATTAAAACTGTCCAGGAAAGTTGGAGAATGAGACTTGAAAAACAGGTAGAAAGCTGGACAGCCAATGCCCCAGCCAAGGCCACACCAAGGAGTAGCCTGCTCAGGGCTGGACACCCTAGGCCATGTTGCCCAGACATGGGTGCCCCTCTTATAAACTATATAAACATTCCTTCCGTTATTCATAGCACTCACTCCAAAGACAGAGCCACTGGCCTAGGCAGCTGGTTGGCTGAGTTTAGATCACTGTGCCCACACCTCAGCTACAATATGGCCTTCGGGGATGCTGCAAATATGAGGCAGGATTCTGACTGTCACCAAGACCTATATGGTTGCAGGTCTGCCAAACACACGTACAGGCACAGGCACCACTAGAGCAATCCCCATCACAGAAGGGTTTCTGTCTGATTCTCCAACCCCAGATGGGTGTCCAACAATTCAGTTCAATTCTAACACTGACTCCCAGAGTTAGTGTAGACCCCAAAGGTTAAGGGGCCACATCATGTTTGTGTCAGCACAGGATGGAAAGAAACCAAAGTGCCAGTATCTCTAGCTCCAATATTTTGTTTCCACCGAGATGCATATGCCTTGGTGGAAACGAGATATGGGAGCTAGAGATGACAAAGGAAAACGTCTCATCCCCGAGAGCCCCCAGAATCCCTCTGTGAGAGTCCTCAGTCAAGACTCTCCAAAGGTACTTAGTGGGGAGAAGGTGTTGGGTTGTTTCCCATCATAAATGGGAAAAGGTTTTGAGTCATTTAAATGTAACTATTAACAGAAGGGTGACCCCACAAGATAGAGGATCTGAGGATATCCTGGATGCTGACATTTGGCTTTAAATATAAACTTCAAGTCTTCAGTAATGTGAATGTTATTGTTAAGGAAGAAAATGATGTCTTCCAAGGTCAGCCCTAGATTTAGTTACAGCAAGTCAATGTGTTTTTGTTGTTGTTGTTGTTTTAAATGAGCTAGAGCCTGGGGCCTTGTAGGTAAAATCAGTTGGGGAGTTAAGTTATGAAAAAAAAAATGGGGAAAGTGAAAAAAACACAGACACATTAGAGATATAGTTCTCAAGGGAGACCTTCTGAGCAGGATGAAGTTCAAATGCACTACCACAGGGTCCTCTGGTTTCACTTAGGGTCCATGAAAGAGGCCCAAAAGCACAGGTCCTGGAACCATGACTGGGTAGAGTTTGTCTGGGGGACTCCAGCCACATGAGGGGGTGGTCATAATTCTAACTGAAGGCCAAGGGGTGGGCCTGCAGGACTACAGGGTTAAACAACTCACCAGCTAGAGTCAGGATGGGTAGGTGGAAAGGAGGGCAAGATGGTCAGAAGAGATAAGGACCCAGGCTGGAGAGGACAGGCAGAAAGCATACATACTAACTTGAGAACTGGGCTTTGTAATGTGATGTTTTCTTAATGAAATGTCAGATGCAGGCCCTGCAAATGAGTCTATGATGAATGTCCAATCAATGTCCAATAATGAGTTACTAATTATTGTTCAATAACCAACCACGCACTTCCTAGGCCTGCCCTGAAACAAAGGTTGACCGTTGTCACGGTCAGTCCCTCCTGGAGGACGGGCTGCTCACCCAGCTTCATTCTCCTGAAGCTGTCCTTCTATGTACTCATTTTTGGAAGGACGTAGCCTAGCCCAGGTCTGTGACAGTTCTTCTTTGGTCTTAAAATTACTTTATCAGTTTGTTCTGCTGTTTGTCTATATTCATGTTGAGAGGGTTTCCTTGTCTGTGTTGTCAAACCCTCTTGCTACAGTTCATTTCAGACATTTAATGAGCTCCTACTATGTGCTAGGCACTGGGGATACGAAGATAAATGAAGTAAACCAGATGCCGTGCCATCTTTGTCCTTAAGAGTTCACACCGTGTGTGTGTATGTGTGTGCGTGTATGTGTGTGCATGCACATGTGTGTGTATGTTGGGATATGGGTGTTGGAGTGGTTGAGAAACTGGACATTGTAGGAAAATATAATATATTGTAAAGAGGACTATCAAAGAAAAGCTAATTATCCATCCAGTACAAATGCTAGCTAAATATTTTACACAGATCATCTCATTTACTCATCAATAGAACTGTAAAGAAAGTACTGTTATTATTCCCATTTTACAGAAGGGGGATGTGAGGTCATGTCACTTCTCTAAGGCCACACAGCTAGTAAGTGGCAGAGCCAGGACTCATATCCATGCCTTTCTAAGGTCACAGTTTTTTTTAATTGTAGTTAATACACATAACATAAAATTTACCATCTTAACTAGTTTTAAGTGTACATTCAGTAATATTAAGTACATTCACATCGTGGTATAACCAATCTCCAGAATGCTTTTTATCTTGCAAAATAGCAACTCTAAACTTATTAAACATCTACTTCTCATTTTCCCATTTGTTTCTCCCCTGACTCCTGGCAACCACCATTCTAGCTCCTGTTTCTATGAATTTGACAATCCTTGGTAATTCATAAGTGGAATTGCACAGTATATGCCTTTTTGCGACTGGCTTATTTCACTTAGAATAATGTCCTCAAGGTTCATCAGTGTTGTAATTTGTATCAGAATTTCTCCCCTTGAAGGATGAGTGATATTCCATTGCATACCATATTTTGTTTATTCAGTCATTCATCAATGGACAGTTGCATTGCTTCCACATTTTGGCTCTTGTGAATAATGCTGCTATGAACATGGGTATACAAATATATCTTCAAGACACTCCTTTCAATTCTTTTGGATATATGCTCAGAAATGGAATTGCTGGGTCATATGGTATTTCTACATTTAATTTTTTGAGGAACTGTCATACTATTTTCCGTAGTGGCTGCACCTTTTTACATTCCCACCAACTGTGTACAAGGGCTCCAATTTTTCCACCCCTTGCCAGCACATGTTATTTCTCCATTTCTTTATTTAATTTATTTTTTCCTTCCTTCTTTCCTCCCTCCCTCCCTTCCTCTCCTCCCTTCCTTCCTTCCTTTCTTTTTCTTTCTTTTTCTTTCTTTCTTTTCTTTCTTTCTTTTCCTTTTCTTTTTTTCTTTCTTTCTCTCCTTTCTTCTCTCTCCTTCTCTCCTCTCTTTCTTTTCCTCTCCTGTTTCTTCCCCCTTTTCTTTCTCTCCTTCCTCCCTCCCTCTCTCCTTTCCTTCCTTCCTTCCTCCCTTCCTCCCCTCCCTTCCCTTTCCTTCTTTCCTTCCTTCCTTCCTTCCTTCCTTCCTTCCTTCCTTTCTTCCTTCCTTCTTTCCACTATAGCAGCCATCCCAATAGGTATGAGGAGGTGTCTCCTTGTGGTTTTGGTTTTCATTTCCCTAATGATTAGTATTGTTGAGGATATTTTCATATGCTTGTTGTATATTTTCTTTGGACATATCTATTCAAGTCCTTTGCCTATTTTTAAATGGTGTGTGTGTGTGTGTGTGTGTGTGTGTGTGTGTGTGTGTGTGTGAGTTCTTTCTATATTCTGGATATTAACCCATTATTAGATATATCATTTGCAAGTATTTGCTCCCATTCTGTAGGTTGCTTTTTTACTCTGTTGATTGTGTCCTTTGAGGCACACAAGCTTTAAATTTTGACACAATCCAGTTTATCTATTTTTA
The DNA here is from genome assembly GCF_000001405.40 of Homo sapiens. Classification (NCBI taxonomy): domain Eukaryota; kingdom Metazoa; phylum Chordata; class Mammalia; order Primates; family Hominidae; genus Homo; species Homo sapiens. The sequence goes on from NC_000003.12 coordinate 123,060,752, forward strand.
CTTTTGTTGTTTGTGCTTTTGGTTTCATATTTAAGAAATAATTGCTAAATCCAATATCATGAAGTTTCTGTGCTGTGTTTTCACCAATAATTTTATAGTTTTAGCTCTTACATTTAGGTCTTTGATCCATTTTGAGTTAATGTTTGCATATGGTGTGAGATAAGGGTCCAATTTTATTCTTTTGCATGTAGACATCTAGTTTTCCCGACACCATTTTTTGGTTCTCCATTGTTAGCCACTATTAGGTGTACCATTCAGTGGCATTAAGAACATTCACGTTGTTGGGCAACCATCACCATTATTCATCTCCAGAACTTTTCATCATGCCATACTGGAACTCTTTACCCATTAAACAATAGCTCCTCCTCACCCAGCCCCTGGAAACCATGTTTCTACTTTCTGCCTCCATGAATGTGTCCCAGTCTTTGTCTTGAGGACCATGTTCTACATGGGAAATTGTACGAGCACAGAGCAGGGACACTTAGCTCTGGACTGGGGGGGTGTCAGTAGGAGGATGACAAGTGTAAGAAGAGGCTTTTGAAGGAGAGGTGCTCAAACTCGGTAGATACCAGCCAAGCAAGGGAGTGAGGGAGGAGCTGCATGTCAGCAGTTGGGATGAGCGGAAGCAAAGGCTTGTGAGGCAGCTTGGGGTATTCTGGGCACCACGAGTTGTCCCGGTCAGTCCCTCTTGGGGGGATGGGCTGCTCGCCCAGGCGTTGAGGTTACTGAATTATTTCCCAACTGTTTCTTCTTTGGGATCCCCGCTACCTTTCACCTTCCCTGTTCAGAGCTGACTTTTCTTTCCTTCCATCTCATTCCTCCTCTTTTTTAAAATCATGAACTTCTTTGTGAAACGTAACATATGTACCTTGTATTATTAGTCCATTCTCGCACTGCTATAAAGAAATACCTGAGACTGGGTGATTTACAAGAAAAGAGGTTTAATTGGCTCATGGTTCTGCAGGCTGTTCAGGAAGTATGGCAGCATCTGCTTCTGGGGAGGCCTCAGGGAGCTTTTACTCATGGTGGAAGGCAAAGCGGGAACAGGCGTCTTCACATGGCCAGAGCAGGAGGAAGAGAGAGAGGGGGGAGGTTCCACCCATTTTTAAACAACCAGATTTCACAAGAACTCACTATACAGTACCAAGGGGGGATGGGGCTAAACCATTCGTGAGACCACCCCCACGATCCACTCACCTCCCACCAGGCCCCACCTCCAACACGGGATTACAATTTGACATTTGGGTGGGGCGACAGATCCAAACCATATCATACTTTATAGTCTCTGGGTGTGTGTGATTAATTCTCACAGTGTAAACATGCCCGTGTGCCCTGATTCAGACGTGAAATCTTACCAGCACCTCAAGAGGCCCCCTTCCAGTGACTACTGACATCCTTCCCCCTGGAGTAACCACTATTTTGACTTCTAACAAAATAGACAACCTTTGCCTCATGTTTCTCATATAAACGAATCCTACAGAATGTACTCTTCTGTGTCTGGCTTCTTTGGTTCAACATTCCTCCTTTTCTTTCTGGGCCGATTCTTATCTTGCCTGAATGCAGAAAATGGTCATTGTGCTAGTCCTCATCCCAGCCGAGATGATGGAGGGGAACTGGCTACACAAATATAAGGTGGTGTCACAATTCGCAATAAACTGCAGGACAAGAAGTGTCTCTGGCCTGGCCCCGCGGGGCTGCTGCTGGAAAATGGATGGTGCCCATTGAGGGCTCTAATGGAGGAGGGACAGTGCTTGCCCTGTGCTATTCTCCTAATATTTCAAGGAGAGTGAAGCTTAGAATTGGTAAGCATTCCCAGAAGGGCTACGAATCGCATTTTAGCTTGTTTCAATTGCAGAATGAAATGGCTTGTTTTCTTGGAAATTTTTATTTGCCCCCCTCGGTCCCTTGCCCTCTGTTTCCCTGGCTCTCAGGTGCATAGCTTCCTTCCTGCCTTCCTCCCTTCAACTCTTGCCCCTTTTGGCAGTTACATTTCTGCAGAGTTCAGCCCTCCCTGGACCCAGGAACTTTTAGCCAGTCTTGAACTTCGAAGATACAAGAGCTACAAGGAATCCTGAAGATTAGCTGATTCACACCACCCTTCAATGTTCAGACTTAAGAAAAAGACTGAGAGATAGTGTATATAAAGCGTAAAATCTTAGTATCTAGTTTAGAAAATAAATCAATTCAGCTGGAATAATAAATTAATTTCAACACATCTTAAATGTCATGTAACTATCATTGAATCAAGATACAGGCTGGGCATGGTAGCTCATATCTGTAATCCCAGCACTTTGGGAGGCCAAGGCAGGCAGATCAGTTGAGCCCAGGAGTTCAAGACCAGCCTGGGCAACATAGCAAAACCCCGTCTCTACTAAAAATACACAATTAGCCCGGTGTGGTGGTGTGAGCCTGAGGTCCCAGCTACTCGGACGGCTGAGGTGGAAGGATGACTTGAGTCTAGGAGATGGAGGTTACAGTGAGTGAGATTGCATCACTGCACTCCAGCCTGGGTGGCAGAGTGAGCCTGTCTCAAAACAGAGAAACAAAAAAGCAAGATGCAGAGCATTTCCAGTACCTGGAAGGTTTGCTCATGCTTTCCCCACAGTCCGTCTCTATTCCTCATCCACTTGTTTTCTTTTATCGAACAGGCAGATTGTACTTGCCTGTTCTTGAACTTCAGATAAATGGAATCATACAGTACATATTATTTTGTGTCTGGCTACTTTTGCTCAACATCAGGGTTTTGAGATTCATCCACGTTGTTGCATATTATCAGGAGTTTGTTCTCTCTCTCTCTCTCTCTGTCTCTCTTTTTTGCAGAATATGCTATCGCTAATTTATCTACTCTCCTGTTCTGACAGTTGGGTTGTTTCCAGTTTGGGCTACTGTATCAGTTTGTTAGGGCTGCCGTAACAGACCACCATAGGCTGGGTGGCTTAAATGACAGAGGTTGTTTTTTATTATTATTATTATTCTGAAAGCTAGAAATCCACGATCAAGCTTTTGGCAGGGTTGATTTCTTCTGAGGGCCTCTCTCCTTGGCGTGTCACTGGCCATTCTGTCTTCTCTCTGTGTCCTCACATGGTCTTTCCTCTGTATATGTGTCCTACTGTCCTCTTTTTGTAAGGATACCAGCCATATGGGATTAGGGTCCACCACAATGACCTCATTTAACCTTAATTACCTCTTCAAAGGCTCTAAGTACGGTCATATTCTGATGTAGTAAGGGTTAGTTAGGACTTCAACATATGAATTTGGGGGGGACACAAGTCCATAACAGCTTCTGTGAATAAAGCTGCCATGAACATTTTGGCTCAGATTTTGTACATGTACAGTTGTCCAAAGTAGGTGAGCCAATTTACACTCCCACAGCAATGCGTGAGTGTTCCAGTAGCTCTGCATCCTCACCAACTGCTTCATTTGACAGATGAGAAACAGAGACCCACAGAGAGGGGTGCAAATCTCACTTTCCCATGTGCAGGTCATAAGTTCGAGGTTGCAGAGCAGAGCATGCCAAGGAAGCCCTGTCCCCAAACTGCTTTAGGAATTTCTGACACTTCCCAACACATTACTTAGCTCAATCATTCAGTCATTCATCAAAAAGAACAGTGAGAACCATCTGTGGCTCCGTCCTGTGCTAGGTCCTGGAAGCAAGGTGATGAACAGAGGGACAGGAAACTGACATTCAGGTTGGAGCAAGAGACAATGAACACAAGGACTCAGTAAGTCTTGTGGGTTTTGGTAGGTGCTGGGCAAAGAAGCAACAGAACCTAAGCAGAAGTTGAGATAGAGAAAAAGGAGCTTGGCAGTGGGGAGGGTAAACTCACCTGTAGATGGGCTGCTCTGAAGGGCATCTCTGAGAGGGGATAGATAGGAGAACCCTGAAGGATACAAAGGCGCCAGCCAGACAAAGGCCAAGGAAATTGCCAAGGCAAAGAGAATGGGAGGAGCACAAGCCCTGAGGCAGGAGCAGCTCTGGAGAGGGGAGGGGTGAGGAAATGATGGTCTGTGTAACTGGACCCAGTGGACAGGGGTTGTGGGAGGCAGGAGATGAGGTCTACCGGGCGGGCGAGGGCCTAGACCATGCAGGGCTTGCAGGTCTTGGGAAGAGTTTGGATTTTATTCTAAGGGTAATGGGAAACCACTGGAGGGTTTCAGGGGAGGGGCAAGCAAGATCCAACTGACATTAACATATGGATGGCATGGGGGAGAAGCAGGCACACTCTTTCAGAAACTGTTACCCTTCCCTAGGTGATAGTCACTTAGACTTGGGAGGTGGCAGGAGAGATATATTCTGGAGGTAAAATTGACAGGATGTGGTGAGGGGTTGGATGGGCCTGTTGTGAATAGGAAGCGAGTAATGGATAACTTCTAAGTTTTGAGCTTTGACTCTCCTGACAGAAGGCAAGGACCTTTCAGCTATAACTTACCAACCTCTGACTGTGCTGTTCTCTTGTTCATCTCACTACTGGATATCTTGAGCCTCAGGACATAGTAAGTGTTCAATAAACATTCTTGAATGTATGAACTGACTGCATGCAAGAATGCTTTAGCACAGCAGGGCCCAACCTTTTTGTCACCAGGGACCGGTTTTGTGGAAGACAAGTTTTCCACAGATGGTGGGGGGACAGGGGATGGTTTTGGGATGAAACTGTTCTATCTCGGATCATCAGGCATTAGATTCTCATAAGGCACCCACAACCTAGATTTCTTGAATGTGCAGTTCACAATAGAGTTCACACTCCTATGAGAATCTAATGCCACCACTGATCTGACAGGAGGCAGAGCTCAGGTGGTAATGCTCGCTGGCCCACAGCTTGCCTCCTGGTTCCTAACAGGCCACAGACTGTCCAGAGGCCCAGCGTTTGGGGACCCCTGCTTTAGCACAGGGAATGGGTTCAATAAAGAGTTTTTTTCTTTTGAAAATTTTTACTCAGGTAAAATTCACATAACATCAATTAACCATTTTAAAGTGTACAGTTTAGTGGCATTTAGTACCTTCACAATGTTGTGGAACCATCATCTCCATCTAGTTCCAAAATGTTTTATCACTCCCAAAGGAGTCCCTATACTCATTAAGCAGTCATTCCCCATTCCTTCCTCCCCACCCCCACTACTATGCTTTCTGTCTCTGTGGATTTACCTATTCTAAATATTTCATAAGATGTAATCACATCATATGTGACTTTTTGTGTCTGGCTTCTTTCATTAGCATACATTTCTGAGATTCATTCATTGTAGAATGTATTAGCATTTTATTCTCTCCCCCCCACCTTTTTTTTTTTTTTTTTTTTTGAGACAGGGTCTCACCCTGTGGCCTAGGCTGGGGTGCAGTGGCATGATCTTGGCTCACTGCAGTCTCCATATCCCAGGTTCAAGCAATCCTCCCGCCTTAGCCTCCCAAGTAGTTGGAACTACAGTCCCTTGCCACCACACCAGCTATTTTATTTTATTTTATTTTTATTTTTAGCAGAGATGAGGTCTTGCTATGTTGCCCAGGCTGGTTTCAAACTCCTAGTCTTACACGATTCTGCTGCCTCAGCTTTCCAAAGTGTTGGGATTACAGTCATGAGCTGCCCTGCTGGGCCACTTTATTCCTTTTAATGGCTAAATAACATTCCATTAGATGGATGTATCACACTTTGTTTACCCATTCATCCTTTGACAGACGTTAGAGTTGTTTCTACCTTTTGGTTATTGTAAATAGTGTTGCTGTGAACACTGGTGTACGTGCATTTGTCTGAATACCTGTTTTCAATTCTTTTGGGTATTAGCCTAAGGGTGGAATTGCTGGTCATATAGTAATCTATGTTTAACTTTTTGAGGAACCACCAGATTGTTTTCCAACAGCTCAATAATGTTTTACTGAAGTTAAATAGAATAAGCAGGAGGGAGTCTGGGAGGCAGGGATGAGGGCTTTTCCTGTCCTTCACAGGCAGCCCTGGACTCTGCCATTTACCGGCTGTGTGATCTGGATCAACGTACTTAAATTCCCTGCGCTGCCTCCTAATCCTCAAAGTGGAGAAAATAAAACCTAATTTCTGTGAGCTGCGTGAGATACTGTTTCTGAAGCTCCAGGCACAGAGTAAGCCCCCGCTCATTAATTGCCTTCCCTTACTCCCTGACCTTGCCTTTTCGCACTTCACTCGCTGCCACGTGGCCTCGGAGCCCAGTCCGCACCCGCAGCCCCCAGCTGAGCCAGGCTGCAGACTACAACTCCCAGCGAGCACTTCTTCCCGGCCGCCTCTCCCCAGCTGCTGCGCATGCTTTGGCAGACGTGGCACCGGGAACTCGGAGGCGGGGAGCGGCTGGGAAGTGGCCGTGGTGGTTGGCCGCGGTGGAGCTAGCAGGCGGGCGGGCGGGAGCGGGCGCCGGAGTGGAGAAAGGAGCCAGCGGTGGGCAGCGCTGCTGGGATGGCGCGGGCCGGGCCGGCGTGGCTGCTGCTGGCAATCTGGGTGAGACTGTGGGGCAGGGATCCGGGCCGGGCCAGCACGTGTGTCCCGCGTGCCCTTCTGCGCTCTCTGCTCCAGCCCTCTGCGGAACGTGCGGGGAGCTGCCCCGGGGCACCGGGATGAGGGCGTGCATGCCAGGCAGGCGGGCACTGGGTGCTACGCGGGAGACAGCGGGCGTCCCGGTGCCCTCGCCGCCAAGCGCTCCCGGACGCAGGGGCAGGAGGCAGCTGTGGGGCGCCGGGAGATCCCTGGCAGGGTGCTTACGCCACGGCCACAACTTTGCGGGGATGCAGGTCGGGGCACAGCCGGTCGGGCAGGACGCCGGCGGGCTGCGGGGTGAGCTCCGCTCCAGACTCCGAGCCCTGCACCTGTGTGAGTGCGGGGTGGGATGGGGGTGCTTACTACCTGCACTGCCGGAAACCTTGGTTTAGGGCCACCTTGTTCTTGGCTTCGGCCCCAGGCGTCTGGGAAACTGCGGGCCACCACCTGGGCCTCCGCCCACAGGCCAGGCTCGGTGGGCTGGGTGGGGTCGACGTAGCCCGCCCCGGCGGAGGAGCTGCTCCTACACCCAACTGAGGCGGGCTCGAGCCTCAGCCACTTTCTAGCTGTGTGACGCGGCGGTTCATTTAATGTATCTGAGCTAGTTTCCTCATGCATGATATAGAAAGGCAAAGCTACCCCCATAGGGTGGTTCTGAGAGTCGGATGAGGTCTCAGTGGAGGAAGCTGTGTAAACTGCAAAATCTTACAAAAGTGGAAAAGGAGTGGACTCCAAGAGTAGTTTGCTACACTTGGTGGGGGGGACTCCAGGCATCCCTGAGAGAGGTCGGAATGGGTGTGCCTGCCGGCCCAGGTCTGGGGTTTGGCCTTCGTTTCGCTGTGGGTGTGTGATGAGATATTGTGGCCTCCTTCCCCATCTTTTCCATAACTTATGCGCTCCCTTATTTTAGGACCATCCTGGTCCTTTTCCCCTGAAGTTCCAGGGAACTTCCTGTTCCTGGCACCCTCCCCCCAACCCAGATTTTCCCGTTCTTTTCCATTTGGGTGTGGCAAGGACACTGGGCAAATGGGAGGAGAAAAGTGTGGGTTGAGTTGCTTGAAACACTTCCATCTCCCAATACCCTGGCCTTTTGGATCACCAGTGAGGAGTGGCCTGGTACTCTCTGGTTGGAAGTGGGTGGGGAAAGAAGCCCCCTGTTCTCTTCGGTCTGTGTTCTCCCTCTTGGGGAGAACCAGGCTGGAGTGGGGCAGTGTCACTTAATTGCGTCTGGGTTTGTTGAATGCTGGTTTGCCATCAGTTCCCTGGAGCCAGTTGGTCTGGGCGGGTCTCTGGGCCAGGAGGAGGGAGCTATCTCCTGAAACGCCCCCCATCGGTCTTTGCACTTGGGCTGAGTAGGAGGTCCTGCTTTCCTCCCTTTCCCCTCCCTTTTGTGAAAACAAACGGCTTGAGAATCTGAAATTTCATTCGGCAGACATTTATTTGTCAATCACATTGTTTGGATTGATATTTTGCCCTCCACTGGGTTAGATTTTGGGCGGAGAGCAAAACACACATTGTACCTGCCGTCTGGTGTTGCCCTGGATTGGGCAAAGGAGTCAGTCCTGTGAGCAAATAATGACAGAACTGCAAGTGCTGTGACCTTAAGTACTAGTATCCTTCACTGAACCGGAGCCATACGTTGATTTAAAGGGAGGTCAGCCATGGCTTTCCTGAGGTGGTAGGGTTGAACAGAGTCTGAAAGATGTGTGGTAGTTAGCTAGGCAGTGGAGGGCTGCAGGTCCCCTTCACCAGGAGGTGCGGAAGAGCAGGTAGGTTTGCTGAAAGCACTAGAACCTGGGAGTCCTGAGCAAGCAATTTCTATCTTCTCCTTTCCCTAAGCCCTAGAGTTGGCTTAGCGGGTAGGAGGTGGAGGGAGCATGCCAACAGGAGCAGTGGTGAGTGATTGCTGGACAGCGCGTTGGGTCTTTGTAAATTTAAATGCTGTATCTATCTGATAAGTGCTCCCCAGGTTCCTGGAAGCCGGTTGGGTTTCTTTGTTCACTCAATATTTACTGAGGGCTGATATGTGCACAGGACTGGGCTGTGACCTGAAGGGTATAAAGGCATCTGCAGGGATTCGTGTACAGGGATATACACCCACCACATTTTTTACAATAGCAAAATGTGGAAATGGGTTAAATGCTCAATAATAGTGGCATGGTTAAATAATATCTGGCCTTGTCCATATCATGGAAAGTGATATTTATCTTTTTCAGTTTGGCCTGCTATAAGAAATATCCCATAGACTGGTGGTGTAGAACAATTGAAATGTATTTTTCACAGTTCTGCAGACCAAAAGTCCGAAATCAGGGTGCCAGCATGGTTGAATTCTAGTGAGGACCCTCCTCCAGAAGACTCTTGACTTCTCACTGTATTCTCATATGATAGAAAGAAGACTAGACAGTTCTCTTGGGTCCCTTTTTCAAGGGCACTAATCCTATTCATGAGCGATCCACCCTCATGACCTAATTACGTACCAAGGGCCCCACCTCCTAACACCACCACTTTGGGGGTTAGGATTTTAACATATGAATTTTCAGGGGAATGACAGAAATACTCAGTCCTGGCCGGGCACAGTTGCTCACACCTGTAATCCCAGCAGTTTGGGAGGCTGAGGCGGGTGGATCACCTGAGGTCAGGAGTTCGAGACCAGCCTGGCCAACATGGTGAAACCCCGTCTCTACTAAAAATACAAAAATTAGCCAAGCATGGTAGCGGGCGCCTGTAGTCCCAGCTACTCAGAAGGCTGAGGCAGGAGAATCGCTTGAACCCAGGAGGCAGAGGGTGCAGTGGGCTGAGATCGCGCCACTGCACTCCAGCCTGGGGGATGGAGCAAGACTCCATCTCAAAAAAAAAAAAAAAGAAGAAGAAGAAGAAGAAATATTCAGTCCATTGCAATGTTTATAAAGAATATTTTTATTTACCAGAATATTATGTTTATTATGAAAACATTTTATGATGTTTATGAAGAATATCTAAGGATGTGGAAAAATGCCCAAGTGTGATAAGTAAGGGAAAAGCAGGATGTAAAACCAAATCTGAGGGTGGCTGAAGTTACATGTATGAAGAATTAGTGCATCAAAATGTTAACAGTCATTGTTCTGGAAGGTGGAGTTGTGATGACTTCTGCTTCTTTGCTTATGCTTTTCTGTGGATTCCAAGTTTTTCACATGAATATGTATTAGTTTATAATCAGAAAAGTTAATAAAGATTTTTTAAAATGTTGCTTTGGGAACCCTTAGCCTTCCAAAAGAATACTGGGGAGGAAGGTGTCACTGTCAAACACGTGGGACAGGTTAGTTCCAAGAGCTTCCAGGCTGGGTGTCTGTGCCCTCAGAGGCTATGGGTGGCGGTGCCCTCCCTGCCAAGTGCTCCTGGACACAGGGGCAGGAGGTAGCCCTAGGGCACAGGGCGATCCCTGCCGAGCCATGCTGCCCTGCTCCCATCCCTGCGCTGACTGCCTGCTTTCCTGCTGTCCAGCTCAGCTCATCCCTGCAGCTGACTCTTCTCTAGGGCCGTCCATGCTGATTGTCCTGTTGGCTCCATCCAGCCTGTAGGATGGAGAAACGTCGAGCTGGAGTGAACTCTAGGTCTCCTAGCTCAGTGGTTCTCAAGCATTGGGCCAAGGACTGAAGCTGGGCTGGGATAGAGTTTTCTGGTCTGCAGTCAAACTGGAAAAAAAAAATGGTGTATTTTTTTGTTTGTTTGTTTTTCATGAATGCAAATGTTTTCAGTTTAAAAAGTTGTCAATTTTTCTGACATGACGATATTTTGAGGGGGAGGGGGTTACAGCATCCCTTTGAAAAATGAGGCTGGTTGTAGTATATTGTGATTTCTTTTTAAAAGCCCTTTCTTGATAAAATTTATTTTTAATAATATAAAATCCATTTTATATTTAAAAATATATATATTCTGCTGATCTGTGAGATTCAGAACTGATCTAACTCAGCCTTCTCCTTTTATAGGAGAATAGCGAGGCTTAGGGAGGGAAGGGACTCACTCAAGGCCACCCAGTTAGTGAAGGCAGAGCTGGGAGAAGAGCCAGATCTGCTGAATGTAAATCGGGTTCTTCCCACTCATCCATCTCCCGCCTGCTTCTCTGCCTCTGCCCCTGATGGTCGCTTGAAGCTCAGACCCTGGAGGACAGTGGGTGGAGGTGCAGGAGGCAGATGTTTGTTCCTGGCATCTCCTGTAGAGCTTTTAAGGTACACTTATTTAGGTTCTGTACTTCTCTGGGACGATTATATATTTAATAGGCTTTTGTGGGTTGGCCTGAGGACTGAATTGCCATTTAAAATGCTGTTTGGAACCTGTAGTGCACATTTCCCACAGAAATAAACACATTACAGCGGAAGTCTTAAAACAGACCCGGCATATAAGGTGGAAGTGTGGCTGAGTGCCATAAGAGTGGCAGCCCCTGTGTGCTGGGGATCCAGGACGAGGCCAAGCAGTGGGACACCGAGTGATCAGAGAAGGCCCCAGGAAAGAGCAAGGTGTGGACTGGCCTCACAAGGAGGGCAGACTTGGAGCTCTGTGACAGCAGGGAGCCCCCTGTCCTGGCTGTAGTGTCCCCAGCACCTAGCCCAGGGCCTGGCATGTCGTCAGCCCCGGTCCGTGTTTGGCTGATGGAACTAATGTCACAGGCAGAGAAGGAAACCTTCCAAGCCAGAGACATGGGAAATGAGGAATGATAGGCCAGGCTGGATGGAGGGAGGGTTTGAGTCTGGGGATGAGGGGAGTAAGACTGAAAAAGTGGATCGTAAAGAACTTTAAATGCCTGGCAAAGCTGTGGGGGACTCGATTCTGTAGGTAATGGAGAGACTTGATGAAAGCTGCCCTTTTAATAACAAGATCAATCAGGCCGCATGTAGGGTTGGGTGGGAGGGGGAGAGACTAATTTTCCCAGAACAACACTTTCATCCTTACTTTCCTCTCTGTTATCTACAAGATAAATTCAAGTGTTATGTAGTGGAAAGAACATGGGCTTTTAGCCAGCTAGACACTCAGGAGCTGCGTGACCTTGGGCCCTGCCTCAGTTTTCTTGTTTGTTAGTGGTGGTAATGATATCCATCTTGCAGTGTTGAAAGGATTAGAAAAAATACAGGAAGCACCCAACACAGCGCTTGGCACGTGAAAGTGCCCAGTCACTGGGAGTCTCAGCAGTCATTGCCAGTTGTTGAGTAAGAGATGATGGGGAAGGCAGTTAAGAGGAGGAGGTGGGCAAGGAAGGGCCAGAGAGAGGCTGCATGATTTGAATGCCAGGTACGGGTACCCCTGTGCAGCTAGGATTCTCCCCACGGGAGTTACTTGGAGCTGAGCTCTTGACTGCCTCCTTGCCTCCTCTCTGCCAGGCTGCTGCAGAGATCCCAGGTAGGGGGGGTGGTGCAGAAGGGCTCAGGATGTAAGTGTGCTTGGTTTCTCTCCCCTTTCTTCTGAAAGTAGATCCCCTCTTGAGAATGAAGACACCAAACACACTGTATCCCAGGAGGGTTTTGCCCCAGCTTTGTGGTTTTATTCTGTTGGGCTCTTGTGTCTTGCTTGGTGGTTGTGGTAGCCTTTGAGGCTGAGTGACAATGGGCCAGAAATGAATGCATGGGGTATAAGGAGAGGCGGAGGTTCTTCCACATAACCTGGACTTGGGATGGTTTATTTGCCCCCTACCTCTCCTTCTGTGTGTGTGTGTGTGTGTGTGTGTGTGTGTATGTGGTGTTGTTGTTTTTAACACCTGGCATCTTAGGTCCCAACGGGAGAGGGAAGGAGCAGGAGTGCTCAGCCCTGGTGGGCTGGCCCATTCCTTCTGCCTGGCCATCTTTCAGCACTGCCTGGAGCCTCTGGCTCCCCGTGTGATCTGTTGGCAGAATTGTCAAATCGGATGCATTTGTAGAGGGCTTGAGAGTTTGCAAAGCATTTCCACGTATTTCACGACGGTGTGGTTTTGAGCCCCATGTAACTTGGTGAGGTGAGTAGGCTAGCCCAGTACCATCATCCCTGGAGAGGGATGGGTGGCTGGACAGGGAGGTGGGAAGCAACATGTCCTTAGACGAGGTTGAGGTGTCTGTGGCCTGGAAGATGAAGGCATAAAGAGATAGGTGGGGACCACAGTCAGAGTTCTCAGTGCCTGGCTTGAATGTGTAAGCAGCTGCGTTGGCAGCCATTTTCCAGGAGTGTCCCTGAAACTTGCTTTTCAGCTGCTCCCTGGTGGCTTTGGCATTGGACAGGGGTGGCCAGCCAGGTACATGCTGACTGTATCCTTCCCCCAAGGAGCTCCAGTTCACTGTCCCCTATTGCCACCCTACATCAGCAGGGCCTCTTTCCACATACCAGTTTGCAACCACTTCTAAATAATTAGCTTTGTGATCTTACATTGGGGGGTTGAAGACACTCATGGAGTGTGGGGTTAAAAGAGCCTTTATTCCTCAAAGTCATACTGAGGCCCCAGTCTGATGCACATTCCATTCCTAGATGGTGTGATGGTGGGCCTGTGTCTGGCTTCAGAGTTTCCAGCTCACTAGAGTTGCGGGGGCGCAAGGGTGGAGTGTCCATTCCCTGCAAAGAATCCTACAGTTCCTCCAACCCCTTGGCGCAGGCAGATTTCTGGAAGTCGTGAGCAGGTCCTTTAATCCTTGTTGGAAGATGTTGATGAAAATCAAGGTTGAGGGTTGTAAACTGGGGCTTAAACATAAAGGTGATCCAGTATCTGAGCCCAGATGTGGGCCTGGTAGGAAAGCTCTGTTGTTTGGGCCAAGTAGGGAAGGGTCTTGAGGAACGAGTGGGTTTGTTCTCATCACAGGGTCTAGTCTTACTGGGTCCTGGGCAGAGTATTAGTACATGCCCCTATTTCAAAGGAAGGTGGACCAACATCAGCATCCTACATGTGCCACAGATGTTCATTCATTCAACAGATACTTCTTTTTTTTCCCAAATGGATATTTCCTTGAGAATCTTTTATGAGCCAGGCCTCATGCTAAGGCATTGGGGATAACCATAAATAAGACAGACACCATCTCTTTCTCTCATGGCCTAGTGGGACAGCCACTGATTAATTATTTAATTCAGGTAGTAAGTGCTGGAAAGAGAAAGTGTTAATATAATGTGGTAAGAGAATGTATAACAGGGATCCCTAACCTAATTCAAGGAGTCAGGAAAGCCTTCTCTGAGAACCTCTGGGTCTTTCTTAGAATAATGTTTTTAAATGTATAAAGTAAAATGCATAGAATTACAAAGAAAGCAGTTTTATTGAAATACAGTTATCAAAATATAACAACAAGGTTGTGATAAAATAATATTTATGTTTATTAATGCATCATATAAAAAGATCAAAGGTACAAGCTTGATAACTTCTATAATTTTAAGTTGTGATGAGCATAAATAGTGTTTCAGGATATCTTGTAATGTGATAAGAAAATATGATTTCTGTTGGTGGCAAAGTCACAGACACTGCTACCCTAATTACTACTGTAATTTGTTATCTACATTCATAAATGTAGAAAGCATTTATACATTTATAAATACATTCATAATACAGGAAAGGCTAAATTTCAGTTAGAGGTTAGTGAAGATAAAGATGTCATTTTTCTCCATCCAAATTCGTAGACTACAGTGGAAAAAAATTATATAACACTTGGAAATAAAAGATGATTTTGTGACATTTTAGTATCATACTGGAGTATTGTATAAGAAACCACCTAAGGACCAGCTGTGTTCTAGGGGATGTAACTCTGTTTATTATTTTTTATGGGCCATACTTTGTAAAGTTAAGTAGGATGCAAATTATTTCTGTTTGGTAAAGAAGAGAAGCACAAAGATTATTGCCCTGAAGGACATTAACCTGTTGGTATCTAATGTAGCAATCTTATATCAGGATTATATCCTCTTTTTTAGGGTCTCTTATTAGCGAGTTAAGTAAAACTTTGAAATATGCTCAATACCTATTTGTATGAGAATTAGGCTTTTAACATTTTAGAACTGTACTTGACTCCAGTTCAACTGCTGAGTGAGCAGGACGTAAAGATGTGTTGCTTAGAAGAGAGGTCTGATCTGGAGATGTTAATTTAGGGGTGCTGTTCAGGAGAGTGGGTGAAGTTGGCTGGGGGACCATATAGGGTAGGAAGAGAGGGTAGACTGAGTGAGCTGTGGAACTTCAACATTGAAAGAATGGGGAGAGGAGGGTTTACAAAGAAGAAAGGAATGATTGCTAGAGAGGTAGGAGGGAAACCAAGTGTCGCATCCAGTTCAAGAGGCCAAACAAGATGAGAACTGGAAGTGCCTGTAGGGTTTATCTATAGGAGGTCATTGTTGAGCCTTCACCAAGAGCCTTTTTTGTGGTGGTTGTGGGGAGGGCAGATTTCAGAGGGATGAGCAATGGAAGGAGGGAGGAGAATGGGAGGAGCAGGGGAGATGGAAAATTCTGGCTGTGAGTGGAGAGGGGAGTGATATGGGGTCCAGAGAGAGAGTTTTTAAAAGATGGGTCAGTGATGGAGTTTCTTCACCTTAAGGAGATATGTGTAAAATGGATTCCTGGGCTCCCAGCCCCTGGAGATGTTTTTCTTCAAGAATAAAGCCCAGGAATCTGTATTCCCAGAATACCGAGCTCTGCGGTAAAGCTACAAAACTAGACACATTTCCAAGTTAATCTTATATGGCTGGTGGTATTTTGCCAGCCGAGGTGGGTGCTCTCAATTGAGTGTGTAGCACAAGTTCTGCTCACATTGGAGCTGTGTCACCATTGTCTGCTTGGTGTCACTTGGCCTGAGCATGTGCTTTTCTCTGAAGGGATTTGGGGGTTTGTGGACATGCTGGTAGCAGAGGGAAGATGGATCAGGTTGTCATTGTAGCTCTTTTCAGCAGGTCACGCTCAATAGCTGGATTGGAAGGGACAGCAGACTTGCCAGCCTCTCGGGTATTATTCTGGGTGGAGCAACGGGGAGTGGATGATGCTCCAGGGATGTCTGTGGGAACTATTCACATTGACAGCCCAAGAGAAAAGCATCAGATCTGTCCTGGCGGGGACCTGGCTCTACTGTTTTAGGCTTAATCCGAGGCAAATCCCTTCTCTGAGCCTCAGTTTTCACATCTCTAAAGTGGGGATAGTACCACCTCTGCCTATAAACACTCATTGTTTATGACAATTTTTCAACTCCTGCAAGAACAGTTATACATTTTACAGTGTAACCCAGTACACACTGGGCTCACTGAATGCATAGTGTTGCTACCTGTGCTACTCACTGATGTTTTCTAGTCAATGTAATTTTTTAAAAATGCTACTGTAACTCACTGATTTTATGACTAGACTCCTGGGTTGAGACCTGAAGGGTGGAAACAGTGGCTTAGACTCTCAGCTTCAGAGGATGAAATGAGATCATGTGTGTAAAAGCATGGATGTACACCGTGGGTCATGAACACTGAGTTGTTATTTTCTTATCAGTTAACGGAGCTTGGAGGCAGAGTTGATTTCCGGAGTGGGAATTCACCTGCTCTTCCTCCCTCCCTGCTGCCTAATTCAATGTTCCCTCTACCAGTTCTTCCTCGTTAACAGGCCTGGCACACCAAGCTGGCGGTGATCCAGACCCCTCTTGGCTCAAGAAGAGGTTTTCCAAAACATTAAAAGCTTTAGGGACTTAAGTCCTGGCTAAATGCACTGCAGTTGCAATTTCAGGATAAGAAAACCTGTTTTCATAAGCTCTCAGATAAGTTGCCCTGCCCCTGAATTGTCCATTGTTGACAGCAACATTTGTGCCATGGGGAATAAAAAGGGGAGACACTGTGCTGCGTAGCCCCAAATGTAAGGTGTGGCTTTTTAAAGGAAGCAAAATATAAGAAATGCAGCTGGACTTGTATTTACAGCAGCAGGCAGTAAGATGTGTGTGGTTCTGGGAATCTGTCTTCCTTATGCCCCAACTCTGGTGCTGGAGTCTGTCAGACTTGGGTCTGAATCACAGCTCTCTTACTTGCTGTGTGACCTTCAGCAAATTTCTTAACTCCCCTTAGTCTCAGTTTCTTTATCTATAAAATGGGAATAATAAAAGTGCTTACTTTATACACTTGTCAAGGTAATTCAGTTAGATAACATGTGAACTGCTTAGCTCACTGCTGGTCATACAATAAGCACTCTACTTTTGGCTGTTATTGTTATCATGGGCTAATCCCTAAGCCCTGGATTTGGAATTAAAGGATCCTCTCTTGGGTTCTGTTCCTTGCCAGGTGCTTTTGCATTTCTCTTTGTTAATAAGCACAGTTAGCCCCCTTGGCTGCCACTAGCCGAGGGTCTCACATCCCAGGGCCAGCCTCTTCTCCCACCTCACACACATACACACACACACACACACACACACACACACACACAACAATATCACCACCATTCAGGGACTCATGTTGCTTGGTTTTATTTCAGAGGCTGCTGGGTAGACATTTGAACATTGGGAAACATCGGTAGTGAGATCCCCAAGCTTGATTTAAGGTTAGGCCTTCACTCCTTATGAAGAGTGGTGTTTAGCTATGGTGGCTCATGGCAGATGTTTAGAATTTACCCTTTTAAGGGGCATACAGTATGCATATTTTAAAATTAATGTTCTTTTTTTTTTTTTTTGAGACAGAGTCTCACTCTGTTGCCCAGGCTGGAGTGCAGTGGTGCGATCTCAGCTCACTACGACCTCTGCCTCCCAGGTTCAAGTGATTCTTCTGTCTCAGCCTCCCGAGTAGCTGGGACTACAGGCACGTGCCACCATGCCCAGCTAATTTTTGTATTTTTAGTAGATACGGGGTTTCACCATATTGGCCAGGCTGGTCTCAAACTCCTGACTGCGTGATCCGCTCGCCTCAGCCTCCCAAAGTGCTGGGATTACAGGCATGAGCCACCGTGCCCGGCCTAAAATTAATGTTCTTTCTTAGATCTCTCATCAAAACCATTCTACAAGTATTTGCTAGGTATGTGTTGCGTGCCAAGTACTTTGCAGATTCCATATAATAGTTATGAAAAAAACCAAACCACGCAATGTCACATGAACGGAGGCGAGACAGTTCAGCTAGCAGTACAGAAGGACACATAAGCACTGCACGTACGTGGGAAAGGGCACAGAGCAAGCGCTGGGCCGGGAGGAATCAGAAGGCCCATGCAAGAGCTGGGGGCGGTATCTGGTTGTGTTCTGGAAGCCTCTTTCTTTCCTTTTTTTTAGGCAGGTTTTTTTCTTTGTAACTTTTATTTAGAAATAATATCAGATTTATAGAGGAGTTGCAAAAAGAATCCAAAGGATTGTTATATGCCCTTTATCTCAATTCCACAAATATTAATATTTTATCACATTTGTTTTTATCATACTCTTCCTCTACATATATGAAGTTTATATATGATGTTCCTTTGCCCCTTAAATACTTCAGTATTTCCTAAAACACAAAGACATTCTCTTATGTAACCACAGTACAACGATCAAAACTAGGAAGGTAGTATTTGATTCAGGACCCAAACCAGAATCACACACTGCATTTAATTGTCCTTCTTTAGTCTCCTTTAATCTGGAATAGTTCCTCAGTCTCTGTCTTTTGTGACCTTGACATTTTTAAAGAATTTTCCTCAATTTGGTTTTTGATGATGTTTTCATTTAGTGCATTATATCAGGGGGCACCTGACGTCAATTTGACCCATTACTGGTGGTGTTACTGTTGGTCCCTTAGTTAAGGGGGTTTCTGCCATGTTTTCCCACTGTAAAGATACATTTTCTGGTGGGGAGATACTTTGAGGCAGTTAATTATTTTCATAATGGTAGCCAAGTGGTGGTAATTTTTTTCTTTAAACATTTAGATTGGACATGCTTATTATGGCAAGTTGAAAAATAGAGAAAAGGGAAGAATAAATATTACCGAGGGCAAATCCTCAGTGTTTTTCTGAGCATACTTTTGTTTACTTATAGTTGTGGTTATACCACGTATATTTTGAATTCTTTTTTTTTTTTTTTTTTTTTTTGAGATGGAGTCTCACTCTGTCGCTGAGGCTGGAGTGCAATGGTGCGATCTCGGCTCACTGCAAGCTCCGCCTCCTGGGTTCACGCCATTCTCCTGCCTCAGCTTCCTGAGTAGCTGGGACTACAGGCGCCCGCCACCACGCCCGGCTAATTTTTTGTATTTTTAGTAGAGACGGGGTTTCACTGTGTTGGCCAGGATGGTCTCGATCTCCTGACCTCGTGATCCGCCCACCTCGGCCTCCCAAAGTGAATTCTATTTTTAAAGACATTAAAGCAAATATTTTTGCATTGCGAAGTCTTTAAAAACACCATTTAAATAAAATACCATCTAAATGGCTTATTCTTCTATTGAGTGGTTTACTCTGTGTAACCATTCTGTTGTTGTTGGACATTTAGGTTGTTTATAGGTTTTAACTCTTATGGTTAGAATGGTTGTGAGTCATACGTGTGTCAGACCTCTGCTAATTTCCTCAGGACACATTCCCAGAAGTGGAATTACCAAGTCAAAGAGCATAAATACTTTAGAGATACATGATAAATTGTGCCAGCTACCTTTCCAAAAGAGTTGTACTAGTTGAGGTTTCTGCCAGCAGTATATGACAGTTGGGCTCCATATTTTAAGAGATTCACTAATGGTGTTTCTCAACCTTTTTTTTTTAAACTGTGACCCACCAATGAAGATTTGTGTTGAGATTAATTTCCTATATTTTGACTTATGAGAGCCTAGGTATTTATTTCTAAAAATAAATTATGGTATAAAATAGCACATTACTCTTTTCAAGCTGCAACAGTCTGAAACAGAGCATTGGGAAGAACTCTGGGAATCACTGAGGTGGCAGTGTCTAGACAGTGGGGATTTGAGGTCACACGTGAGGAATTAGGATATTTCACCTAGAGAATCCTAAAAGAGACGTGTTTGCTGTCTTTGGAGTGTGATAGGCTGACAGATGGGTGTGTGTGTGGGGGGGATTTAACATTTCTAATGAGGAGCCCTCCAAGATGATATGGGTATGGTGTAGGACATGGGACTTCTACATATTAGCATATTGAGTTCCCACAGCCTTCTGGGTCCAGCTGAGTTGAGTGGTCTCAGGAGATTTTGAGTCCTTGGCTCTGGAGGGCTACCTGGAGGCTGGAGACGGTATGTGAGGAATTTTGAGGGGATTTCTATATTTTTGGGAAACTCATCAGCCCAACTCAACTCTGAATTGAAAGAGATGTCCTAGCTTTTCTGTCTCCAGCAGTGGTCCTCTTACCAGAAAAGGGCTGAGGTAAGGAAATTGGAGAGTTCCCGGGCTAATTCTTCTTTCATTTGTGAATAGCTGGCACCAGGTGACCAAAGTACCTGATAAGAACAGGCACACTGAAAATTTGGGCTACTGGGAAGAACACTGGGTAAATCAATCCCTTGACAGTCTCTCTGTCTCCTTCCTTATAAATAACATATCTAAAGTTAATGCATGATTTGGTGCTTGAGGCACTTTGAAATATCCCAGTTGGAACAGATGTTTGTATTTCTTTCTAGTTAAAGCTTTTGTTCAGTGGGCACTCAAGATCTATTTGTGTGTGCCAGAACACCCAGAATGAGAGCTCCTTAAAAAGATCATTTATTTCACCCATGCAGAAGCCTGCACAGGGATATTCCAGGGCCAGAGTATCCCTCTGTGGTGTCAGGGACCCAGGTAACGTCTATCTTATTAGCTCCTCTTTAGCAGGCCCTTCCTCCCCATTGTCTCAAGGTGGCTACTTGAGTTCCAGCCATCTTGTCCAAATTCCAGCTGGCAGGAATGAGGCAGGGACTAAGAAGACTCTTATCAGATGTCTGTTAGGGACAGTTTCTAAAAGTTGCCACATCACACTTAAGCTTACATTCCAAGGGCTGGAACATGGCCCCCTTGCTGCAAGGGAGACTGAGAGATAAGGCTTTTATTGCGGGTGGCCACATGCCCAGGGAAACTCAATGGTTTCTTCACAAGGTGTGATTACCTCACAGTACTTCTCTGGTGGTGGTCGTGAGAATGGGTTTACCAAATGATATGATTGTAAAGAACTTTGGAAATCACTTTCAGTTCCTCAGTTTTCCAGAGTAGGAAACAGACTTGGAGAAGGAGAGATGACAACTAGTAATAATCAAAGTCAGCACAAAACTTGAGCTTCTGACTCCAAGTACGGTGTTCTTTCCGCCAAACCACCAGCTCTAAATTCTCAGCCCGCTCAAGTTCTCTGACCTTGGATTCAGGGCCACATCTGTTTTCTCAGGTCTTCCTCTTTTCCCTGAGTCCCTTTCGTACCAGCTTCTTATGAGTCTAGACTTAGATTCTGACATTTAAAAACTATTTTGAGCAAAATGTGGGTTAAACTAAATTAAACCTGTTTCTTCACAGTTCTTAACATAAGGGTATCTTTTTTTCAGGTGGCAGAGCAAAAGAGGTTGAGTCCCACCTTCACCCTTTTTCCTCAATGTTAAACTTCTGTTCCCAAGTCTTCCTCCGTTAGCAAGCTGCTTTTACATAATTGAATATCTCTGGCTTCATGGTCTGCATTGAATAGTAAATCTATAATGACAGACGGCTTTGCTAGTTACAGAGAATGCGAGGGTGCTGGCACGCGCCCCAGAGATGAGGAGCTTTTTAAAGCTGAGGTGTAATGTGGCAAGGACTGTTCTCCCTGATTATCTCCCAGCGTGCTGGGACTCTTATCTCTTTAGTCTGATGGAGATGCTGGGTGGCGATCAGCCTCATTAAGTGAGCTGAGTGAAGAGAGGAGTTTGTGTGTGCTATGTTAGCAGATTGGGAGGACCACACACTTCCTGCACACAGCCTCTGGCTGGAAACAGACCTGGGCTAATTGCCACATTTAGGATCTTCATGCTCTTGGCCCCAGGAACCTTGGGAGACTCCAGGATCTGCTGGACTTGCAGAAAGCAGAGGGTTAGTCTAAACCCCTGCTGGGACCCTCCTTGCCCTGGGATTCTGGGAGATAGGGGCATTTCCTGGTTGCTTCGGTAGGCCCTGCCTTGGAAGGAGATGTTCCTTTTCTGCTTGTGTTGTGCCATCTGTTGCAGCAGTCCAGGGAGCTTGTGGGGTTGAGAGAAGCAGGCCTCCTGTGGCCTGGAGTCGGGAGGCCCAAGTTCTAGTCCTGGCTCTGTTACTTACCTACTGTGTGACCTTGGTAATTAATGTAACCTGTCTGAGCCTCAGTTTCTTCATCTGTAGGATGAGGCGAGTACCTACCCACTGGGGTATTGTGAGGGGTAAACGAGTTAGTGGGTATGAAACCTGGGAAGTGTGCTCTAAATGTGCCGTGTGACCTCTTGGTCTGGGTCGCTGTGCAGCTGGTGATGATTTGAGGTTTTCTGGTGGCTGAATGTGTGTACGTGTTCGCTCCTTCCTGCCTGGACCTGCTGCCCTGCCTGATTGCAGGCAGGGCCCCTGGAGAGGAAGAGGTGGTCCCCGTGTTACTGCTGTCCTTGCTCCCCTTATAAGTTGTCTCGCTAATAAAGAGAAGTGCAATTATTCTGTGCTTCTGCATGCCAAACATTATGTTAGATTCTTTGTCATCTCTCCCCTCATGTAGTCCTGAGCCACTCTGCAAGGTGGGCATTGGTATTCTCCTCTCCACCTTGTAGGTGGGGAGTTGACACTCAGAGGTCTAGTAACAGGCCTGAGGTCATCCTGCTATAAATGGTGGCACCTGGATTTCCCCCAGGTCTGTCTGACTCCTGAGCCAGTGCTCTTTCTGTGGTGTCTGGAAGACTGCAGAGGGAGAAGAGAGTGGGTTTCTAAGTGGGATGGTGGTTTGTCTGGCCGGCCCTGAATGAGCAGACACCTGTTACAAGAGCACGGCAGGGGGTCTGGAAGATGAGGAAGGACTCAGTCTCCACCCCATTGCCTCCAGCCATGGCAGAGGTGGGCAGTGAGGACCTCCGTGCCTGGCACTCTGGTGCTGTTGGGCTCTGAAGAGAGCCTGTACTCAGGGGAGGGGTTGGGTGGTGGAAGGGAACTGGTGCTCGGGGTGGGGGAGGGGGGGTGCAGTGAAGCTCTGTGAGGGGGTTTGGAGGTTAGAGGCATTGGTGCTCTGACAGCGATGTGCTGGTTGGCTGATAATAGGCAGGACCTGGCATTGGGGGCCTCTATTTCCCAGCAGCAGAAAAGGGGAAAGCCATTTTTCCCGGCAGTTTTCTGCCCTGCACCAGGGAGATGCTTTATGGGTCTCAGCCCAGCCAGCGGGGGCAGCTCAGCCCTGATGTAAATACTGTTAAAGCTGAGGGTTGTGAGCAGAAAGAAAGCAATTATTGGAGAAGGTCAGAAGGAGTTTGCATGGTGAACAAAGGGGATCTTTTTTCTCTCCTCTACCTCTAGAGCGATTGACTTCGAATGTAAAGAGCCTGCCAAGCCCAGGAACAATGCCGTGGCTGGCATGGAACCCTGGCTGCCTTTGGAAGCACTTCTCAAATCCTGCCCTCTCCCCCAAGGGCTTGACAAAGGAACAGATAGTTTTTGCATCATTAACGTTGTTATTGTTGCTGTAGTTATTGTTGTTATCAAGGTTTGTGGGTTGTGACTTATGAAGTCTGCAGTAAGGCTCTTGGCAAGGTGCTCCGAGGCTTGCTGGGACTGCATCTTAAGGAAAGGAAGGAGCGTGCACATTGGAAAGGTTAAAATAGACTGAAGTGGAGGAGAAAGGAGAATGTTAAGTGGCAGGAGGAAAGTCCCCTTGGGCTTATGGGGAGGGGAGGAAAGGGCTCCCACTTGTCTGCATCTGTGGTTGTTTGCTAGGGTGAGGGTCTGTCTGAGGCCAGACACAGAGGGGCCTTTCATCCTTCCCCTTCTCAGAAGCCCAGTTAGTGTCTTAGCTCTTTGGACCCCATCTCCCTGGATTCTCCCTGATCGACCTATCCTGATTATTTTTCCTCTCTCATTCTCAGATCCTGCCACTCTAGGCAAATCCTGCTTCTCCTGTGCCCACTAACGCCCGCACGCCCCCATCTTCATGGGATACAACTTATCCTTCTTCTGACCCTGTGGCACTTCCTTGCACCTTCCCATTATCACCGCAGCTCCTGTGCTGGGTAGACTTTCTCTCCTCTGCAGCCTGGCTTCCAGCTCCCGCCACGTGTACTGCTGACATTCTCTCCAGTGTTCCCAGGGACTTCACAGCCTTTGGCCCTGTCCCAGCCTCCCCACTCTGACTGCCTGTGGATCACTCTCTTTTCTTTAGAAGTGTCCCCTCCCTGGTCTCTGTGGACGCAGCCCTCCCCACCTCCCTCTTGGTCCTGCCTCCTCCCTCACTGAGGGTGTTTCCTGTCTCCTCCCTCTGAGCCCGGTCCGTGGGGACTTCATTTACTTGGTGGCTCACCTTGCAACCTGGAGGAGGCCTGTATTTGATGCCTCACTGTCTACCTGTCCAAAACCTGAGCCTATTATCATCTTCCTTAATGTAAGAGAAAAGCCTCCTCTGCTGCTGCTTCTCCGTTCTTCCACCTTTGGCTGTTGTTGCAGTCTCCCAGCCCGGAATTCTAAGAGTCATTTTAGACTTTTTTACTCTTTCTTCCTCACTTACCTATGAATAGTCATTGGGTTTTGTTGTTTTTCCCTCTGAGGCTTTTGCATTGATCTGTGTCTCTCCACGCGGGCAGCCACCCAGCAGGGCCCTCCACCTCCGGCCTCCCTGGCTGCTGCCCAGTCTGAGGTCACGGCCAGATGAGTCTCTACAATATACTGTGTTCATCCTTTCACTCCCCTGCTAACTGGGCAATGATGCTTCCCACTCTCTTCCTGCACCAGGCCAGGTCCTTGGGCAGGCTTTGAAGAGCCCAGCCTGCCCCCACTGCCTTCTGCCATGCTCTAGCCCAGACACCCCCTGAGCTGTGGTCTGTGTGGCTTCCATCGACCCTTCTGGGCCTCCCAAGGGCTGCTGTGGACTCACCCCATCACATACTGATAGTGGGTGACCTCTGCTAAGGCCAGGAGTGTGGTAACAGTGTAATTTGTCATGTTTATAATACTGGTCAAACATTTCCTGAGGGCTTTCAATGCGCCAGGCCTTGTGTGGGGGCCCTGCCCTCCTCCAGAGCTCTTAATCTTGGGGATGGGGGTGAGGGTAGGGAGGAGATGGATCCTTCATTAGGCTTCAAAACCGGATTGGCTATGGGTGATGCCCAGTCTGAGCCCCAGTGTCATGCCCAGTGATGGTTTTCAAGCAAAGTAAATTTGCTCAGCGCGTTTCTGGTTGGGCTTAACTTCTCTACTGTGTGACTCCAAATGCTGGGTGAGGGGCTTGGCTGACTGGCTGGAAGGTGGTTTGTTTAATCTCATTGGCCCTGGGTTAGATGACCTGCGGGATGGACTGGGTTTTATGGGAAGGAAGCTGAGGGTGTGCTGTGAGCCTCAGCCTCTAGTGGTTTCTCTTGTACACACTTTGTTGTCGCTGCGGCTCAGCTGCACACACCGCTGCCTGGGCAGATGAGCTCTGGGCTCACCCTCCCTCCTGCCTTCCCCTTTCCTTCTCCCCAGTTCCAGAAGCGTGGGTGCCTACCAGCCTCAGGAGGGGCTGGACTACAGGTCAGAGTCCTGAGGCCCTGGGCAAGAGCAGTTGTTGCTCTCCGCTGGTCAGATTATCTGAGGATTAAAAACAGCAGTGAGGCAATGTGTTTTTCCAACAGATTATTTTTTTTCCCTTTAATCATGTGCATTGAGCTGTGGAGTTTTCAGTCTGAAGTCCGTTAGCTCCCTGGGAGTAGTAGGATAACATGTAATAATAATAAAGTTTAGCAGACTTTTTGGTGAGCTCTTAAGGTGGCTTGCATAAGGGCAGCGGGTCCTCAGACATTTTACCCTGCTCTGCAGGGTGTGATGAGGGAGAAATCATTCCTTGGCTTCCTCCTGGATGGGTTTACTCTGGGAAGAGGGAAACTTTGAATTCCAATGGCAGATTATATTTAGAAACACTAGAATATGGTAATGTTTCAGTCTTCTTCTCTGCTGAGATGGAAGTTTGTGTTATATATTATGGTAACTGATACTCTCAGAGTGCTTTCTGATTTATAAAACACGTTCAATAAATTATCCCATTTCATCCTCATATCAATCCCACGAGGGAAGTATCATTATCTGTATGTCAGACAGGAGTCACTAAGCCTGTAAAAGGTTGAGTGACATTGGCTAGGCATCTTAGCTATTGAGTGATGAGGCTCAGACTCAATCCAAGACTTCTGACTGCAAAAAGGCAGGAGGCTGAGAAGGCGTGACTCATATTAGAAAGACTGGGATTCAGATCCTGGCTCTACTTACTAGCTATGTAATTTTGGTCAGATTATTTTTAAAAAAATTTTTTCTGGCAGAAATTAACACTCCTCTCAGTATGACCAAGCATATCAAATAAGCTATGGTTGCCCCTTTTTATTGACCATGTTCCTCCATGAGCTCCGTCGTTGCTCTGTTCTGGTCTGGTTGCTCTGCAGGCTGTTGAACAGTTGTCATCCTGGGATTTCTCTTCACCATCAATGTGGTAATCCTTTTGCCTCTCTCTTTCATTGAATTCTTTGTTTCCTAGTTTCCATGTCTAATTTTTCATTTATTTTTTGTTGTAGTGGAAGACGGGTCCCAGTATCTTTCTGAGAAAGGGTGCGCTGGTGGTAAATGTTATACATCTGATATTTTCATCTGTTCAAGTCTATTTTCATGATTGGTAGTTTGGCTGGTTACAGAATTCCAGTTAGAAATCATTTTCCTTGAGAATTGTGAAGCCAATGCTTGATTGTCTTTTGTGTGCTGATGAAGTCTTATGCCAATTCTGACTCCTGATCTTTTGTATGTTGTATTTATTTTTTCTTTGAAATGGTTAGGGTCTCCCCTTTGTCAGCAGTGTTCTGAAAGTTTTCAGTGATGTATTTTGGTAAGAGTCTTTTTATTCATGATGCTGGGCCCTGCCAACTGAAGACTCATATCCTTCAGTTTTGGAACATTTTCTTCAACTATTATTTTAATTTATTTGCTTTTTTAGAGATTGAGTCTCACTGTTGCCCAGGCTGGCCATGAACTCCTGGGCTCAAGTGATTCTCCTGCCTCAGCCTGCTAAGTAGTTGGAACTGCAGGCATGAGACGTTGTGCCAGGCTTCAAATTAATTTTTTGATAATTGATTTTCCTCTTTTTTTTTTCTTTTTCTTTTTCTGGAGTCTCTTTAATTTGGTTCTTGTGCTTAATGGGTCCATTCTCTTATTTTTCTTAAGTCCTTTTTTATTTCTTGATCTTTTTGTTGTATTTTCTAGGAGATTTTTTTTTTTCAATTCTACTTCCAACCCTAATTATTTCTGTGATAGTTTTACTTTCCAAGAGATTTTCACGATTCTCTGAGTATTTATTTTTCTTCATAACATTCTATTCTTATTTTATGGATGCACCATTTTATTTCTCTGAGAATAATAATTTTCTTGTTTTCTTCTGTTCTTTTAATTTTCTTTTTCTTCTACATTTCATCTTTCCATTGGTTTGTTCTGGTCTCTGTCTTTTGTAACCGGTGAACCTTGATTATCTGTCTGTTTTGAAGAGCAAGGCACTAGCACATTGACTGGCAGCTCTGTGAGTGTGTGGAGGGAGTGGAGAGTGCTTGTTTACTGGGAGAGCCTCACAGTGGAGATTTGAGCAGGAACCCAGCTGTTTCAATTGAGGATCTCCAAATCACTGTCTTTAGGTTGTTTTTCTTATGCTCCTCAGTTTCCCCAGAGGGAAATTCTCTAATCTGTTGCCTGGGGAATAAGACTGGCAGGTGGCATTCCAGAGAAGGGAAGGGAGATGCTGGGGGCTGGGAGCTTGGAGGAATGAGTGATCTCAAGGTTCAGTTTGTAGACTTTCTTTGAATCCCCCTGTCTTTTCTGAGGGCCATCCTCCCACCCTCTGCCGGGTTATCTCCCAGTGGAACTTTTCTTACTCAATCTCTCCATATAGTAACCCTCTTGCTTTCTGACAGGTGGGCAAGGGGCTGTTGCCCAGCTGTGCAATCTGGGCAAGGGGATCTGCTTTGTGTCTACTCCTTATTCACACTTTTAATAAACCCCCACCCATTGCTTTTAGCCCACCCTTCATTGTGCCTGCAGAGGTGCCTGATACCTCCAGTTCCCGAAGTTTTCCAGGGTTCTCTGGGGGAGAATTGGCTCATTTCTTGTTGACTGACCTCCTGAGATCACTTGGCTGAGTAAGAAAAGCTAAAAACCTCTCACCCATCCATTCCCATCCTAAGCATTAAGGGATGATCTTATTTCTCTGTGTATTTTATGCTTTGGTGCTTCTAGATGGGATGGAGTTTTTACTTTGCCCCAGCATATGGCATTGTGGTAACATGAGGAATATGGACAGACATTGACCTCCCAGGGGGCTCTCGACTGATGTGTAACAATGCAGAATGTTTATACAAACCTCCCTTGGTATCCTTGAGGGATTGGTTCCAGCATCCCGCCTCCACAGGATACCAAAACCCATGGATGCTCAAGTCCTTTATATAAAATGGCATGGTATTTGCATCTAACCTATGCATGACTTCCTGTATACTTTAAATCATCTCTAGATTTTTTATGATACCAAATACAATATAAATGCTAAGTAAGTAGTTGTTATACTGTATTGGTTTTATTGCTATTATTTTTTACTGTTATCCCGTTATTTTTTATGTTTTTCAAATGTTTTCCATCCATGGTTGGTCAAATCTGTGGATGCGGAACCTGCGAGATAGAGGGCTGACTGTATATATCTGCAGTCCATACAGCCTTATAAAAGTGCCTGGAGGGGAAGGGAGACTGGGAGTGGGCTGGGGAGTGTCCCTAGAGGTGAAGAAGTAGGTGTGGTGCATGAGATGTGTTGGTTTGCCCTCATCCTCTGGAAGTAAAGCAGCTCTAGGCAGCACATCCATGGGCACCGATTCTTCTGGGGCCCAGCCAGAAGCTGGAACTCACAGTCGTTGGCTCCTTGATCCCCAGGTGGTCCTGCCATCATGGCTGTCCTCTGCAAAGGTCTCCTCGCTCATTGAGAGAATCTCTGACCCCAAGGACTTGAAAAAACTGCTCAGAACCCGGAATAATGTACTGGTGCTTTACTCCAAATCTGGTGAGTGTCCCTTCCTGGCCTTGAGGTCAACCATCGGGGTAGGATGGGATTCAGGGGAAGGAGTGGGAGGCAGGAGACGTTAGGATGAAAACCACTTAGGGAGGGTCCAAGGGACATGGGGTTTGTCACCTTTCCTCAGAAGACAGAGGCAGAGGCACACAGAGGCATTGGCTCTGCCACTTTCTGATCCGAGGGGGTGGTTCCATTTCTTTTTTATGACTGTTTGTTGGGAAAGTCCTCTGGAGCCCCTCACTCCTCAAGAGGGAGAGGGCGTGTGTGAAGTAGGACAGAGGATCACAGTGGCGGACACTGGGCATGGATGTCCTGGCTTCCTGCACAGGCATGGGGCCGAGCCCTGCCAGGGCATGCTTCACCAGAGCTGTTGATTAACTGGCCAGGCCGGCCTGTTGCCAGCTGAATGGGTCCCAGGCTTGGAAGTACTCACCCCAGCTGGCAGCCCTGGCCCTGCCCAGTCCATCTGTCCTGCTCTGGGGTCAGATGCAAGACTGAATTTGGAGTGGGCTCTAAGCTTGGGTCACAGCATTTCTTGGGGGCAGGAGCAGCGGCCTGCCTCTCTTCTGACCTTGAGGCTGGCAAGGACATAGCAGATGGAGAGAGGTTTGCTTGGCTCTTGGCAGTGACTTTGGGGGAGGGTGAACGCTGACTCTGTTGAAGTTGTTCCAGCAGAGTTAAGTGTTTTTTGCTGCTTCTAAGGATGCCAAGTTTTCTGTGGCCCTGGAGAAGCAGCAGCCAGTGGCTGGCCAGTTCCGGGCAAAGTTTTCCCCGGCAGCTCGGCCTCAGCACTCACTGGCACCTGGGGGATGATAGAGGCTCCAGACGTGCCTGCATCCTCCAGGCATCCCTGGCACGTGGGATGTGTTCATTGCCACTTGCGGCTGCTGCTTCCCCTTCTGGCACACATGCCCCGAGTGCATTGTTGGGAGCCCAGCATGTGACTAGCATTCCTCTGCTGTCAGGAATAGGGGCGAAATCAAGGGAAAGGGGAAGCAGTGTCCTCTTGAGGCCTGGGGCATAGGGCCCTGAAAACGTGTGGCTTGCTGCCTTGGATACTCCCGGAGTTGGAACTAGGAGGACTGTCAGTGATAGACACGCTCCATTCCTTCCCTAGGGTAGATCCCATCATATAAGCTCATCATAATACAGTCTCATTGGCTCCTTTGCTGTGAGGGAGGCAGTGCAGGTTGTCAGAGGACATCCAGTATACAAATGAGGAAATGGAAGCTGGGAGTAGCGGACTTGTTTGAGATCTTCCAGCAGCAGGTGGGAGCTGGTCCCCTATGCCCCGCTGTCTCTCATTTTCTCTGATGGAGGATGGGAAGAGAGTATTGATTCTGCAATGACAGAAGGGCTTTGAGATCAGGTTGGGGCTGAGGCCGGAAAATCATTATGGGAAGTTAGAGAGTGGAAAGGTGGGGCCCTGTTGTCAGGCGCTTGCAGGGCAGGAGGTAGCACCTAAGCTCTCTTTCCCTCACCCGACCCTGTCTTGAGCCATTGAGAGTAGAGCCCCTGGTGCTTCCCACTTGTCAGCCTACCTCCTGCTTTCATTGCCTGATGGGGCCTGGGCAATTATTTTAACTTCCTGCCTCCTTGCCTAGGCCTGCTGCACGAGAGACATGTGACCTTCAGTGGGGCTTTTGAACAGTGCAGAAACTGGATTTTCTTTGCTCCCTCCCATCCTTCCAAGCAGTGCCTCCCTTTCCATGGCTAAAATGCAGGTTAGGGCAGGGGGTACTTTATCTTGCTGTAGTTTATTTCTCCCCCTCCCCTGCTTCCCAGAACCCAGTCCCAGCAGTAGAACAATGGCTTTCCCCACATCAGTGGCTCGCCCTCCTCCTGTCACCCTGGCTGTGGTTTCCTGGGAGTGCCTTCTCCGAGTGACTCCATGCATGTCTCTTGAGCGATACTTTTGTTTGCTTCTGTGAAAGGCTCAGCATGCTCTGTATTCACAAACAGCTACCATTATCCACACTAGAAAAGGCGATCTGCGGAGGCACATAATTCAGACATCATTTCTGCTTGGCTTGGGGATGTATCATATGGTTTTTGGCGGGAGAAAGCAGCAGATCGCTCTCCCCACAAGTCTTTGTCTGGCAGGCCTTTCAAGTGAGCTCACAGGTGTCGCCTAGGAGAACGTGACTCAGGAGCCTGCTGGCCACAGGAATCAAACACTGGCCACAGCCACTTTGCAGTGGATCATTGCAGGCTGGCAGTGCTGAAATCCTGGCCACAGAGGCTCTGTCCCTAAGACCCTGCCCTCCCACAGTAGTATCCGGGTGCCTTGCCCTGACCCATCAGGATTGACATCTGCACCAATGAGAAAGTCTTCCTTTCTTGTGATCACTCCATCCTGTCCCAAGGCATGGTCCACATTCCTGCAATTGACCCCTGGAGGTGCTACCAGGACCAGCTCTTGCCCCGTGGCTTCTGGGGAAGTGGGCTGTTAAATGTGGCTTAGGTGTCTTTGGCATTGGCCCATCAGAGCCTAGTGTCACTTATAGACCTCATTTTATCATCAGGTTGTACTGAGCTCCTAGATGAGCGTGTGCTGCACAAGTAAAGGAAGGATCTGATCCTAGCTCTCGTCAGCTCCTAGGTGGGGCATCAGGACAGATGAATGTGGAGTCAGCAACATCATTCCCTGCTTTAGTTATAGGATTGTCATTGTTTATGGAATTGTCAAAATGTATCCCAGAAAGACATGAGTCGGAGACTTTACTGGCCTTGAGGATCTGGCTGAGAGATTCTTGGAATAGTAAGGTGTGAGGTGTGGATTAAGGCAGGGTGACTTGGGGGTTCTGTGTCCAAGAGGAAGGCCCCTGAGTATGGTGGGATCAGGGGTTTCTGAGAAGAGCCAGGACCATTCTTGCAGCACAGGCCCTGGCACTGTTGAATGCAGGGATGGGTGTTTTACCTGGTGCTCAGGACTTCTCCACCCCCTCTAGGATTGGTCTCCATCCTTCCTCACCCCTGAGGGAAGATAGCAGACATGACCCAGTGCCCTTGGTCACAGATGTTTAATTTTTTGTTTTTTTTTTACAGAGGTGGCAGCTGAAAATCATCTCAGGTTACTGTCCACAGTGGCCCAGGCGGTGAAAGGACAAGGGACCATCTGCTGGGTGGACTGTGGGTATGTGCTGGGGCCATGTGCCATGGTGGCTGCTGGGCAGAGGGGCACTTGGGGCTTTGATTGGTGGGGACAGGAACTGTCTCTTGATTAATAATCTGGGAGAGAGGATGCGATGGAAAGATTCCATCTAGTGATACTTCGAGGTCACCTCTGGACTGGAAGAGTGGTGTCTGGCTTTCCACCCCTTTCTTCCCAGCCCAGCCCCATTTCTTCCCTTTTTCCGTAGAGCTTTCACTTTCTTCTATTTCCATGTGTTTCTTTCTTCTGTCTTCCCAGAGGGAGGTGAGTGGCAGAGGGGGCCTTCCTGTCTTACAGAGGGTGGCCTTGATACCCCGAGAGGCAAGGTGATTTTCAAGGTTACCCAGTGGGTTTGCCTGTGGTGGGTCTGCAGCAAGAACCATGAGCTTTACCCCCAACCCAGGACATTACCACTAGACGCCTCTGCTGCCCACCATGCAAAGGTAGAATCAGTGGGTCAAGCTGTCTATGCCTTGGCTTCTGAGGGGGCCCAGGCCTATAAAGGTCTTCTAAATCTTTAATGTAGCTATTATTGCCTGAGTCATAAGCCCTGTTACTACCCTGCAGGTTAAGCGAGCTTTTATGGCACCCACTCCAGTGTAATCCTCTTCCTCTTTAGTCTGAGTTCTAAATGGTTACTTTTCGAGTGAATTTTTGGGACATAACTGATTTATAAGTTGATGACCTCAAGTTTGTTCTGCCTGTGATTAGAGAGCATTGAAGGAGATTCATATTTTGACAAAGCACTGAGTGAAACTAGGATAATAAGTCTTAGCCAAGTGGTGTGTGCTGTAGAGGGTGTGTGTGTGTGTGTGTGTGTGGCCTCATACTTCCAGATTCATTCAGATACTAACTGAACAGAAAAGGTTGCTCACCAGGCAGTAGGTGAGATCTTAGCCATTGGTTAATTCTAGTTCATAGTTGGTCCAAAAGTGTGCTTGCCTTGACCAGCTGTGCTCTGTGTGACTGGCAAAGTAAAAAGCCTATTAAATGAAGACAAGGCACTTTGGAATTTCCATATCTGAAGATGACAGCAGTTCTGCCAAGCTGATGGAGGCTTATTGTAGGGAGTGCTTATGAGGCTTGTAGGTGGCAGAAATGGGCAGAGGAGCTTTGACTTAGTTGTTGTCTCCACCTGGGTCCATGTAACAGACATTACTGGGCATTTACTATGTGCTTTGAGAATACGCAGATGGATAACTGCATCCTCAAGGAGCTCAGTGTGTGAGGAGAAGGCAGACACTTAGCCCAGCGATTACAATGTCAGGTGAACAGTGCCACAAACACAGACTATATGCATGGAGGGAAAGCCCCTCCATTCTTCCTGGAAAGGTTGAGAAAAGCTTCACAGAGGCGGTCGAGTTCACATTTGGTGGCAAAGACCTCGGAGCACAATACCACGCGCTCACAGTGCCCTGGCTTTCCCTGCAGGCAGCCACCTATGGAGTGGGCCCCCAGAACTGCCTGTGGAGGTGAAAGGCCTGCTGCTGTCCCTGAGCGGCCTGGAAAA
This sequence comes from Homo sapiens, assembly GCF_000001405.40. Lineage (NCBI taxonomy): Eukaryota > Metazoa > Chordata > Mammalia > Primates > Hominidae > Homo > Homo sapiens. The sequence continues at coordinate 123,093,971 of NC_000003.12, forward strand.
CATGCAGCGCAGGGTGCCTGAGTGAAATGGGGTCAGGAGTAGTGGCTGAAGACAGACTATGGAGATTCAACTTCAGGACTCAAGTTTGGAAACATGATGTCTAGAGTCAATAAAAGTGCCAATGAGAATATCCTGTGAATTTCGATGTGCTCAAATTAAAACTGGGGCAGGGAAGCACCTTGGAGCTTGAAAGAGTTAACCTTAAGACAGAAGGATGGACTATTCCATGTAGTTGCCTCGCTGTGTTGAATTTATTCCTGTAAGAGGAAATAGAAACTGAAATGTTAGATAGCTTTTAAAATAGTGTGGACAAGTAGGTGAATTATGGAGCCAAAGTAGATTAAGTTGGACTCAGGAATATCTGGGTGTGAGTTTGAAATTAGAGTCAGGGTGCAATCTTTCTGGAGTAGCCCAAGGTTCAGAACTCTGGGCTGTGGCCCATGTAGGCCACTCTAGGCGGCAGCTGTCACGAACCACTGTTAGAAAAGGAGATCTCCAAGAACCCAGCTCCTGCCCTCCAGTTCATTCACTCCTGCTCCTAGACTTCTAAACTTGCCTGTAATCATCAGGGCATGGGGAGCCCCCGTGTCAGCTCCACAGAGCCCTGCGTTGACAGCTCTCGCAGTTTTCCTAAGTGTGTCCAGTCCGTGTCTGTGGGTCTGTGAATGAGACACACCCAGGGATGGGCAGAAGTGGTGCTGGGAACTTTGCTTTCTGGTGCTGTCTGCCGAGGAACGAGTAGGTGGCACGGGGCCATGCTACCTTCTTTATCCTTGTCACTGTGAAACAGCAGGTAGCCAGCCAGAGCTTGCCTCCCTCAAATGGGCCCTGCTGAGGCACCCATCTCTCATCCTTTCCAGCTCTACTTCCTTCCCTGCCCACGAAGGGTTGGTGGCTAGGATGGGGACAGGGCTTGGGGTTGGGGTGACCAGGAAGGTCAGGAGTGCACAGGCCACCCTGCTTTTCCCTTTAAAAGGCAGGTGAGGGGAACAGGGAGCATCTGGGGTGAGAGAAGAAGCTGCTCCAGTGTTGAGGTGTCTTTGCAGGTGTGTGGAATAAGGGAGAAAGCCTTGGGCTTAGGAGGGGGCCCGGGCTGACTGCTAACTAGTTAGTTAGCTGCGCTGCTCACTAGCCCTGTGACACCGGGCAAGTCGGTCACTCTGACTCTGTTTCCTCAGCTGTGAAATGGGACAGCGATATGCGTTCTGCCTTCTTTCCAGGTCTGTGATAAGGATCGGGTAAATGAAAGTTCTTTATAAAATAGGAAATACAATTTAAATGTGAGACACCATTCTCCTAGTGTTGTTTTTCATCTAGACAAGTTTGTTCAGGAGAAAGCTGGAGGGGGAGAAGTGGTATGCTTGTTCACTCAGCAACTGTTTACTGGGTGAGGATCCCTTGGTTCTTGTAAGGATGAACCTGAAGAAGGTTTTGGGCATGGGAGTGAGCCCCAGGCCATGGGTGTTTTGCTCTGACCCTTAAGAAGTACAGGGTGCAGGCTGGGCACAGTGGCTCACACCTATAATCCCAGCACTTTGGGAAGCCAAGGCAGGCGGATTACCTGAGGTCGGGAGTTCAAGACCAGCCTAACCAACATGGAGAAACCCCATCTCTACTAAAAATACAAAATTAGCTGAGTGTGGTGGTGCATACCTGTAATCACAGCTACTTGGGAGGCTGAGGCAGGAGAATCACTTGAACCCAGGAGGTGGAGGTTGCAGTGAGCCGAGATCACGCCATCGCACTCCAGCTTGGGCTACAAGAGCAAAACTCTGTCTCAAAAAAAAAAAAAAAAAAAGTACAGGGTGCAGTGCAGTGGAATTTGTAGGACTAAATGTCAGAAGACCCAGCTTTGAGTCCAGGCTCTGACATCAAATAGCTGTGGGGCCTTTGGCAAGTCACTGCCCTTCTCTGGGCTTCAATTGAATCTTCTGGGAAATGTGGAGTTGAGTCTTCCAAGTTGCTCTCATCCCTAAATAGCCTGGTTCAGAAAATGCTGGAAGCTGCCAGGCTTGGTGTGTGTGTTATAAGCGTGGCTGTGGGCGTGTGCCTTCTAGTCTTTCAGGGGGGTCTTTTTGTGCCCCTCCCTCCCCATTCCCCATTTTGGAAGGGTGCCTATCCTTCTCTCTGAGGTTCTCTCCTGTCTCCTTCTTTTCTCTCCCCTTATTAGGTTTCTATTCCCTTTTCCCAATCCTGAGTCCAGGACTCCCCCTGCACCGCCCCATTGCATGGCCCTTTTTGTTTTTGAGATGAGGTCTCACTCTGTTGCCCAGGCTGCAGTGCAGTGTCACAATCTCGGTTCATTGCAGACTTGACCTCCCGGGCTGAAGCCATCCTCCCAGCTCAGCCTCCCCAGTAGGCGCGTACCACCACGCTCAGCTAAGTTTTGTATTTTTTTTATAGAGACCAGGTTTTGCCATGTTGCCCCGGCTGGTCTTGGACTCCTGGGCTCAAGCAATTCACCTGCCTTGGCCTCCCAAAGTCCTGGGATTACAGGCATGCGCCACCGTGCCTGGCCTGGCCTTCTTTTGGCCTCTTTTCCCCTTTCTCCTTTCTATATGGATATATATTTTCCTTTTTTTAAAAAAATTTTTTGCTTTTCTGACTCTTCCTCCCTATTCCTTTATGTGCACCTATAGGAACACACAAACACTTCTCTGCTGGTTTTCTCCCCGGTCCAGGCCCTGTAACTTGTTGCTCTGGGGTGTCTGTAGGGCATCTGACTTCTGTCTAGGGTTTTGTCAGCTTTCCTTCCCCCTCACTCCACTCTTGGCTCAGACCTCAACAGCCACGCTCAGTCTGGCTGGTGATGGTTGTCCGGCTGTTAAGCGGGTTGTGTGTGCGGGAGTTGGTATTCCCCTCGTGCCCTGCCAGCTGGGCGCTGGGGCTCGGGCTTGGCGTGGAGTGCTGCTGTCTGGGAAGCTGAGCTGGAGCCAGCATGGAGCTGTGCCTGGTTTGCTAATTCCCGAGGCTGCGTCTCACAGGGGGCAAGGCTGTCCTATCAGGTGCTTGCTACTTTCTTTTCCTCGGGGCTTAAGGTCATTGCTTAACCACATCTGCTTTCTTTCCTGCTCTCCTCCCCATCTGCTTGATTTCTCTGGAGCAGTCACAGCTTCCCAGATGCAAGACTGGGGGCCTGCCAGAGCAGGCATAACATATTTTAAAGACTTATGTTTTTTCCTAAAAACTATTTGAATTTAGCATTTGCTCCTAAGCATGTTCAACATTACTTACCAGGGGGTAAAACAGACTCCCAGAAGAACTGTCGTGTTTATCTTGTGGCTTCAGATACCTTCCAGCACACCACCATGCACTTGTTGGAGTGACACATCCCCTTGAGGAGCAGAGACTTAGAATTGCTGGGCTGGGAGGGCAGCGGAGGGGAGGCACCTTACATGTCTGCAGAGAAGCCATGTTCCTCTCTCTTTTTCCCGCCACTCTTACTAACTGTACTGTGTAATCCAGACCTTGTGATGTACCTTCTTGAGGCACGTACCAAGGGAAACAGCCAACTCAGGGAGGAGCCCTGTTGTAGGGAATCCTTCCTTCAGAGAGTGCTACGTGACCACCACGACCTGTCCAAGTTCAAGGTTCAGCTCTTCCAGGACTTCTCTCTCATTGTCTCCTGCCTTGTATCCTCTAGCCACATTCTTTCACATCATCCTTGGTACTTGGCATCAGGCAGTCACTCAGTATTTCTTGCTCAGCACTCGCCCCCGCCCCCTCCCCCTCCATTTTCTTCATGTCCTTGAAGTGAGGGCACTTTCTACGTTTCTTCTCCTACCTGTCCCCAGGGCATCACAGGTCCACCTGGCCAGAAGCTTGCCATGTTAGACCAGGGCTGGTGGGAGGAAGAGAGTTATCCCTTCTTTGATGGGGAAATGGAACTAGAGAGGCTGGGGTAGTCGTGGGCACAAAGTTAATGTTAAGGCAGGCATCAGCCTTCCTTCTGGTCTTCAGTGTAGTCTTCTTTCTACCCCACCAGGAGGGGCTGAGCGTGGTCTCCCGTGGACATGAGAACCCCAACTGTGGCTGACTGAGGATCTGGTTGGGAGGCGAGGAGAGAAATGACAGGGGTTTGGAGGTTTTTTTGTCTCCATCTTTTGCCCCAGGTTCTGGCTCCTGGTTCATGTGTCAGGATATAAGGCAGCCTGTCTCCATGCTTTATTTAGTCTGACTTGACCCCGTAGAGAAATCAAGCTCCATTCAGCTTATGTGGATAACTCCGGCATTTTGCAGCTCAGGAAACTAAGGGTCCCGCCAGAGGTCGCTAATGGCAGAGCCAGATGTTGAAGCTGTCATTCTAATGGGCTGTGGTACTTAGGCTGGACTTGTGAAAGACCTCAGACCCCCACCCTCCGACCCCGCCGTCTCCCAGACCTTGTTTTTTCTCTTTCTTCCTGCTCTCATCCCCACTTTGATCCCTGGGCCTGACTCCCAGGAGTGTGTCTCGAGTCTCTTGGATAGTAATTACTGCACAGGAAAATCCAATAAACATAGCACTGTGTACCTGCAGCAGCCACTCCCGACTAGCAGCCAGCTGTCCCATGGCAGATTCAGATGAAAACACCCATGCCCATGTGTCTGTCTGGGTGTGGGGGTGTGGGGTGGGGAGGGAAGTGTGTACAGGCATCTGCAATCTTTCCTTCCACATTCTCCATGGAAGAGAGCCAAGTGAGGTGGGGAGGGATAGGCTGGAGCAGATCAGTGGCCTTGATGCCTCATTCCTTGGAACAGTGGTGAGTAAATGGGCAGAGGGATGGCTGGTTCTTGCAGGACAGGGGCCGGGGAGTCAGGTGAGGGTCTTTGCACTGCCAGCCCTTTCTCCATGACCCATGGTGCATTCTCCATTCCCTCAATTCGAGCAAAGCATCTCGTTTTCCTGCTCACTGCTTTGTCTCCTTTCTCCCCTAGAACCTCAGTCATTGGCTGGGGGAGGGAGGTAGGCAGTAGATCAATTAATTGTACTTAATCTCTCAACTCAGATCCTTTTAAGTCTCTGAGCTTAGGTAATTTTCTCCCATACTTGAACTCTTCTGATATTCATTGTCTGCACTGCACAATTAGTGTGTGCACACATGCTTGCGCACACACACACACACACACTACTCACACTTATACATTTTGAGAGACACAACTATGAGAAGGAGGGGAGCAGTGCTGAGAGAACATTGTCAGGAATTTCAGGAATTGTCACCTGGCAGGATTCCTGGAGCTCAATAGACAGAGCCCAGAGATCCCAGAAAGCCAGAAATGCAGAGCCTCATCCCAGCAGCGGTAAGACAGTATCATTCATTTCAGCCATTCAGCCATTCAGTCAGGTGATTTATAGAGTGCCTACTGTGTGCCAGCTGCTGTTGTACCACTGGGGAGATAGCTGTGCACAAAACCAAGCCCTTGGCTTCACGGAGCACATGTTTCTGGAGCCAGTGGCCCTTTGGTGTGTGCCAGAAGTGTGCTCAGATGGGACAGGAAGCCTCCTCCCCACTCACCCCTCAGGGAGAGAGAGAGTGCAGGGGATGGGGAGAGGAGAGAATCCTTAG